>NC_000005.10:100109807-100734807 GCF_000001405.40 Homo sapiens
CTGCCATGATTATAAGTTTCCTGAGGCCTCCCCAGCCACGAAGAACTATGAGTCCATTAAAAGTCTTTTCTTTATAAATTGCTGAGTCTCGGGCAGTTCTTTATATCAGCATGAGAACAAACTAATATATTTCTTCTAGGTCTGTTCGTAAAACTCTCTCTGTATTCCTCCATTATTTTTCTCCTTCTTCCTGAGAAGCATGATGAATGCATGAAAGTTGAAGAGTAAAGCATCACAAAATGGAATAAGGCATATTCACTGAGATATTTCTTGAAGAAGACCAGATCATCTTTATTTTACTTGTCTATTTTTGTGATCTATACCTGGTCAGAGATGCAAATATAGTCTTATTACTAATCTAGCATAAGCTATTTTATTATAATTCTGTCTTTCAGTCTTGCCAATGAAAAATCATGAATATTTTTCACCATTTCTTTTTTGTTCTTAGTACTTAACCACATTCTCATGGAATTATTTCATTTCTATCTATTCTACATTCAAGCTCTTTAGTATCAAGGAAAACTCCACTACTAGGAAAGATTATAAAGATCTTGGCTTCAGTTATTTTTTAAAAAACTGCTAAATAGTACCCAAAGCTACACACCTCATCCTCAATTTTCTTGGTCTCAGCAGAAAAACTCTCTGCTTCTGAAATTAAAATTCAATATCCATCTGTCCAATGTTTCTTCTTCCCTTCACCTCTAAATTCTTGTTAACTTTAATCTATTTTCTCCCTTTTACCTTTTTTTTTAGAAACATGAGTCAAAACATTATTTTAAGGTTAAATTTGCCTCCTAATTTTTTTTAAGACAGGGTCTCCTTTTGTCATGCACGCTGGAGTGCAGTGACATGATCATGGCTCACTGCAGCCTCAACTTCCTAGGATTAAGCAATTCTCCTGACTCAGCCTTCTGAGGAGCTGGGACTACAGGCATGTGTCATGATGCCCAGCTAGTTTTTTAATATATATATATTTTGTAGAAACAAGATCTCATTGTATTCCCCAGATTGGTTTCAAACTCTTAAGCTCAAGTGCCTCCTGCCTCGGCCTTCCAAAGTGCTGAGAGGCATTGCCTCCTAATTTTTGATAGTTTATTCTCTCATATTCCTCTGGGGCATCGATCCATCTATTACTCCACTGGACACAATTCTGTCTTTTCTTCCATCTAGAAGCATTCTCATAATGTTTATATTAAAGAGTCTTGAGGATGGAACATTTTTCTGTTTGTTTGTGTCATCTCTGATTTTCTTAGCAGTGTTTCATAATTCCATTGTAGAGATCTTTTACCTCCCTGGTTAGCTGTATTCTTAGTTATTTTTGTCTTTTTGTGGCTATTGTGAATGGGATTGTGTTCTTGATTTGGCTTTCAGCTGGGACATTATTGGTATACAAAAATGCTACTATTTTTTGTACAATAATGTTGTAATCTGAAACTTGACTGAAGTTATTTATAAGTTCTAAGAGCCTCTGTGCAGATATTATAGGGTTTCCTAAGTATAGAGTAATATCGTCTGTAAAGAGAGATAGTTTGATTTCCTCTCTTCTCATTTGATGCCTTTTATTTCTTTCTCTTGCCTGATTGTCCTGGCTAGGAGGAATATATATTGTTCTACTATAAAGACACTGTATTAGTCTGTTCTTATACTGCTAATAATGACACACCCAAGAGGAGGTAATTTATAAAATAAAAGAGGTTTAACGGACTCACAGTTCCACGTGGCTGGGGATCCTCACAATCACTGTGGAGGGCAAAGGAGGACTAAAGTCATGTCTCATATGGCAGCAGGCAAGGAAAGCATGTGCAGGGAAACTCCCCCTCATAAAGCCATCAGATCATGTGAGACTTATTCACTACAATGAATACAACACAGGAAAGACCTTCCCCCATGATTCAATTACCTCCCATCGGGTCCCTCCCATGACACATGGGAATTATGGGAGCTACAATTCAAGATGAGATTTGGGTGGGGATACACCCAAACCATATCATTCCACCTCTGGCCCCTTCCAAATTTCATGTCCTCACAATCCAAAACCAATCATGCCTTCCCAACAGTACCTCAAAGTTGTAACTCATTTCAGCATTAACTCAAAAGTCCAAAGTCTCATCTCAGACAAGGCAAGTCCCTTCTGCCTATAAGCCTGTAAAATCAAAAGCAAGTTAGTTACATCCCAGATACAATGGGGGTACCAGCACTGGGTAAATATACCCATTGCAAATGGCAGAAAATGGCCAAAATAAAGGGCCTTCAGGCCCCATGCTAATCTAAAATCCAATAGGGCAGTCATTAAAACTTAAATTTCCATAATAATCTCCTGTGACTTCGTGTCTCACATCCAGAGCAAGAGGTGGGCTCTCATGACCTTTGGCAGCTCTGGTCCCATGGTTTTGCAGGCTTTAATAGACTCGCAGTTCCATGGGGCTGGGGAGGCCCTCACAATCATGGCAGAAGACAAATGAGGATCAAAGTCATGTCTTACACGGCAGCAGGCAAGGAGAGCATGTGCAGGAGAACTCCTCTTTATAAAACCATCAGATCTCGTGAGACTTATTCACTCTCATGAGAATAGCACAGAAAAGACCTGCTCCCATGATTCAATTACCTCCCAACAGGTCCCTCCCATGGCATACAGGAATTGTGGGAACTACAATGCAAGATGAGATTTGGGTGGGGACGTAGCCAAACCATATCAGACATACACATGTATGTTCATTGCAGCACTATTTCACAAGAGCAAAAACATGAAATCAACTTAGATGCATCAACAGTGGACTACATAAAGAAAAAATGTTACTTTTACACCATGGACTACTATGCAGCCATAAAAAAGAATGAAATTATGTCTTTTACAGCAACACGGATACAGCTGGAGGCCTTTATCTTAAATAAACTTACACAGGAACAGAAAACAAAATACTGCATGTTCTCTTGTATAGGTGGAAGCTAAACATGGAGTTCCCATGAACACAAAGAAGGGAGCAAAAGACACCAGGGCCTATTTGAAGGTGAAGATCGGGAGTAGAGTGAGGAACCAAAACCACCTAATCAAATACTATGCTTACTACCTGGGTGATGAAATCATTTCTACATTAAGCCTTAATGACATACAATTTACCCGTGTAACAATCCTGCACCTGTACCCCCTGAACCTAACATAAAAGTTGGAAGGAAAAGAAATAAAAAACCCTACCAGCAAAAAATAAAAATAAATAAATAAATTTAAGTATTTTCTTAAATGTTATTAAACATTCAAGACACCATCTTCAACTTCTCAATGATGTTTTCTATTCTGGAGATAGATTTAGCAAACACTCTACTTTCCTTAGCAATCTGCTTCTTTCTCTATATGCAATTGAAAACTGCTCAATTACATATATAGAGTCCAAATTTCAAAATTCTATGATATGTTCTCAGCCAATTTTTCTCATTTATCTTCATAATTTGATAAAATTATTACATTCTTATTTGGCTTTTCTTTGACTTTTATAGCAAAGCAATAATGGATCAATCTTAGACTTGTATGAACTTCTCTATTGCCTGCGCCTTTTTATAATCTCTATTGCTTCTTATAATCTGCACTGATCAGATAGAGTTTATTGGCAACTATAAGCATATTTCCAATTACTGTGAACACTTCCACTACCCAAATGAACACCTGACTGTGAATCATTCATGAAACAGGAAAAAAGGAAATTCCCAATAATTTAAGAAATATTTGGCATTTTTAAATCACTAAATGAAATAACACAGTGATGTTGGGAATAAAATCGTTACAAAATAATATTAATTATATTCTAATAAAGTGAAAATATGCTTATATTTTTGCATTTCCTAAAAGTCTCTTGAAACTGATTAAGTCTGATAGCTATAATGTGATAAAGAATAAACAAAAGTTTAAATTTCCATTTTATTCCAACATATTTGAAGACAAAAGAAACACATTTAAAAGGTCTTATCAAAGAGCTGTGGGCTTGGTCAAGTGTGACCAAAACCATGAGAGTGCCACTTTAATTGATGTAACAAAGGAGCATCAAATAGGTAAAGCACAGAGGATTTTTAGGATAATAAAACTATTTTGTATGACATTTCAATGATAGATAACACCACCCTACATTCTTCAAACCCATAGAAATTTACAGCACTAAAAGTGAAACTTAGCTTATGCAAATTAAGAAAAAGCTCATTTAGGAGGTTGCTGATCTCAGTAAAAAGTGCAGACAGTGACAAGGGCATCTAACTGTATTAGACATGTATTGAACAACCTCAGTAAAAAGGGTGAAATTAAAAGATGCTCACATAAGTAATTTGGGAAATGAATGGAGTCTGTGAGATTAAAGGGAAAACATAATCAACACACTTTAGTTGCTAATGTTGTGTCCCACAGTAGTAGAGGTAAAAATTTTGATACCAGTATACAAAAATACTGTAATTGAACACTTAATTGAATGAACGATAATTGGTACAAGTTAGGTTTCTCATGTTTGGAGTGGGAATGTAGAGTCAAGGGGAAGAGTCTAGAATGATCCACATGGTGATAGATTAGGGTTAGAGGCATCAGTATAAATTCATGAGTAGCTTAATATAGGTGCAGATGTTTACACATGGAAATATTTCAACATATGTGTGTATACATTGGCCAGTATAAACACATACACGACCTTGATCTGCTAGTTCAGAAAGTCTATAAGCAACAACATCCCACTAGCCAAAAAAGCGTACCTACTACCCAGATCTTGGTTTCTAATACTATTCTCCAATAATAGGAAACAGAGATCCTCAGAGAAATAGCTGAATCTAGGACTGGGTGAGAGAATATACAAGATGAGCCTGGAGCATCTTGTAATGCCAGAAATTAAGTACAGGGAAAAGAAAAAGCCTAAACTGATGGGGTTGTACTAAAGGGACACAGAAGACAACTGGGAGAGCTGTCAGTGGCAAAAGCTGGATATATTTGAACAATTAATTAAATAGTATTGGAGTTATAATCCAAACTCAAAACAAATATCCATGAGCTTATAGTAATATAAATACATAATTGAATAAAAGAATTAATGAAGAACAGATAAATATCTCTTACAGAAGAGCTCCAAATAATTTATGTGGACACTTCATCCTCAAGGAGAGAGGTTAAGCATAAGCTGCACATAGTGAGTTCTTCCAGAGTACAGCATGGAAATCGGGGAAAATAGTGACTTCGGCGTGGAGAAACCTGACAAACAATACCTCAGTCAGGTGACAATGGCCACTATCAACAGTGATAAATAATACTGACAGCATGTACTCTTGATATAATGTGATGAACATGGCTCTTTACCTTGTGATAGTATTCCTACCAAAAACCCATGCCCCCCATCTAATCATGAAAAAAAACCTCAGACAAGTTCCAGCAGAGGGTCATCTTATCAAATAGTTGACCAGTACTACTTAAAACTGTCAAGATAATCAAAAACAAGAAAAGTATGAGAAACTGCAAAAATTGAAGCCTAAAGAGCCACGACAAATAAATGTAATGTAGAATCCTGGATGCATACTAGGACAGTGAATGGATATTAGATTCAAACTGCAAAAGCTAAAACAACTAAAGTCATGATTCATCATATTTATATGCTATATATTGTTAAAATATATTTATATTGATTTATTTGAGAACTTAAAAGTGGATGCGCCTTTACTCTAATCACACCATAATATGAAATTAAAGTCTTTATAATAAAGTATATAACCAAATAGCATTTCGGTGTTTTGCAGAAATATCTAGTTTAGGAAGTAAAAAAAAAAAAAATGCATATGAGAGGATTATTGCACATGACATGGGCTAATTTCCTGTTACCATAGTTTACAAAAAAGCAGTCCAGCCATGGTTCATGAATTTTCAAATAATATCCTATATTCTTAACTTATATCAATATTTTAGAGATATATATATATATATTTATAAAAGCCATAAAATTACCCAAGGAAAAAAAGGTTTATCAGGATTCTAAATAACACTCCTTACATTGCTATATATTAGTTTTAAATGAAACTCTTTGAGTTTTTCTCATCAACTTACCTGGTAGCTATTGTCCCCAGAAACCACCAGAGACCTAGACAAGAAAACACCTGCATGGTTTTTTTGGGTAGCTTTGCTGTCAGGAGTCAATGACAGGGATCATTGACAGCCTTCAGTGATACAACCATAATATGAAAAGTGAAGGGTTTTTAACACTTACAGACCCTGAGGTGTACACAACAGGAACAGTGGAGAGTGCAATCTGCCAGGTGGGACAGATGTCTCCATGCTCTTATCTCTGGCCACCAGCTTGATCCTTCTGGGTATGATGTAGAAGTGGAAACTGTGTCAAGGGTAACTGAACACTGCTTTTGGCACTAGAAAGCTAAACCTGCTTCAAAATCAATGCCAACACAACATCAAATTATAAGCACTCACCACACTATTATAGCTCCACTCATCTCCCACTCATGACTAAGGCTTCTTTTGTGTTAATTATGTGATATAATTTGTACTATAAACGTATCGATTTTTTTCCCTTTATATTAAGATATTCAACTGATGTGAGCGGGTAAGAACGATGGGGAAAACAACAAATAAAAATATTTAAAAACTAAAAACTCAGGCTCAAGGCTTTTCCAGTTAAGAAACAGAATGCTTTGTCAGTTCCAAAAATAAAAATTAGAAGCCTTTTGAATTGTCTGTGCTCTTAAAACTGAAGTTTGTCCCTGCCATGGGAAAGCTTTTGTATTACGAGCTCTGATTCACAGGGACCTGCTAACCAGACTTTAGCTCTGCCAGGGTCATAAAAGTATTATTTTCAATTCTCTGATTTTCATCAACTGTTTTTAATAGTTTCTTTTTTCTAATGATATTTATGCCTTCTTACAATCCTTATGTTTTTTCCAATAAAATTCATGGAATATAATTCCTAGATGAAATTCTATCATATCTTTTAGAAACTGTAATGTAAATAAAACAGTACCCTCTGCCGACTACTCTTTCTGATGCTCCAAATTAGGAAGCTGTGCTTATATTTACAAGGAAGAAATGTCATCTTGGGTTTTGATTCCCCATATGTCAGCGGCTTAGCCCTTGACCGAAAGATTCCTACTCTAGCATAGTCTGAAGAAGAACATAACCAAACACTGAACAAAACTAGAGGGGAACATGAGTTACATCTCAAAGGGTTCACTGTGTCTGAACTCAATTGATCAGAAATTAAAGCCCTGTTCCTGAAGAAAAAGGCAATGATCTAGAAATGCTCAGAGGACTTCTTAGTTTCTTGACCTTGTATCCAAGAATTACAGCACCAAAAGTTTACAGAATCAAAAGCAAGTAACACTGCTCCAGGGCAGCATGCCTTATTTATGTTTGGGTAGTGAAACTGGTCAAAGGGTAAATTTAAAGTATTACAAACTCACTGTCTAAATCATTTGCTGTTGCTGTAAGCACCAAATCATTTCCTATATATATACATATATATATATATACACATGTGTATATATACATGCATATATATGTACATATATACATATATATGTACATATGTACATATATATACATATATATACTAATGCTTGCTCGTCAGAGGTTTGTAAAATCACTTTTTAAGCATGAATTCAAGATTGGGGATTTTTGTTTCCCTTAAGCTTTGAAAAGAGGTCTTGTAATCATTGTTTTCCTCTATACCATATTCCATGCGTCATTTATTAGTTGCTGAAAGTATATATACCTATTAATCAAGCATTTTGCTATGGACTAAATTATGTTTCCCCAAAATTCATATGTGAAAGCCTAACCTCCAATGTGACTAGGTTTGGAGACAGGGCTTATAATATTGTAATTAAAATTAAGTAGGTCCTAAGGGTAGGACATTCATCTGATAGGATTAGGGTTCTTATAAAAGAGACATGAGAGCTCACACATTTTTTTCTCTCTCTCTCTCTCTTTCTCTGTACAAACGCAGAGGAAAAGCCATGTGTGATTGCACTGAGAAGGCAAACCAGGAAGACAGCCCTCACCAGGAACAACTGGCCAGTACCTTTATCTTGCACATCTATTTCTATAATTGTCCTTAATAAAACGTACTTACACTCTTATAATTATTGAATAAATTGTAAGCTAAAATTTTCTAGTGAGACCTATTGTTTTATGTTATTGATATTAAGTAGATTTAAAATGAACCATTATTGAGTAGAATGGAATGAGAGAAATCCATCTAGCCAGTAGATTTTCAACTAGCCACAGACCTTCTGATTATTTTTGTTATATTTATTAGTTAGCCAACATTCTGATGCATAGTTTCTCCAGATTCTGCATTTTTCTTTCATAAGAAGATGTGTTTTTACATTCCTTTTTGCCATGGGTTTTGCTAATTTTTTTTTTATATAGACACTTTTTACAGACATCATGGATTCTGAGACTTAGACTCACATTTTCTATTCTACTAATTCTGAATTATCTTGCCGCAGCACATCTCTCTTCCTGAAAAGATACATAACTTATAACAAAATATTACCAATTTAGAGAACACTCGAGGAGCCAAAAACTGAGAGGGAAGTACAGAAAAGTGAACCTGATTCAAGATTTTTGTTGATGCAACTTCTGATTCTAAAGTTGTAGGAGACAAGAGTTGTGAGAGGCTGAGCATAAAGGTTTGCCTGTGGGACTAAGCACTTTCACTCATCAGGGAACCTTTTCTCTCTGTTCCTTCCCCATCTATGATGGGGAGAAAAGGCTTTCAACCAAGTTACACAGAGATCTGTGGCTTTGAACTAAGGGTGAACCACATAGTGTACTTCTCAGTAAGATTTAAATTATCTGTGGATAGCTCAATCTCTAATCTCTATGAACTATAGCTACCCTAATTGTTGAACAGAAGAGAAAGTAAATTCTTTTTGTGGAAAGATACTATCAAGCAGAATTTATATTACTTCTCATTTCCGTTTTCACAAGAAATGTCCAATATTCATCATAATTTATCAGGCATACTAGACAATGAAACTATACATAAAAAATAGAAAAATGAAAGAAAATGGAAAAAAAACCTACACAAAATCCAAGTATTGACATAATCAGATAGATATTTCAAATTATTGACAGTATAATATTTAATAAGTTAAATAATAATACAGATTTTTGCAGATAATTTAAAACCATAAAATTAAGTGACATTCTAGAACTGAAGAATATAATAATTAAATATAAGAATTCAGTAAATGAATAAAATAGCAGATTAAATTAGTTGAAGATAACTCAATGGTTAGAAAGCTAAAAGATAAGTAAGACTGAAATAATCAAGCTTCAGCACAAACAGAAAATATAGGGAAGCTCCTAGACATAATATGGAACATGGTGAAAAGATTGAACATTCAATTCAAGTCTCAGAAGTCTCTTGAAGACAGAGGGGATAAAGCAATGCTTAATAAGATAATGACCAAAAATCATCCAGAAATTGAACGACATCAAACCATGGACAAATACCAAACATTGCTCATACAAAGAATAAATTCAAGATAAATTTTAAAAAATTATTTTTAAAATACTTCATTAAGACTGACAACTGATTTCTTAACAGAAATGAGGTCAAGCCAGAGATAACAAAATGGTATCCACAAAATGTAGAAATAAAATAACTATCATTATTCATAGGCAAATGATTGTATATGTTGAAAATCTAAAAATAATCAGTATACTTATTAGAATTAATAAGTAAATTCAACCAGGTTTTTGTACAAAAAATAATAGTATATGTAAATACCAGTAACCAAAATAAGAATATGAAATGCTAATAAATAATTCTATTTAAAACCTTAAGAACATTAAAACCTTAAAAATAATCTAACATAAGATATGCAAGTCATCTACAGTGCTAATTATAAAATGTTATTGAAAGAAATTGAGTAACACTTGAGTAACTGGAGGAATAAACCCATGTCCTGGATTGTTAGATTTGATATTTTAAAAAGTTTACTATTTCCAGGTTGATCTACAGGTACAATACAATCCCCCCAAATCCAAAAATAATAAAGAAGCAAAAAAAGGAATAATTTCTTAACAACACTAAGCAAGAAAATATGTTTCATGTCTACAGATCTGTAGCTGTTTTAAAATTAATAAAAGTATATTCTAAATCTCTATGCAATGAAGTTGCAGAAGTAGATAAAATGAAAAAAATCTCATAAAAACACTTTTTGCCAAAGTTACATTAGAAGAAATTAAAAATCTAAAAAAAATATTTATCCAAATTCAATTCAATTAACATTCATAGAGCTTCAAGAATTGTCAACATCAGCAAAATGTATTTTCCATCATGGATTAGGGTGTATATTGAGATGTTTTCTTTCTCTTTGATCATATTTGCTTCATGTATGTGACTCATGCAACTTGAGTATTCGGAGTCTGTAGAGAAGCACTAGATTAAACATCTGAAGTAATGTGCCCATTTTTGTCTCTCTGGATAATATCCTTCACTGTTGATTATTAAGATATGTTTTTAAGGTAAAGCAAGGAATCCGAATTGGAGGGAGAACGATCTGTTGAAATACCATATAGCATATAACAACTTGTGGAAATACACATTTAAAAAATAAGTTTAAGCCAGGTCACTTTCTACTGTGATGATGCCAGCACAAAGTTTTAAGTCAGACTCCGATTGCTGCTTTGTTTTCCAGTGGTATGAGAGGTTTGTAATGGATGTGGGTGTGTTTGTGTGTGTATGTGTATGTGCACATGTGTGTGTGTGCATGTGTGAGTTATTGCAAAGGCATAGAAAGGATATGACTCCTAAGGGAAAAGGAGGCTACATTTAGAAGGATCAGGTTTTATCTCCTCGGGAAAAAATAAAACAAAACAAAAAGCAGAAAAATCCCCAATTTTGGTTTTATAAAGGTATTTTATAGCATTGGGTTCTCAATTCAATTTTTTTTTGTTTGTTTTCAAGTAGGCTATAGAATGCTGACACATTGATTATCTCTGACGATTTTCTGTTCCTCTTTGCTCTTTATTTCTAATTATGCTATCTCAAAATAACAGCATATCAAGGCCTTTGTGTCATAGATATATAGGTCATCATAATCCAATTATTTAGTGTCACCAATAAAAAAATTGATAGAAAATATCCAACATAGAATTTATTTTTAAAATTTTATATCCATTCTTATTTGATGTTTACTTATCTTAACATTTATACGTTATCTTGACCCTGTTTACTGCGAAGGTTGTTTACTCCATAATGATAAGGATATAATGTTGTAATTTGAGACAATATTACTGAATTCATTTATATTTCCATTTTTATAACAGCTGAGTCCTAATATTCTTGTGTTCTCAAAATACTGTCTGTATTGTTTCAAATAATTTTGTTGATCCATAATGTTTTATAACTTCAAGTACTTTAAAGCCCCCGTTCTATATCTAAATGTTCATTTTTATTTTTATATTTTTCTTGACCTTAGGGGGCTGTGCTATATAGATGAAGGCAATGGATATAGAGGAACTTATTAGTAAGAAATTATTATTTCAACAAGTTTTCTTGCAACCTGAGTTCAAAAAAGTCAGTAAGTTTTTATTTAACTTCTGGTCATGATTCAGTCAGAATTAGTGTTCATCATAAAGGAGACAAGTAAACAAACTTGAGCATCAACACATAAGAGAAATGATCCTCCATATTACTCCACTGCTTGCCTAACGTAACTTAAGGGAAGTTTTACAGTGTCTCTTGAAACAGCCAGAATTTTGAACATTAGGTTCACCAATACCTCTTACATGATCACTAGAAGTACTCCCTGGGGAATTAACAATAGGAACCTAGGTTTTATACTGAAAAGTCAAAGTTCAAGTTGGACATGCTATTGAAGCAACCTAAGTGAGAGATGTTGAAAAAAAATACAAGGTAAAAGAATAGGTAATGAAAATAAGTGGATGGATTTGAAAGATCATTGGTAGGCAGGGTCATTAGAATTTAAATATGAGATTAAAAGAATGGGACATTTAAAGATATTGCCAGGAATATGGATTAAGTAAATAGTAGTGACATTTAATTTGGGAAATACTGGACAAGTTTAATTTTAAGTATGCTTAATTTAAGACACCTGTAGGACACTCAAGGGAGTGTTGAAGTTCCTGGCTATGTTATAAATATCGGGGTCTCAACTTAAACCAATAATTTAATCCATGAGAGATAAGAAGATCAATGAGGAGCGTTTCAAGGATACTACTGGAAGCCTGCAATAAAGTTCACCTCTGGAAATGGCCAATGATTGTAGTTTGTAAAATGAGAGGAACTTTGTTTCCTGAGGCACTTTTTGTTTTCTCTAATTCTATGTTAAAACAATTAATAAGCAGCTACTATATACTGACCAGTGCTTAAAATTAAAAAAGAAAAAAATCTAATATTTTCCCTACAAGAAATTTATAATCTAATGAGAAAAATACATTTAGAGGTTAGAATAGATTTTTAATTATATTTTTTCTTTCCAAAGATAAAAAATAATATTTTGGTTTAAAATCTAATTAGTTGGGTCAAACAAATATTATTTTTCTATAATGTCTGTGTATATATGTGTGTGTGTGTGTGTGTGTGTGATGTTACTGCATTTAAAGTTTTAAAAATAGTAAATATGTGAAACATAAATGCAGAGCACTCATAACATATATAATCTCATAAATAATTCTATAAGTAAACAAAACAGTAAAAATACCACTACAAATTTAAATATCTTAAATTTCCCATGAATAACATTGAAGTAACTTGGTGCTGTGTCTTAACAAAAACCTTGTAGGTTGCTTTATGCAGCTAAGTATAAGGAAGCACTGTGGCTCTGTTAAGTGGAAAGCAGTAAGTCTAAAAGAAGGACATAGTCTTGATAATGAAGGTAAATTACTGTGGTTTGTTGTTCCGTTCTTATTTTCTTATTCATTGGCTTAAATTAGAAATCTAACATTTGTTGTTTGGAGAATTACTTCCTTACATAAAGGAATTGCTCATTTTGTGCCAAGTGACAACAGATGCTACAAAATGGTATTATCCTATACTCAGTTTTATAGTTGTTAATTTCAATCCGCTGCAAATGCTTTTCTATTCCACTTAAAGGAGATGATAACTGTAATATGTGAAGTTTTCATTGTTATTAATTTATTTATTTTGTGGCCTCATCTCCCATAACAATGTTGTTTCTTTAGGCCTTAATTGTCTTTTCATTTCTTTCAAAGTGTTTTATTATTTAAATCTTCTCATTACTTAAGGTTTTTCCTTTTGTTCACTATTTTGATTCTTATAACCAGCACTCTTATTCATGTGCCACATGAATGGGATACTTACCAGAAGCCAACCAGATACAGCCATCCAATCTCAAACTTCCCAGCCTCCAGAACTGTGAACCAAAACAAACCTCTCTCTTTCTAAATTACCCAGTCTTTAGTATTCTGTTACAGCAACAAAAAAGGACTGAGACAGTGAACATGTGTTGGGGAGGGGAGGATATAATTTGTTGTTTCATTGAGCATGGTGAAGTTTTTCACTTTTGGCTATTATTATCGGGCAGGGCCATGCTGAATTACCTCATGAAATATCCAAAATGAGCTGACACAATTTCATATTTCAGTTGTTATATTCAACTATTTATCTACTGCATATGAAAACTGTTTGCACTATAGATACATATTTCAACATAGTTTGTTATACATATTGTAACAAAAGGGACAAAATTATCCCACAGTTTTGAAGCCAGCAAGATACCAAGCTCTTAGATATCCATTCACAGGAGAGGGAGGTATACTTGTGTACTTAAATCCTGTTTAATGTTTGTTATTAAAAAACGGATTCAGGCTACATCCAATACAGAATACTAAGTTAGAGATACAGAGAGACTCATATTGCATAGCATTTTATTGTTACTAACTACCATAGAATATCTTGGAATAAAAGCCAAGATAGGCCTTAAAGATAATCTTTTCATCAATCTTTAATTTCTAATTGTAAAACTAGACAATGTTCCCTGAACACGGGAAAATGGCTCTGGCTCTTGACACAGCTGTTGTAATAATGACCAGCCTATCTCCAAAAAGACACATATCTGAGTGTTGTCAGCTTTAGATTAGATAAGAGTTTCATATTTTATTTTCTGGAAATAATTGTGGTTAAAGGAAAAATATATTTCAGAAAAAGTAAAATAATTAAATTAAAAATAGACTTTTACTTTCAGTTCTTTTTTTTACCTATCAATAATTTTTGTCCAAATGCATTTGTTTACCTATATGTCATTCCTTCACCATGTTCCCTAAAATATTATCTTTGCTTCTCTTATATCTGATGAGGATTTACATAAACTAGTCAATTTGAATCCAAAACAACTCTGATGGCCATACTTATTTTGTAAAAGATAAGATTTAAAAAGTAGTAGCATGCTGTGAACAAAAGCAGGGATGTAACACTGAAAATTAAGGCTTTTCCATGCTTTGTAGGATTTGGCCAAGGGAAAGTAATCACAGACTGAAATAAAGCTGCAAGAATTGAAAAATAGAGGTTCTGTAAAGAAAAAATCACTCTAAGAGAAAATGTGTTAAAATTCCTTATTCCTATCTTTATGTTGTACTATTTTTTTGAACCCAGTTTCTGGGTTCTTAAAAGACTAAGTATAATTTACTATTACAAATTCACAAATGTTGTCTTATTAGTTATCCAAGGAAGTCTTACTGATCATTTCATATGTTTTATTCCTAAAGTGTTCATAGAAAACTTAGACCCTTTTAATATTAAAAGAACACAAAATAATTTTATTAAAGTGCTTTATTTTTAAAACAACCTAAAATATATGTGAACATATTTTCCTTCATTTCATTATATTCATGCGCAATGACAATGCTGCTAAATTTATCTTGAGGATATAAGTCAGCCACTCAGGAGAAAATATAAAACAAATAGTTGTAACCCAAAAGCAAACAGTTTATCACTGGGTTTAAAACACAACAAAACAGAAAACTTGAGGAGGATATTTTTTGACCCTAGACCATAATTGATAATGTCAAGCCTCAAGCTTCGAAATGATATCTTGACTACATATTAATCTTAAAATGATTACTTAAAAAATAGAACAACGAACATAGAAGCTGGAAAACTAAGATGTTTATAAACATTCACATTTTTTACTTCATATCCCATTTACTCTGCATTGCTCCTATGCCCCTGAATGCAAAATTAAGATGTTCTCCTAAATCACCATTTCAGACCTTTTTTTGGACCAATAATTCTTTATAAAAAATGCACAAATACATATACCTACACAGTTTTACATATAATTTAAAGCTTTCATACACCCCACCAAAGCCCATCTGGGCTCTATAAAGTTTCACATATCCAAGTCAAGAATCCCTGGCCTAAAAAAGTACATTTCACATACATACACACACACACACACACACACACACACACACATATATAGCTTAGAGGCTTGTAAAACTTCCTACCACTATAGGCAGGCTTCTTAAAATGACAAACACTCAGTAGGTGCTCATCAAATGTTAGCAGTTAATGATGATAGACATCTGTTTTGTCCTCTCACACATGTCCTAATGTGAAATCAGCTCTCATGTGAATTTTCTGCCAGAAATGTTCAGACTGTATCTCCTATTTCCAGTGACACTGAAAGCAAAGCAATATTAGAGACTGAATTGCTGAATCAACTTTTCAATAACTAGGAATTAACAGGATCTCAGTATCCCAAGGAAGTTAATAAGAAAACCAAGATTTCCTAATTATACAGAACTTAGATCTGTGGGCTCAAAAGCTCAGAAGACCAATAAGCTTAGATAACAATGAGCAAAGATCATATGCAATTTTATTGGGATCTGTTCATAATTAGGAATGATGCCCTTCTTTCTGCCTGTGGAAGCAATTACCAACTCTCATCAATATTCATTTCTCCTTTCCTTCTTGGATACCCAGAAGACAAAAATTTCCAGTCTTTCAATTAGTCAGGTTAATGTGGGTAGTTCCAGTTGACAGAGTTTAAGCAAAAGCCACAAGTGTCACTTCTTGGCTGAGATATTGAGAAGCCCCGGCTCTATTTCTTTATTTGCTCAATGCATGACAGCGACCCTGGAAACTATAGGTTTATACTGCAAAACCATAAGATAGGATTTTAAAAAACAAAACAAAACAAACAAAAACCCTTGGAAGGGAGTTCCCCTGGAGGAATAAACTTTGACCAGTAATATTTCAGAGCTCATTAGATAGTTAAGAATGATTTAGGCTAATCTGACTTATTCTCCAGGCCAGACAACATTTTGATTATTTTAATTAATATGTAATGGGAAATAGAAATGTTAGACAGTTTAGTGATAGAAATTGTTCAAAAGATTTTGAACATCTTTTTGTCACCCCAAAATTCACAAGTTATATTTAAATACATTTAACAGTGCTTTCAGCTCTCTGTATAATAGTGGAAAAGATCAAATTTCTGAGTGGACATGGAAACCAAAGTGGTACTTCTTGCTCATTTTGGGGACAGTTATATGGGAACTTGGTACACCGTTTGCTCACCAACAGGCCACAATTGAACATTTAATGCATTTTTAAGACTAATTTCAGAAACTACTTCTTAGCTGTAACCTTCTTATCATCTTTCTTTGATACAATTGGGTTGTGTGTGGCTGGTGACAAAATCTACCTGCTCAAGACAAAGTTCAATACCTTTTAAATAAAGTGACAATCTAGTCTCCAAAATTATTATAAACACGTACACTCTATAGGAAGAGGCAGCAAGGTTCCTAAACAAAAGAATATAAATTATTCATCCTTATTTAGTGCTAGTAGGGAAAAATCTTAGAGAACAAAGCTGTAGCTACTTATGCAAATATTGCTTAGGATGAAAACATAAATATTCACTATTTTCACCAGTAGGACACCTTGCAAATGGCAAATGTTTATGCCCTAGATTGTAGTATGTGTAGTTTTTCTGAGAATCTATTCTAACATCCACCACTTAGTTGTCACAGGTCACTTGAATGCAAAGTAACTTTTAAATCAATATTCAGCATACCTTCTGTAATATTAAGTAATATGCACATCCAGAAAGATGAAAACTTAAGACTCTTCATAAGCAGAATATGAAAGGCAGTAATTGCTAATAGAACACCTGCAATGACCTAATGTAGAGCCCATAAACACCTACACATTGACTGCCTCAATTGCTCTTAAATGAATCTCAGAAGGTGGCAAAGCATGTTTTTAGTGCAAACTGGCATTCAATTATGATCCTCATTTAATTAACGATAGCATTAACAAGGTCAGTTTGTTTCCCGTACACAAGACATTACAACTTCTTTATCAAAAGGAGACAAAGTAGTGTCCCTGCCTTGCAATTAGTAAAGGCTGAAATCAGGTTAGCATCTTGCATACTGAACAATCTTTACAGTTGTACTGTTTGGTTGACTGGGAATAGGAAACAATATTTTAATCACAAAGCAATATACTTTGAAAGCAAGAATATAATTTTAGAGGATTTATTTATCTCCGCAGTATATGGGAAAAAAAAATTGATGGCAATTCTACTGCTCTCCAGGGAAGCAAAGACATCAAGAGACCAGTGGACACAGACGACAGAACAAATTAGAGCAACTCCTAACTATCTTCTCTTGCCGTACCCATTATAATTTTGACAAATAAAGCAAACCTAGGTTTAGGCTTAAGGCAAGCTCAAAAATTGTCACATGTTACAAAAAGCACGTAAAATCATAAAAAAAAAAAAAACTGTAACCCTGCATGCACAAACTCACATCTGCACGCACATCTTAAACTCCCGAAGCATTTATGAACTGTGAATCTTCTCCCTCTCTTCGAAATTATTTTTCAAAGAAGATACTCATATCCCCTTTTTTCTTGGCTCTCTCAGCTGTGTCTCAAAAATCTTTCCTCTATCTGCTGGATAGATACCTATCTGTTTCCCCTGTCTGTTGTTCTCTCACATTCCTGCCTTATTCCTATTCCAATGGCCGTCTTTAGTGTCTTCTCCCATCTTAAATCTCCTTTTTTTTTTTTTTTCTAATTTCCCCCAGGCATAGATTTTTGGCCTCTCTTGGCTTCCTGATTTCATATCTCCACTAATTGCACTACTAATTCATCAAAGTCTAGTTACAAAAACAATTATTTTTTCTTAGAAGGCCAATGTGTGTGGGAATTGGCCAGGGTGAAGGAGGGGAAAAAAACAAATCTGTGAAAACTTACACTTTAATATAGATCTTATTGTTATCACATCCATGTATATGTAGTTATGTCTTTAATTTTACTGCTTCTTTTATTTTGGAACACTTAGTGCCCCAGAAAATTCAGTCAAACCCGTTCTTCCAAAAGTTTTTCATTTCAAATAACCCCAAATTTAGAATTACAAATCTCAGTTATCAAAATGTATAAAATAACTGAGATAATATTTATGTAACTTATCTGATGTATTGAAGATTTCAGTGGGAATAAATCCTGCCCACAGAGACGGTCTGCTACTTTGTAATAGTGAGACCTTGTCTCTATTAGTTTTAGCTTAGTTATTTGTAATTGGAGACATATCACTCTCAAAAAGTTGCAACTAAATGTTATAATGTATATGAAATTACTTGGGGATTGTACAATTTTAATCCAATGCAAGCCACTGTATAGCTCTTGATCACAAAGCCAGATGGTGTTAAACAGGATTTATTGGAAACCAGCCTTTTCTATTTCTTTTTAGGTATGCTCTTAGACATATTTTTGCTATTTGATCAAGCATTCTGTGTGATAATTTAAAGCAACAAGTAAAAAAGTAAGAGAACTGACTTTAGAATTAGACTACTTAAGTTCAAATTCTGAGTTCTGCCACTTATTACCTATAAGATGTAGAAGATATCATTATTTAACCTCTTTATGTCTCTGAATATTCATGCGTGAAATGAAGAGGAAATGAGCTTCTAATTTCAAGTGTCAGTGTGATAATTTAATGCTTTAAAATGTGTAAAATAATCCCTGCTTGCACATGGAAAGTGTTATATAAATTACTAGAAATAATAAAGAGATTACTATCTGATATGAAAAAAATCAAAAGCCTTATATTACCAAAAGTATACTGAAAGTTGACAATTTAAACTTCATGTGTTTGTAAATAAAACGAATTTTCCAATGTATTAATGCAGATTTTCCAATATTCATTTTACTTCACTATATGTTATAGGAATCATCACTTAATGGAAGGAAAACAATGTGGGAACAGATAGACTGGAGTTGAAATCTATTTATCATTAATCAAGTTATCTAACATCTCTCTTATTTTTTGGCATCTGTAAAATTATCATAATAATGATTCTTAAGACTTTGTGAAGTTAAATATGAAGCTCTTCACACTGTTTCTGGCAAATGTGTTATAAGAAACATATCATATTAGCTATCTTCTCCAGTTGTTGGGTTATGTGTATGTGTGTTCTTTTTAATAATATCCATAATATGTCATGTCCCTAGGAACTTCAGACTCACCTTCTAAATTTCATCTGAAGAACCAATCTCAATTATTAAGAAATTTGCATTAAGAAATGATACTTTAAAGAAGTGGTTCATGATCTGTGGCCCTGGATTCTCATAGGCCCACAGAGTTATTTCTCCAAACTCAGATGTACACTCAGCCTAGTCGGCTGATGACTGAATAAACAATACATTATACATATGAGTATTAACAACATTCAAAATAATTTAAAAGCATGACTTTTTATCATTATACAATATTTTCATCTTAGGAGATAATAAAACTGGCTGTTAAGACAAGTCTTCATCCTAAAAACCTGTAAACCACTAGTCAAAAGACATTCAAATCAAAGCATTTCAAAGTTATTTTAAATCCTTGATTCAAAGCAGGGCTCTTATTTTAACTGTCCATCTTCCCCCACACTCTGGTTATTTTTATAGTTTCCTCTTTATGCTCTGATTTTATAGTGTGACTGCTCATGCATATTTGTTCCAGGGCTAGATTTCTAATATGCACAGAACCATGCACTACCAGAGTTAAAAAGGACTTTAAAGTCACCTAGTCCAACTATCCATCAGATGCATGAATTATTCCTACTTATGTCTACATCTGCTCTCCTGGTGCCTTAAATATACCCTAGATATTAGTCCTGTAGCCAAACATTAACTCTGACTCTAAATGGAATTCTTAATTCATCAGCACTTTTAAAACTTCCCACTTGTAACAAGAATCTCAATTAAAGTGTATTTAACCGCTGCTTTCACAAGATGACTGATTCTCTATCATTTATATTGAGCTAGCTCATCATCAGTACCCAAGTCACTCTCATGTACTAAATTAGATACTGAGGGAACTACGTTAACTCTTTGAGACCACTAAGTCACCATTTAGTGTACTGAGCTTAGGAACTGTAGTAAAGAGTTATACACCAGACACAGGCATGAATAATAGATAGCTTGACAAGAAGTAAAATATACACAGCCAGAAATAAAAGACCTTTATAAGAATGGTGGTTTTTAGTACATGTTAAGTACAAAAAGAAACAGATTATTAAATACCATGAGCCATCATTTATATAGATTTCATCAGAAATTTGAATCTATAAAAGGCATTCACTCTCTGAAGCATCACATTAAGAGAGTTGTATTGCCTGTTACAGATCTCATATTGACAGAGAGATGTTGCAATAATGACAGTCATTAAAATAACTGCCTAGTCAGACTTAAAATGATAGGCATTAAATTTGTGCTGATTAATCATTAACATCCTTTTAAAGTTTTTAGTGGTATAAAATAAAAAGTATTGAATTAAATCTTTTTTAATTTCTCTTCCCCTTTTTTCATATGAATCATATTATTCAAGCAGCTTTATAACTGACATTAAAATAATGCATGATTAAAATAATCATTGTACTTGCACAGACTAGACCCTTTTCCAATAACTTTGCATACAAAAATGAGAAATCTATTTTTTTCACAAAATCTCCCCACCTTTTGCACTCATTGCTGTTGGATATTGAGTGTATTATACATAGCCTAGCTTCAATTTAATCACCAAGATTTAGTTAAAATACTTTCTATAATAAACACCGCAAAAATTTGAATCTTCTGGTTCCTATAAATTGAACTGATGCATAGCTTCTTTAAATACATATTCCAGTAGTCACTTACTTAAATAGTTTATTAGAAAGCTCTAGGATGTACATGAATTATAGTTCTAAAAAATGAAACTGATGTGCAAAGTTATCACAGTCCTGAAACATTAAAAAATAATCAACGCAATATTCTTTGTATTAGTATTAGTTTTCTATTGTTACCATTACAAACAACCACAAATTTAGTGGCTTGGACAACACATTTTTTAGCTTGCATTTCAGTAGGTCAGGAGTCCGAAAGTCCAACACAGGTTTCACCAGACAAATATTGAGGTGTCTGTGGGCTTCATTTTTCTCTAGAGGCTCCAGGGGAGTATTTCTAGATTAGTTGGATTGTTAGCAGAATTCAGCTCTGTGAGGTTGTAGCACCAAAGACATAACTTCCTTGTTGGCTACTGGCTATAGCCTTTCCCAGGATCTAGAGGTTGCTGTACTCCATGACTCATGGCCTTCTTTCATTTTCAAAGGCAGCAATATCATGTTCTTCCATTACTTCAAATATCTACTTCTTTTTTTTTTCATCTCATACATCTTATGATCCAAGACTGTTTCTCAATTTGGAGATTTCATGTGATTATATTGGGCCCATGTGTATAATCCAGGATAATTTACTTGTGGAAAGATCTATACCTTCTATACCTGTAATCACATCTGCAAAGTCCCTTTTGCATGTTTGGTAAAATGTTCACAGGTTTCAGAGGTTAGGTTGTAGATTTAAATGGAAGGCCATTATTCTGCCTACCACATATCCTAACATAGTAGGTGGCAGTTTTTGAACATTCCAGGACTACTAATATTGCATTGTGGGGAGTAATCTAAATTCAAAGACTTTACTCCAAATTTTTAACCCCTTGATGGCACCCAGAGTCAGCTAATGCCCCTAGAGCAAAAAGTGGCTGCAGATGATCAGCTCAAATCTCAGTGGTTGTCCACACTATAGAATCTTAAGACTGCTCATTCTCTTTACTTCAGCAGAACTATGACCTTTTCTAACACAAGCTTTTTTTTTTTTTTTTTTTAGTTTATTTTAGCAGGAACATTTGTCATGAATATTTTCACACTACATTACAGAAGAAATCTCTAAGCATGTGTTTTAATTTATGTAAATGTTATGTCATCAAACTTGATTTGTTTCTTACTCTTTGTCCATAGGATGTTTTTAAGATTTATTCATGATTTCTTAGCTGCATCTAGTTTCTCACTTCTGGCTCTTGTAAACTAGTCTACATAGGCATCAGTTATACCTCACAAAATTATATGTTTCCTTAATTTAGGATAACTAAGTGGCAAACCTCCTCTAACATACCTCTTTATGGTTCGATTTTAGATTTTCTCTCTATTAATAGGCAAGATATATAAGCATTTATGTTCCCTGAAGAGTTTTGATGATCCCTTAGAATTGCTGTATCTCTTTACACACCTATTAGCAATGCATTAAGATTGCTGCTTCCTCAGTGTTTATGAAAATTGTTATTATATGACTTGCTCATTTTGGTCAACCTCATACCTCTTACACAGAATCTTACTCAAATTTGATATATTTCTGACTTCAGTTGTGGTTGAGTATATTTTCGTAAGCATTTTAGCCATTCAGCTTTTTTGTTATATAAATTATTATCATATTACGTGTCCTTTGTTCTACTTGGTTTGTTCATTTTCAGAGATTAATTGTATACTAATCATTTGCCAAATATAGACATCATGAATAACTTCTCTCAGTCTATTATCCATTTGTTAATTTTTATCTGATAATTTTTGTTGACCATAAATATTTAATAGTTGATACTGAAGTCTATTTTTGTTTGTTTATTTCTCTTAGAGTTTATTTTTAGGGGCACTTAGGGGATCATTTTTAAGTATGCCTTATCCACCCCGGTTTTCACTCTCTCCCTGCAAAAAGTAGTTTTAATTTATTTTCTCTAATGTAAGTATTGTTTGCTGTCATCTTTTGCAGTTAGTATGATCTACTTTGATTTTAATATTTAAAGTTGACCTGAATATTTGCAGAGTTGTAGTCCTTCATATTAATTTTAGAGTAAGTTATTAGTGCCTCAAAAATATATTTAGAATTTTGATTGAAATTTAAATTAAATAGATTGTTTTGAACCACCAACAGACATTATACACCTCTCAAATTATTCAGCTTTTAGTATTTAATACAACTTTAATATTTTAATAAAAAATTTACATGTTATTTCTTAACTGAATCACTACATATGTTTTAGTTGATATTACACAGGAACTACATGTTATTATTTATAATTATACCACAATGTATATTTATAAATACGTATATGCTAACACATCTTATTCTATTTTCTAGCAATATTTTTATGTTGCTGTCATATCTGGCAAACTTGTTGAAACTTTCATTAGTTTTGCTATTTGCTGGTACAGTAATTATTGTACATTGATCCTCATTTCATCCACAAACATTGAAAACTATTAAGCTTTCCTTTTCATATCTCATACTAATTTCTTCTTGCTTCATTTACTTGACAATCCAGAGCTTCCAGTTTTGCATTTATCATTTATAAGAAATGATACCAGGTATTCTTCTCTTGTTTGCAAGTGAATTAACATTTTTCCATGAAGTATGATGTTTAATTTTCGTTATTTAGTTTAGATAGGATTTATTTCTATCATGTTTAGATCTTTTATTATAACCACTTTTGTTTTTGTAATGTGTCTTTTCTCCATTATTTTAGATAATCTTATGATTTTGTTCTCCTTCAGCTCGTAAGTGAGTAGATTACCCCAACGGATATTTCTAATGCTAAATGATCCTCACTTTTATTTGATTATGATGATTATTTTAATTACATTGTTGTGTCTAGGTAGGAGTTTTAAAATATTTCTAAAGGAAACTTTTTTTTTTTTTTTTTTGAGATGGAGTCTCACTCTGTCACCCAGGCTGGAGTGCAGTGGCGGGATTTCGTCTCACTGCAACCTCCACCTCCCTGGTTCAATTGATTCCCGTGCCTCAGCCTCCTGAGTAAGTGGGACTACAGGTGTGCACCACCACACTTGGCTAATATTTTCTATTTTTAGTAGAGATGGGGTTTTACCATGTTGGCCTGGCTGGTCTCGAACTCCTGACCTTGTGATCTTCCCACCTTGGCTTCCCAAAGTGTTGGGATTACAGGCGTGAGCCACCGTGCACAGCAAAATATTTTTATAAGTGAAATAGATGGTCCTATAACAGTTTCGCTGCCTTTATCTCGTTTAGAAACTGGTTGTTTTAGATTAATAAAATGAGTTTGAAATCTGTTCCTTCCTTTCTGTTTTTGGAAGTTGCACATGTAGAGGTTATCTTGAATGTTCAGTAAAATGTACCTGGTAAGCCATCTGAATTTGAGGAAGTTTGGTTTGGTATGCTTTTATTATTAATTAAATTTTTTCAAGATTTTTAAATATAATTCAAGGTTATTAATTTCTTTACAACACAACAGAATTTATTTGGCTAGATTTTTCTTAGTTATCTTCCCTTTTATTTTATGTATTGAATTTTTACTTCAACATTTTTTTGCTTAAAACTAGAAAATGTTTTGCCTTTTTTCTTCTCCTTAACAGACCTAATACATATCACAAAGCCTTCTTTAACAAAAAGTAATAAAAACCAACTCTTCTAAAATTTTACTTTTTCTTCTTCCTTCTGATGCCTCAGTACTCAGAGTAAATTTTTATTTTTATTTTTCTGTTCATGACTTTTTAGTATTTTTTAGCACGTGTACCCTAAAGCTTAAAGTATAATAATAATAAAATAAAATAAAAATATTTTTTAGCAATAAGATCAGTCTGTTTCTCAAGAAGTAGGAATGAGAGAATTAATAAAATACAGTAGTCTCTGTTCTTGAAGCCAAGTGGTGACAAACAACAAACCAAAACAAATGAAGACTGACTTCTCTCCTAAACGATAAAGAAGCAACATCTGGCCTCCCAGATTCTTACTTGAAGTTGGCAGCTTTCACCAAGTCATACTATAATTCTCTTTCCTAGTACTAGAACTGGCAAGTGAGTAGAATGAGGCACTTCAAGATGATTTGGTTTCATTTGTTTGTTTGTGTAGACGTTTTGTTTGGTTAGTTGGTTGGTTAATTTTCACCTCAGATAGGGAGACAAGGCAAGCTCCACTCTTGGCTGCTTTCACTGGGCTGTCACCCAGCATCATGGAGGAGGATTTCCCAAATCTGAACATTTGCATGACCTGGAACCTGAAGTTTTCCTGCCCTGACTCATTTCTTATGCCAGCAAAATTGAGATGAGGGAAGGAGAGTCGACATGATCAAGGTGCCATTGTTCTCCAACACTTCTGATTTATGTTTTCTTTTTCCTTTGTTTTTCTTTTAAAATATTTACTGTAACAGATCTTAGATGCATGCAAATAATATAAAATAACATCATAAAAGGGTGATAAAAAATAAATCATGAAACATAATAACATTTTCCTTCCACACATGCCTTTCATTTTCCAGTTCCCATCCACTATGTATTGATGCGGTTAATAGTTGTTTGTGCCTACTTCCATAGATATTCTATTCATGTAGGTATTCATAAATAACATTATTTATGAATAAATAATGTTTATTGAGTGATAAACATTAGCATATTATAATCAATTATCTGGCACTTGCCTTTTTTCTATTTACATTATATTTTATTGCATCACCATTCATATCTACAAAATTGACCAATTTTTTATACAGTTACATAGAATGCATCCAATTGTATGAAAATTCCATAATTTATTTAACCAGACTTTCAGTGATGAACATTTAAGCTGTTTCAAACTTACAGAAACACTCCAATGAGTATTGTTGTATATAACTAGCTGTGAATATATAAAATTACATTTCTGATATAAATTCCTAGAAGAGGATTTGAGGCATCAAGTGGCATATAAATTATGATAGCTGTGGCCAAATTATTCTACATGACTGTTAGATCAATTTATATCTCACCAGCCTAGGTATGGGAGTACTGCTTTCTGTAAGCACTAGCAGGCAGGCAAAGATGTATCATCTAATGCTTGGACACTTGCCAATTTGCTAACTAAGATGATTTATTGCTATTTTTCTTAATTTGAGAGAAAATATTGAAAATCAGATTTATTTAAGTATAATATACATAGAGAAAAACCTACACTTTGGATTTTGAAATGTACTTTTCTCTGAGTTTTCACAAATGTATAAAGTAGTGTAATAACCACTACAATCAAGATATAAAGCATTCCTATCACCCCAAAAATTACTTTGTGCCACTTGTAGTCATTTTCCTCTCCCGCCTTCAGTCTCTCATCTGATTTTGGTCCCTATAATTTTGTGTTTTCTAGCATGTCATAAAAATTTAATTGTATAATATGTAGCCTTTATTGTGTGGCTTTCTTTCATTCAGTATAATGTTTCCAGATGTATCTATATTGTTGCATGTATACATTGATTTTTAAAAATTGGATTATGTACCATAATTCTTTATCCATTTGATAAACAGCTGAAGGACATTTAGGTTCTATTGAGGTCTGGTTGATTAAGAATAAAGCTGTTTTAAATATTTACATAGAGGTCTTCGAATGGACATATCTATTTCATTTTGGATAAATACCTACTAGGGTGATTGCTTAGTGTAATGATAATGATACATTTAATTTTAAAAGAAAATTTCACAATATTTTTCTAAGTAGCTCTACCATTTTGTATGCTCACCATGAGTAGTGAGAGTTCCAGCTGCTTCCAATCATTGCCAGCACTTGCTATTGACAATTTTATGTTTTTAAGTCATTTTCATAGGTGTGTAGTGGTATCTCAACTAATCTTACTTTGTATTACACCAACAACTAATAATAGTGTGCATCTTTTTATATGTTTATTTGCCAGTGAAGTCTCAGTTTTGTTGGAGAGTTTATTCAAACCTTTTATCCCTTTTCTTTTTACTGAGCTATTTCTTATTATTGATTTAAAACTTTTTTGTTTCTGTTTTGATTTTTCATTTTCTGGATACCAATATTTTATCAGTTATGTGTTTTTCAAATATTTTATCCTGAGAGTAGCTTATGATTTTAATTTTCTTAATGGCTTTCAAACAGTAGGAGTTTTTACTATTAATGCAGCCAATGTGTTTTTTATTCTTTTTAATAATGATTTTTTGTCATATCTAAGAATCTGTGCTTAACAGGGGTTGAATGAGATTTTCTCCTCCCATTTCTCTTATAATTTTTCAATTTTAGTTTTTACATTTATGTGTGTATAACACTTTTATATGGATGTATAATTTTATGTGTGTATTACATTTTTATATGGATGTATAATTTTTCCAGTACCATTTGTTGAGAGGACTCATTACTCTGTGGAATTTCCTTGGAATATCTGTAGTTTTATATATATATATATATATATATATATATATATATATATATATATATATAAAGTTAAAAATATATATTTATATGTATATATATTATATATATTTATTTGTATATATTATATATATTTATATGTGTATATATAATATATACGCTATATATAATATATACATATATAATGTATACACTATATATAATATATAAAAAATATATATTTTTATATATATATAAATAGCCCTATTTCTGAACTCTGTTTATTCCATTCATCTACATGTCTACCTTCACAGAAATGTCATCCTATCCGTGTTGTGATTACCATAGTTTCAGAGCAAGTCTGGAATTCAGGTAGTATTGGGAATACTAACTAAACCTTCAATCTCAAAATTGTGTTGGTTATTCTTTAATTTCCCATATAAATATTAAATTTTCAATTATAAAATGCATGCTGGAATTGTGTATTCAATGTGTTCCAAAGAAACAGAAGCAATAGGATATGGATAGACAGATAGAAGGAGAGAGAGAGAGTGAGAGATACATAAATACATATATACACATAGACATAGAGGAGAAGGGATTTATTATGGGAATTATGGAGGCTGATAAGTCCCACAGTAGGCTACCTGCAAGCTGGAGAGCCAGGAATGCTGGTGTACTTCAGTCTATGTCAGAAGGTCTGAGAACAGAGAGCCAATCGTGTAATTCTAGCTGCAGCTGAAGGACTGAGAGTGTGTTGGAGGAGGGGGCACTGATACAATTCCTAAATCCAAATGCTAAACAACCTGGAGTTCTGATGTTCAAGAGTTAGATAGCATGCGTGTTCCAGCTCCAGAAGAGAAAGCAAATTTGCTTTCCCTCTGTTTTTTTGTTTTATCCTGGACTTCAAGTGATTTGATGGTGTCCACCCACATTAGGTGAATCTATATCTTCTTTATTCACTCCACTAATTCACGTCAGTCTCTTCCAGAAACATCCTCACAGACATACCCAGAAATAATGTTTTATCAGATATTTGAGTACCCATTAGCCCAGTAAAGTTGACAACTAAAATCAACTTTCACAAATTATCACTGGGGTTGGTTTGTACTCTTAGATAAATTGGGGACAATTGACATTTTAGTAACAATCAGATTTCACCCATGAACATGCTTAATTATTCTACCCTGAGAGCAGAAGGCTTTTCTTTCTACTGCTTCCCTGGAAGCTGTAGATCTTTGACTATATTATGGATAGGGGAGTATTCCTATCCCTCCACCAGATGCATAGAAATGTTGCCTCTACTCTGTCCGCAGAAACATTGGCTTTTTGCCTGGGCCTTGCTCTGTAAGAGGAAAGAATATGGAGAAATAGGATTCCTATCCACTTTCCACCAGCCACCAATAACCTCCAACATGCCAGCCTGGCTGCATAATATGTGAGGCCAAGTGTAAAATGAACATATGAGGCCCCTTGTTCCAAAATAATTAATAATTTCAAGATAGTGACAGCAGAGCACTAAACCAAATGCAGAGCTCTTTTAAGTGTGGGACCTAAGTAACTGTATAGGTCCTATGCCCAGGGACCTGCCTCTTTTTTCGTACCACCAAAGAGAGATGAGAAAAGAACTTGGAAGTGAATGCCAACCTCCCTTGTAACTTAGAATTCTAGCATTCCCACTCTAATATGCCAGCCCATACTTGGCCTTTAATAACTTGTTAAAATTTTACTTCAATTCTTTCTGGCTGCCTGTAGAGTAATCACTTCTTTCTCCTCTGTTCTGTGAGACAAATAATTGCTGTGCTGTGTTTCTCCTCAGATGGGCTTGTTACTCTTAGGAATTTGCCTTCTAACTTCAAAAAAAAAAGTTATAATGATGTAGATTGGCTGGATTTTTTTGGGGGGGTGGGTTATGCTGCCAGTGATGCTTTCTTGAAAGCATCTACATCTTATGTGACTCCTCACTTGTTTGTATGTATAAATGTTTGTGGTTAGCACGTTTGAATGTTCTGATACAACTCCTCTTACCATTTAATATTATGTGTTTCCATTTCCATTCTCATGCAGTTACAATCATCATTTTGGGGAAAATGGCTGTCTTTTCGTTTCATTGTTTAAATTAATTTTATATTTTGTTTATCCTTATTTAGTAAAAGAAAATCTAAAACAGGAACTCATGGTACTATTCAATCTCAAATTTGCCACTATATAAATACTGTCCTCAAGCAAATTCCAGAATTACTAATTGTACCATCATTTTAGGTGTACAATCATTTTAGATGTACAATCCAGGTGAACGTACTTATAATCTTCAAATAATGATGACATTAAGTTCAATGCAATTTTTATTATTTTCTATTTATTTCTCTTGTCTGATTATCTTATCTAGTACCTCCAAAATGATGCTAAATAGTTGTGATTATGTACATTCTATTAGTCTAAATATAATGAAATATCTTTTCAGGTTTTACTATTAGATACGATTCTGTTTTTATACTTAATAATTATGAATCTATTTTAAGATTACAGCCCCCACCTTCAGACCTCATTTAACTTTTATCACTTTCGCACAGATCTTACCTCCAATTACTGTCACATTGTGGGTTAGGGCAACCACATAAGAACTGGGGGAGACACAAACATTCAATCCATAACAGAGATACGAGGTGGGGTATATTTTATATAGGGTGGTTAGAAAAAGTCTCTCTGATAGGATGACATTTGAGCTTAAAAGTTAAGGCAATAAGGGAATGCAGTGGCTATCAGTGGAAAGAATGTTCCAAGTCAGAAAGACCAGGAGGTGCAAATGTCCTAAGCCTGAGGTGAGGCCTTGCTTTCTGCACAAAAAGTAGTATGAGGGCCAGCCTGAGAGCAAAGAGGAAAAAAGGTAGGAGATAATATCAGAAAAATAGCAAGAATTAAGATGATATAGAGAGCCATTCTCTATAAATTCTGGGTGAATTTGTCTGATTAAATATTCTACACTTCCTCATCAATGATATCAATTTTTATACAGAGTATTGAACAAAATGACTTCTTATAAATTGTAATATCTTTTATCTGTGATTATTTTTGTATTTTCATTTATAATGTTATACTATTTATGATTTCTACATTTTTCTTTGTTCGGTGAGTTCACATTTACTTTTTGTTAGTAAAATGAACCAATTCATATATGAACTTACTGATTCTTCCATTTTAATTCAATCTATTAATATTCATTTGATATTTGTCCAAAACTTGTTGCTTTTAGGCTTTTTCTAAGTTTATTGCTTCTTGTTTATAACACTTACGTTGAGTGCTAAATTCATTTATTTCAGTATATGGCTGCTTCAATAAAATCTCATTGGCTTTGAATATGTAGTATTTTCATTTCTATTAATATCTCTATCTTTGAAAATTTTATATCCTGTGTATATCCTAAAACAAAATTTCTGTCTATACTAAAATTTTATTTATTTGTTTCATACAATAATATATTTTTCCTAACTTAAACATATTATAAACTTTTTTTAACGTTAGAAACAGAAAATAGTTGTGTCATATTCCCATGTTTATTACTGAGGCATTCTTAAATTTTGTGTCCGTTCCTTGAACATTTGAGAGAAGAAGCAGTTTGTTGTCTGCCTTTAGGATATAGAATTCAATATATAAAAATTAGTTCTACTTTGTTATTATTTAAACATTCTATATTTTTAATTGCTTTTTGTTTATTTGAATTGTCATGCATTAAGAGACATGAAATAAAGTCTTAGTCAGATGTGCTACCTTCTTCAGTGTCAGATTTTCTTCATAATACTATCCATTCCCTTCATTTTCTATTTTTCCAGTAAGGGTATCAGCTTTATGAGAAAATAAAGTGTGTTCTTTTTGTTTATTATATAACCTTAAAGCCTAGAATATTGGCTGACATATGAAAAGAGCTCTATAAGCAAATGAATAGTATGATATTATTTGGAGCACAAATATTCATAACAGATATATAATCATTTTGATTTATACTATGTATTGTTATCATTTTTAATGTTTTTGTTCTTAATTTCATATAATCCATTAAGAAGGTGACCCCTAATTTCCTTGAGTGTGAATTTTTGTTTACTTTTATTCATTTAGCTTTGCTCTTTACTTTTTTTAACTTTTCCAAGTCATTGTTATAGATGTGTTGCTTACAAATAATATGTGATTAAGTTTTGCTTTATATTCTAATTTAAATGATCTTTCATCTTAAGTGGATGATTTTACCTTATTTACCTGAAAGAGATTAGTTCTTTTTTCAGTCAACTTATATCAACTGTTTTAATATTTCTTTTGGATTTTATTATTTAGTTTGTAGTCTGTGTTTTCTTTGCTTTTTATATTGAGTATTTATTTCTTCTTATAGTTTATGTTATTTGCAATCTGTCATGTCCTTCTGGTTATAAACCATTATTGTTTTTCTAGGTTCAAAATAGCAAATATTGATATATCTCAGAAAATACTAGGTAATCCTTTAAGTGATAGTGTTTTCAATTTGACCCTCACAAAATCGTAGGCTATTAGATTTGAAAGGAACATCAATCCAACCACCTCTCTAGTGAAAGAATTACTTCCACATCATACTTGATAGATGCACAGCCCCTGATTGAATGCCCTCCAGTACAAAGAGCTCACCATTCTAAAACAGCTCATTTTTAATGCTGGGGAGTTCCAATGTTTATCATGTGTTTTCATCTATTAAGACAAATTTAGCTTCAAGTAATATTCAGCCTGTCATCATAGTTCTCATTCTTATCACACACTCATATAACTATCTCAGACCTTCCTACTTCATTTAGCAATTCTTCACAAGTAATGGCAGCCTTATCCTCAACTATGCCAAACACCAACTTCTATGTAGTCCACTTTGTCAATGTTCTTGTTATTACATATGCCATTCAGAATAAAACTCAATGTTGCAAATATATCCTACATAATAGTGAAAAACGTGATATCATTACCTCATTTAATCTATATATGTGTTAGTATAATCTATAAAAATTTTTGGAATTTGTCAGCAGCCAAATTACAAAAGTAGCTCTTATCCTTTCAAACACATCAGAAGAAAATAAATAAAACCAATAGATAATAACAAAAGCAATGTTAACCCAATTTCTCTTTACCTGACCATTTAGGAGGAAGACAATTATTGCATCAAGTAGAATAGATTGCATATCTAGTAAGATAAACTTTCTGGAAGATAAATTGTAGATAGGATCAGATTGAGAGAAGAAGAAATATGAGCCCAGTTCAGTGTGGACAAGGAATGGGTTAGCCTGTGATTTAAGAATATTCTCCAACAGAGCCCAGAAAATTTCCAAGTTTAGAGAAGCAAGGCTTAGGAGAGAATGCAAATAGGGAAAAGTGAAGGACTTGAGTAATTTTAAGCACTTTGTAATTCTTCAGCTATCTTACAAATAAAGCTTCAGAAAGCATTCCCAGCCATGATATGCCAGAGAGTATTTAATATTCAAAATGGAGGCTCTGTCACAGTGTTCCTAAAATTATCCCTGAGAAGAGCTGAGTCAACATTTCTCTATCAAGTAATAGTACCCAAAGGAAAAAGAGAAAACAGGGAGAAAAAAATCCATTTTTTTCAAATATGCAAATGCATTGAATCTATGCAATAGAAGCCACCTGGCATTAGTAAAAAACATATTCAGATGAAAATTACAATTGCCTAAATGAAAACAAACAAGAAATAAACAGGCAGCAATCTGATTATTGAATGCTGCAAAGTTCTCATCAGTTATTTAGAGAAATGATTTAAAATAATATGCCAGAATGTGGAGAAAAACTTTAATGAAGTTGCAGAAATGAGGAGTAAAACAATACAAAAAACTGGATCACCATATACATGTACATACACACTTTTTTTTCCTAGTTCAAACTCCCAGGTATTTTCAGGGAAGGTTGGAAGTTGCAAGTATAGGAAAAAATGTGTAGAAGCAGAAGCAGTGATACTTAGAATATATTGATTCTTTTTAGATAGTTCATTAATAATTCTGGAGGCATGCAGCTTAAATATATCGAGATCGTAGTAGAGGCAATCACACCCAGGGTGCTAATAGTTTTGTGACTTCTAGACCACTGTGGCCCAACCTTAAAACATCTAGTACAACTGGGTCAATTTAGCCTTTCATGCCATGTTCTTTATGCCCACACTGCTGTAGCCCATCTGCCTTCCACCTCGGTGGATCTGCTACAGTCAAGTTTGCTAACAGTCTGCATGGCCAAATGTCATCAGACAGTATCATGAAATTGGGTGTTAAATAATGACTAATGTCATTATGAATTCAGATTTATTTAAGGAGCTCTGTCTCCTAGAGTCTCATCCCTCTAAATCGGTCCCCCTCTTACTTTCTGCCATTGACCTTGCTTTTTACATACTTGAGAAAACACAAACTTTTAGAATAGGGCTCATTCATCTCCCCATGACAAAATCTATAAACACTCCAGTGTCTGTTTTCTGCTTCAGCATCCTCCCTTCTATTTCAATGAACCAAATGTTTATCTTCCTATGATAGGGAGATCTTTTGCTCCATTAGAGTCAATAAAGTATTTTATTTCCATGGTCTTTCCTTTTTCTTCCTTACTATCAGCATCTCCCTATTAGATTATTCTCATCACCATATAAAACTGCTCTATCATTTCTCGGGTCAATTTACCTTAGCTTTTCTTGAATTTATATTATTCGTTAACAAAATACTCCCATCAACTTCTCCAAAAAATTGCATACATCTCTCCTCCCCACTTTGTCATATTGCATTCACTCCTCATAACACTCCAAGAGATTTTCACCAAGTGCTTCAGTGAATCTATTTCAAATGAAATTACTAACAACCTTCAGGTTTTCAAAGCCGTAAGTATATTTTTATATATTTATTTAATAACATAGCAGCATTAAAACAGATGATTCTGTGCTTTATAAACTGTTTTTTCTCTCATGTTCTATAACAACGTATAATTCTGATTGTCCACATATTTAATGCCTGCTCCTTCACACACTGCTTTGCATATTTCTCCATGTTAGCCAGATCTCAAGATGTTATTTCTTGCTCCAGGCCCCATCTTCTCTCTATATATTGCTTTTGCAGATGGTCTAATTCTCATGATATAAGAAAAAAATGAATGTCAGATTTGTTTCTCAATCTACAGTTGATCCTGTTAGATATATATATCTTCATATTTGAGCTCAAACTGCTCAGAGCTAAACTCTTGACTTTAACCACTACAATCAAGTACTCTTCTAATCTTTGAGTGGCTTCGGTGAAATATATTCAACTTATTCTTTTCTACTCCCAACTTGCATCAAGTTATGCTTTACCACAGATGTATAATGGGAGCCCATTCACTTTCCTCTATATCCACTGCCACAATCCTATACCAAGACACTATGATTTCTTTTGTAAAAGATCTTGGTATTATTCTAAATTTTTTTTCCTTTCATTCAAATCCATTCTCTACAGAAGTCTTGGAGTATTATATATACCTGAATACATATAGGTGTATACACACACACCCACATATATATGTATATATATATAGATGTACATGTGTGTATATATATATGTGTGTGTGTGTGTGTGTGTATATATACATATATATACACATATATATATATATACACACACACACATATATATATATATAATTAAACATATTACAATTGCCAACAGATCTTTGTGGGCTCTACTAATCTACACAATCTCATCCAGCACTCTCTTATTCACTCACTATGGTCCAGCCACCCTCATTTCATGTAGCTCCTTGAGTCTGTACATAGCTTTACTGTCTTAGAGACTTTAAATTGTTGGCTCTTCTACCTAGAATGCTTTCTCCCCAGAAGTAGACATGGCTCACTTTCTCTCGTTATGCCAGATTCCACTTAAATTTCAACTTCTCAGAGATCTTCAAGATCTCATCCTAAGAGATCTCCATTACTAACACTCACAGTTATCCACTTTTATAGTATCCTATAATTTTTGAAAATTTGTACTACAATTTTAACATTATCACTCTGTGAATTTTCCCTCACTTCATATTTAAATACAACTAATTTATCATGAGATGAAACTGAATATATCATAATCACTTTTTTCTAACACAGATCACTGCACTGAGCGGGAACCCAGAAGATTTTTGCAATTTACTTATACATGGCAGAAATATACACTGGAAAATTAAAATGCTTATTTACATGATTCAAGACTGAAATAATCAACATAATAATAAAACAAGGAAACAAATTAACGAAAACTGCCCCAAAGTCCTCTTTCATGAAAACCCAGACAAGTATTTCAATAATTTACAATTTCTTTGTACATGCATTTCTCTCTCCTATAAACATTCACAAAATTGTTTTCAACCTTAAAATGATTATGAGGTTTTCTTTGCAAAATATGCATGTTCATGCTGTTTATGTCACTTGTTAAATATTATGCTCATTGTCTGGATTCAATAAATGTTTTATTCAAATTAATAACACAATATTACCTCAAAAAATAACATTTAATCAAATTAATACATGCAGAATTTTGATAATGTTAGAAAGCTTCAAAATAACTAGGAGGTTGTAGTATCTGTTAAAGAATCCAGTGTTCTCTTTGTCAGTCCTTAGAGAAAGCAAATACAAGAGTGGAAAACTGACTATGTAAGTTTTATGTGTGAGAGATGACCTTGTCTTAACATTAGTAATCATAGGCCTTAAAAAATTATGTATTCATAACACAGAATACAAAAAAATGTTGTTTGAAAGTTAATTTTCTTTTGAAGAGTAATGTTTTAAGTTTGTGAAAATACGCTATTATAATGGTTTTCTGATTACCTAATAGTGTGATTCTCCATTTCATGCAGTCCTTGAATCGAATTGTATTCTAAATATAATAATGACTCACAAATTACATCTGACAAACTGAAAATATATATACAACAGAAAAAAATATTAAAAGGAAAAACTGCCAGAAAGTAAGGAAAAGAAATTGCATTTTTTTTCCTTTCAAGCTACTCAGCTGGAAGACCTGACCTTTCTCTACCACTATGTTCCTTGTAAATATAGCTTCCAAAAGATCATTTGTCTGTATAACCTGCACACAATAACAAAAAAAGAAGAACCAGGAGTTACTTTTTGACATAACTTATCAATGTTTTTACTCTCCTCCTCTGTCCATTATCAACAATTATGAAAATGTATTAATGATAATATCAAATGTTAAAACAATAATTTTCTGTACTATTTCTAAAACTACACACTTCATCACTCCTACATAGATTTACTTCACAGGGCAGTGGAATAAAATTTAAGGATTAGGAGATGGTGATATCCACTACAAATATTAAGAAATAGTTGAGTGTTTCATATGTGCTAAGCACTGATATAGATCCTAAGTTACAGTAGTACAGACACACCTCAGAGATATTGTGAGTTTGGTTTCTAGACCACTGCAATGAAGTGAATATCTCAATAAAGTGATTCACATGACTCTTCTTTGTTTCTTGATACATATAAAAGTTATGTTTATACTATACCGGAGTCTATTGTGTGTGCAATAGTATTATGCCTAAAACTGTCCATGCTTTAATTTTAAAATATTTTATTGCTAAAAAATGCTAATGATCAACTGAACCTTCAGCTAATTGTACATAATGTTTTGTATTGGTAGTGGCTCCAGCCTCAATGTTGATGGCTGCTGACTAATCATGGTGGTGGTTGCTGAAAGGTGAGGTAGCTGTGTCAATTTCTTATAAGACACTATGAAGTTTTTACATTGATTGACTCCTCACCTTATGAAATACTGTTTTATAGCATGTGATGCTGTTTGATAGCATTTTACTCTCAGTAGACCTTCTTTCAAAATTCAAGTCAATCCTTTCTAACTGTGTAACTGCTTTATCAACTCAATTTCTGTAATAGCCTAAATCTTTTTATCTCATTTAAACAACGTTTCTAACTTCTTCACCAGCAGTGGATGCCATCTCAAAACCACTCTTTGCTATTCCATAAAAAACAACTCTTCATCCATTCAAGATTAATATGAACTTGCAGGAATTCAGTCACATCTTCAGGCTCTACTTTTAATTCCAGTTCTCTGGTTATTTCTACCACATATCCAGTTGCTTTCACCAGTAATGTATTAAAACCCTGAATGTCATTTATGAAAGTTGAAATAAACTTCTTTCAAACTCCTGTTAATGTTGATATTCTGACCTCTTCCCATGAATCATGTATGTTCCTGATGGTATCTTGAATGGTGATTCCTTTGCAGAAGGATTTCAATTTACTTTGCCCAGATCCATCAGAGAAATCACTACCTATGGCAGCTATAGCCTTACAAAATGTATTTCTTAAATAGCAAGACATGAAAGTAGAAGTTACTTCTTGATCCATGGGCTGAAGAACAGATTCTGTGTTAGCAGGCATGAAAACAACATTAATGAAATCTCCATGAGAGCTCTTGGGTGACCGGGTGCATTGCCAATGAGCAATAATATTTTGAAAGGAATTTCTTCTCTAAACAGCAGATCTCAACCATGGGCTTAAAATATTAAGTAAGCCATGCTGTAAACAGATGTGCTGTCATTTAGGCTTCATTTTTCCATCTATGGAGCATAGTTAGAATAGATTTGCCTTAATTCTGAAGGACCATAGAGTTTTTGGAATGGTAAACAAGCACTGGCTTCAGCTTAAAGTTACCGGCTGCATTAGCCACTACAAAGAGAGTCAGCCTATACTTTGAAACATTGAAGCCAAGCATTGTCTTCTCCTCTCTAGCTATGAAAGTCCTAGATGGCATGTTTTTCCCATAGTAGTCTATTTCATTTCCATTGAGAATCTACTGCTTTTCATCAATTATCTTAGCTACCTTCATCAATTATCTTAGCTAGACTTCTGGATAACTTGCTACAGCTTCTACATCAGCATCTGTTGCAGCACCTTGCATTTTTATGTTGTAGAGATGACTTTTTTCATTGAACCTCATAAATAAATCTCTATCAGCTTGAAACTTTTCTTCTGCAGCTTCTTCACCTCTCTCAGACTCCAAATAATTAAAGAGAGTTATGGCCTTGCTCTGGATTAGGCTTTAGCTTAAGAGAATGTCGTGGCTTGTTTAATCTGCTATCCAGATAACTAAAACTTTCGCCATATCAGCAATAAGGCTGTTTCACTTTCATATTATTCATATGTTCACTGGAGTAGGAGGCACTTTTAAAACCCTTCAAAAACTTTTCCTTTGCATCTACAACTTCTCTGTTTGGCACAAGAGGCCTAACTTTTGGCCCTGAGAGCTTTTGAATTGCTTTCTGTACTTAATCATTTCTTAAGTCGTTTTGATTTAGAGTGAGAGACCTGCAGCTCTTCTTTCATTTGAATACTTACAGACCATTGTAGAATTATTAATTGACCTAATTTCAATATTGTTGCATCTCAAGGAATAGAGACATCCAAAGAGAGGGAGAGATATGGGGAAACAACTGGTTGGTGGAGCAGTCAGAATACACAATACATTTGACAGTTAAGTTTGCTGTCTTATGTGGGCATGGTTTGTGGTGCCCTAAAACAATTGTAATAGTAACATCAAAAGACCACTGATCACAGATCACCATAACCAATATAACAATGAAAATTTTGAAATATTGGGAGAATTACCAAAATGTGACACAGAAACACTAAGTGAGCACGTGCTGTTGGAAAGAAATGGTACCAACAGATTTGCAAAATGCAGGGGTGCCAAAAACCTTGAATTTGTAAAACATACACTATCTGCAAAGCACAACAAAGTGAAGCAAAATAAAATGAGGTATACCTGTATATATAGCAGACAAAGTTCTTCTATTGTGGAGCTTAATTAAGGCATGAAGAGACAGATAATTAACAATTAATAGATAATTATACAAGATAATTTCCATTGAGATACATGTTTTGAAGAAAAAGCAAGATAACAGTGCACATGACTTCAGATAGGATGACCAAGGAGGCTTCTACGAGGAGGAAACATTTAATCTACATGTGAATGACAAGAAGTCTATGCCAAGAAAATCTTGGAGAGTGTGTACAAAGTTCATGGGAAAAGAAGGGGCTTGACAATTCCAAAAAAACCAAACCAAAACAAACAAACAAACAAACAAAAACAAGAAGGCTAGTGTTGGAGCATGGTGAAGGAAAGAAAATGGTTACTAGATGAAGTCAGAGAAGTAAATAGAGGCTGCTTAATGTAGGACCGTATGAGAAATACATGGTAGATTCTGAATTTTGCTCTCAGGACAGTGGGAATCCATGGGATAGTTTTAAGTGAGAGAAGAGCAGAAATGAATCTGAATGCCAAAAGAAGAGTGGATTAAAAGGGGTGGGGAATAATCTTAGAAAAATATATCTTAAAATATTATTGCAATAGGAAAGCTGAGAGCTAATAGTGGCAATGCAGATGGAGGAAAGTAGACAGTTTGGGGGCATATCACATAGGCTGAGCATTTAGAATTTAACATTATATTAGGTTTCTATCCTGATGCATTTTGCAGACAGTTCCGAAAGAAGAAACTGAACGAACTTTCATATTTTGTGTTAATTTTTCTCATGCTTTGCATTTTTATAATTTTCAGATGTTTACAATTTTATTTCAACACTTTAAGACAACATATTTCATTTGAATGTGGGAACACATGTTGATACAGGAAAGTACATGTTGTGGAGAGAAAAATGTTCTTCCTTTATTTTTTATATCACACTATCATCTTAAATTGAAATCCCTCAGACTAAGACATATTTGAGTACTGTTATTTACAAACTGACATATAGTTTTTAAATCTTTATAAAGCTTCATAAATACTTATTTAATTCTAACAAATATTCTAAAATGTGCCAAATGGACAAAACCATGAAGGTAAGTACTACAGTTAGGGAATGTGTGAAAAAAATAATAAATAAATGAATATTAACTGTTTGGAAACAATTACAAATTATGTTAATGAGCACAAGACTAAACTTTAGCCAATTCATGTGTAGCAGATTAAGTAACAATAGCGTGTCATTTCTGTCTGAGAAATTACATGAAATTCCAGCATTCATCATACTCCTGTCTAATACTTTTGAAGGCCTGAGCAGAATCCATATTTCCAAGTGCATTCAATTTGTTCTGAGATCACTTTTAATTTAAGCCTTCAGTTTAAATTTGTGTCATAGTCTGAGATAATGCAGTTTTCAAATATAAGGACTGAAAAATCATTGTATATAGTCCAGGCTTTCTAACTGCTATTTGGTACTATTATAGATCATGCAATGTTATAATAGGCACACAACACTCTGCCATTCTTTACCTGTGAACCTGTGGAAAAGCCACTGAACTTCTCTAAAGCTCCGCTTCCTCATAAAAAATGAAAACGTTGGATTAGGTGATATATGAGGTTTATTTCAATTCCAAAGTGTTACAATTTCCTCCATAACATTATACTAAATTTGGAAATACTTCCCAGAACTTATAACTAGGTTGTCATAATTATATCACATATTTAACTGGTATAAAATTCCTCCTACTCATTTGATATTACTTTATGAGATTCCACCACAAATAACTCATCCAGAATAGACTCTGTTGATAATGAAAATGAACCAAACAGATAATTTGACTATCATATAGTCAAGATCATCGAGTAACCTAGCCAGAAAAGAAGGGGAATATAAGTTTCAAGTCACATACCACATATCAACTCTGGTAGATGTGTAGTAGTTGTGGAGAGTGACTCTGAAGTGCCTGTGTTCATTGGGAAAGCATTGTGATGCTATTTCTGGCATGTGTGCAGAATGAAAAAAGTTAGTATGCATGCAGATATTCACCATCTTCATGCAAAATATAACCATCTTTTAGTTCCTCCACACCAGAGAACTGTGATACCAACCTAAATGACCTGGGCCCTCTTTCCAAATAGAGGAGGCCAAAGAACCATCATCCTTATAGCTCATATTGGAGGTGTTCAAATGCAGGAATTAATAAATAGTGGTATGTTCACACTGATGAACTACTCCAATACTTAGGAAATATATCTCTGCTTGAAGTCTTTTCACATTGTGTAGATTATATCTCTGGAAATAAGTTAAGCCTGAATACATTATAATCTTTTCAACAATTTTAACACAACTAACTGAAATCTTAAAAGCCCTTAATGAGGAGGTATGGGTGATAAACTCTGTAAGTAAAGAGAATACACTATGCAACATATACATATTAAAAAGTTGCTGATTATTCTCAGACATTAGACGGTTGGCATATTTGCAAAGATGATATTAATGGCTCTAATATTAAGTAAGGATTAGTGTTTTTTATCCTTAAATTTGTTACTATTATTACATCCAAATGTATGGTAATGAACTAAAACAAAAATATCTACTATTTGTAAGGTTCTGAATAGCAGTAGGTAATTTTTCAGACATTCGAGTTGTGTGCAGTAACATTGTGTACAGGAACCAGACATATATGAAAGCTGGAAATCTAGTCTGTTGCTTTCATCACTGTATTACCAGTACATCGTAACCTGGCTCATTTTAAATAATTTATATGTGTGATAGACAAGCAAATAAATCAGTAAGTACACTATGACTTTATTTTTCACTTATTAAAAATATTTATTGAACTTCAACTACAATATACACTTTATTCATATTGGTAATACAAAAATGAATAAAAGTTACATCCTCCTGAATTTCTCAATAAATGACACACAGAAAAATACACACAAAAAAACAATAACAAGTACACAAATGCATGTCCATCAACAATAACTAAAGTAAATAAAAACGAAGTGAATTATTGGTTTGGAAATACAGGATAGGTGGAGCTTACTATATTTTAAATAGAGTGGTCAGGATAATCCTCTTTGATAAGGTAACATTTGAAGAGAGCCCTGAAGAAGATGAGAAAAGCAAAGTGACCACAGAGATCTATAGGGAGCAATTTTCCTTTTTTTGTTTATTTTTATTTTCTCACTATTGTACAATGAATGTGTATCATTTTCCAACAAAGGAAAACAGTATGATTAAAACATTTTAAAAGATACAATTAAATTTACTTCCTATTGAATACAAAATAGTCACAATTCCCTAGCCTATCATTTAATGCTCTCTGTAATTTAATTTCAAGCTCTCTTCATAGGTTTACCACAATAATTCCATTTTTGCTAAGTGAAATATTTTCAAATCCCCACATGGTTACATACTTCCAAACCTTTTCTTTCTTCCTACTTATTTGCCCAAAGTATCTTTCTATCTTTATATAGACTTCCCTATATCAATTTAAAGACCTAGCTAAAATTAAATATCTAAATAGAATCACTTTTGTCCTCTGAAACTAATATTTTATTTTTCCACCTTTTATACTTTGTGTCATAATTATTTCTGTACTTACTTATTCATTTTTTTGCTATAACATACTTAAGATAGATGTCATGTCTATTCCATCCTTATACTCTCTATAACACCTATAAAGTTCTTACAGTTGCTTTATTTTCAATAAAGTACATAAGAATAAATAATCTGGCAATGGTCAAATATTAGATACCTTACAAATGCCCAAAACATTAGTCACAACTTGTATACATGCAATGTTTTTCAAATAACTTATATTTCTGTGCAAGAAAAGTTGTTTTTAATGTCAACAATAAATATAAATGTCATTTAATGAAACTTTGCATTTTTAAATAGTTAGCCAAATTGTTATCACAAAGTCTTTTTTAGAGTCTACTTCTTTTAAGTTTTACATTCCACTACTTCAATGATAGAGATTATTTTCCTCTAATATATTGGGATTATCCAAAATTAGATTTTTAAAAAGATTTTCCAACTGAGAACAAGTTTGAAATTTTTAATATAGATTTTTATATGATTTTCAAACTTTCCAGGTACATTTTTAACTGTGGAGGATGACTTGGTCTTATAAACTTGCTCCCATTTGTAAATATCATGATTCAATTTTTCAATCATAAATATGTGTTGCTTTCTCTCACATTATAGTCAACTTTAACGTATATAGGAATATAAAAATACCTACACATTTTCTCAGATATTATCAACATAAAAATAATTAAGTAATAAAAATGAGTAAAATTTGATTTTTTTTGGAAATATCTTGACTGGGATAGATTGAAAAATGGAAAGTGTTCATGTAAATACTAAAAAGTACATTTTAATTGCAGTTATGAAAACTGTCAAGAGAAGCATTGATTGTAATAAAATGCATTTGACATCTTTCAGACTAAGCAGAAAAACCAGGAAGAAGGAGTAGCTGTGCATGAACCACAGCTGGAGGACCACACTCTCCTCTCAGGCAGCTTCCTGGACTGTTTCAAGGCACTTTCATCCTTTGTTACTCTGATTCTTTACCCCTCAGAATGGAATAGCTGTGCTCACTTTGGCAGCACGTATACTAAAATTGTGAATCATAAAGAGAAAATCAGCACGGCCCCTGAACAAGGATAACACGCAAATTCGTGAAGCATTTCATATTTTTCAACAGAGTAAAAAAACAACTCACAGAATGGGAGAAAATGTTCACAAACCTTGCATCCAACAAAGGCCTACTATAAAGAGTCTTTGAGGAACTTAAACAACTCAACAAGTAAACAACAACAACAACAAAATAATTGAAACCTGGACAAAGCTGACATGAACAGACACATCTCAAAAGAAGACATACAAGTAGCCAACAAACATGAAAAAATGCTCAAAATCACTAATTATCAGAGAAATGCAAATCAAAGCCACAATGAGATACCATCTCATACCGTTCACAATGCCTATTACTAAAAAGACATAAAATAATTGATGCTGGTGAGGCTATAGAAAAAAGAAATGCTTATACACTATTGGGGGGAATGTAAATTAGTTCAGGCACTGTGGAGAGAAGTTTAGCGATATCTCAAAGAATTCAAAAAACCAGCATTTGACCCAGTTATCTCATTGCTGGGTACACACCCAAAGGAAAACAGATTGTTGTATAAAAAAAGACACAAGCATTTGTAAGTTTATTGAAGCACTTTTCACAATAGCAAAGACATGGAATTTACCTAAGTGCCCACCAACAGTATATTGAATAAAGAAAATGTGATTCCTCACAAAAAATTAGCCAGGCTTAGTGGTGGGTGCCTGTAGTCCCAGCTACTCGGGAGGCTGAGGCAGGAGAATGGCGTGAACCCTGGAGGCGGAGCTCGCAGTGAGCCAAGATTGCGCCACTGCACTCCAGCCTGGGTGACAGAGCGAGACTCTGTCTCGGAAAAAAAAAAAAAAGAAAGAAAATGTGATTCCTATATATCATGGAATAATATGCAGCCATTAAAAATGTGAAATAATATCTTTTCAAGCTATATGGATGTAGCCATAGGTGATTATCCTAAGTGAATTGACACAGAAACAGAAAACCAAATACCACATGTTCTCATTTTTAAGCAGGAGCTAAATATTGGGTATGTATGGGCATAAAGATAGGAACAATGGATACTGAGGACTGCTAGAAGTGGCAAAAAGGGGAGGAAGGCAAACGTGAAAAACTACCTTTTGAATTGTATGCTCATTGATGCGTACCCCAAACCCCAGCATCATATAATATACCCATGTGACAAACCTGCACAAGTACCCCTTGAGTCTAAAATTAAAATTAAAATTATTTATAAAAATGGAATATTTCACCTTGAAAGTATATGATCATTTGCTCTGGAGAATGCAAAATTACAGTATAAATGAATGTAATCTTTCTAAAACAGTAATTTGGATCTGGGAAAATAATAAAAGGCATTTACATAGCTGGACTGTTAAAATGGTTGTTTTTTTTTGTGAAAAGAAACATATCCAGAATACATTTCCTATAGACCAATCTTACATTGATTTTGAGATACGTAATTTGGGAAATTTAGTAAATTATTTTAATTCAGAAACTAGAACCCTGATGTGGTAAATTCCTTCAAAATATGCAAAGCAATTAACACCCATGGAAAAAATATAATTTAAAAATAATCACCATTATTTAAATGCACACAGATATGTAAGGCATATTCTAAGTTCTTTAGATGTATCATATGATATAATCCTTGTAACTTCACAGCAAGTTATAGAGTGGTATTGTTACCACTGCTCACAGAAAAGGATACTGAGGGACAACAGAAGCACTTGAGTGCTTGTCAAAGCCAATTTTGTTTTTTCTTAACTTTTATTTTTGGTTCAGGGGTACATGTTCAAGATTGTTATATACATAAAGTTGGGTCATGGGGGTTTGCTGTACAGATTATTTTGTCACCCATGTACTAGGCCTAGTACTCATTAGTTATTTTTTCTGATTCTCTCCCTCCTCTCCCACCCTCCTCCCTCAAGTAGACCCCAGTGTCTGTTGTTCCCCTCTATGTGTCCGTGTGTCCTTATCATTTAGCTATCACTTATAAGTGAGAACATGCAGTGTTTGTTCTTCTGTTTCTGCCTTAGTTTGCTAAGAATAATGGCCTCCAACTCCATCCATGTTCCCGAAAAAAGACATGATCTCATTTTTTAATGGCTGCATAGTATTCTATGGTGTATAAGTGACACGTTTTCTTTGTCCATTCTGTCACTGATAGGCATTTAGGTTGATTCCATGTCTTTGCTATTGTGAAAAGTGCCGCAATGAACGTTCACATACATGTGTCTTTACGGTAAAAGAAATTATATTCCTTTAGGTATATACCCAGTAATGGTATTACTAGATCGAATGGAAGTTCTGTTTTTAGCTGTTTGAAGAATCACCACATTGTTTTTGACAATAGTTGAACAAATTTGCACTCTCACTGACCGTGTATAAGCATTCCCTTTTCTCTACAACCTCACCAGCATCTGTTATTTTTTGTCATTTTAACAATAGCCATTATGACTGGTGTGAGATGGTATCTTATAGTGGTTTTTATTACAATCTCTCTGATGATTAGTGATTTTTTAATTTTTTTAATAATAGCCATCCTGACTCAAAGCCCATGTTCTTAACCTCAATGACACACTGCTTTTATATCAGGCAAGAAGGCTTTGCATGCAAAGGCATAAATTTATTGTTCACACAGAAGGGAAGGTGGAATGTGGGGCTTTTTCAAAGTCACAGATGCTCACAGAAAAAGTGTTTTGGAAAATAAGCCTGGCACATAGTAACAATATATTTTTCTTTTATTATCATTGCTTTAAAACGACTTATAAAATTGTTAAACTTTCATAGCAAATTTGTTCCTCATTAATTTAGAAATAGTTCCAGAGTTTAAAAATACATATTTTAATTTTTTAAATTCAAGTGTTCCACAATAGGAAAAAAAAAACTCCAAAATGGCTGACTGTTATGCTTTTTATTATCATTTATCATTTCTTCAGTTTTAAATGCTGTAACATTTAAATTACACTTTAAACTATAATTATGGGTCCAAAGTTACATGCAGATTATTTGAATCATAAGAATGGTCAAAAGAATTGAACATATCAATAACAGAATTTCAAAGTATCTATAAACCCATCTGGAATTATAACAAGCTTGGCAGTTGGTAAGGATTCCCTCAACAAATTTGACATTGAAGAATATTATGTTATACTGTCGTCAATCTACCAAATCAGTTTATAAGTAGATGGAATCAATACGAAATTCTGAGAAGTACTTGGAAGTTTAAATAAGATGACTCCTAATATTATAAATGATACCAAGCTTGGAAGACTCTTAAAAGAACTCCTAAGCAATGGTTATATAGAATCGAACCACCTCATGGAAAGATGCCTTTAAAAATTCATCACTGTCACTTATAGGTAAGACCACAAAATTTTGCAAATTAAAAAAGCACTATTTTTAATATCAGGAACATTATAATGAAAAACACAGTAAAACCTACATTTAAAAAAAATGACTTCTGACTTTCTCTTCCAGTTATATTCTCTGTTCAAGCCTGCCACTTACTAGCTGACTATAGGTTTTCTCCCTCTTCCACCAACAATGACCCATCTCATGAGTGGGCTCTGACGTCATGCAAGCTGGAACTCTTTCTTTGTTCCTTAAATAATTTATCCATAATAACAACTGGAATGTGTAGCAATAAAGCACAATTTCTGGTTGGTTTATCAGCCATGTATAATTGCCACTATTAAAAAGCTCAAACATCCCTTTCCTCAATGCAGGAGTATGAAGAGTTCTCAAGAGTGCTTACTGTTCAAAAATGTAAATCATATGGATTATGGAATCGCTGGGTAGAAAAATCCAACAAAAAATAATAAAGTTAAAAAAGCAATGTCAGGTGGCTTCCACTGCAGAAGTAAAGTGGGAATGCACCACAGCCAAAATGGTTATTCATAAATAGTGAAACGCGCCAGCAGATCACACAATGTCCTTTGATAAAAGAAAAACTTCAGCTGAATTAAATTTAAAGGAGTTGAACTGAGCAATGAATGGCTTGCGAATTGGGCAGCCTCTTGAGCTGGAGTAGGCTCAGAGACTCCAGCACAGCCACGTGGTAGAAGAAAAGTTATGGACAGAAAAAGAAAAATGATGTACAGAAAACGGAAATGAGGTACAGAAACAGCTGGATTGGTTACAGTTCAACATTGCCTCATTTGAGCATGGTTTGAACAGTTGGCTGCATATGATTGGCCATAACTCAGTTATTGGTACAAGTATAGGCTACAGTCTGGTTATAGTTCATGATATACAGAGAAACCTTTAGGCCAAACTTAAATATGTAAGGAAGCAGCTTTAGGCTAAACTTGATTTAACAATTCTCATCTTTGGGTCGTCTTCTTAATTTTGATAGATTGATCAAAACTTTAGTTATTGATGTCACTATACCCACTGGCCTTGAAACCCACTTGGAAACAGTATAACAGTGGGTTTTGCAAGGTTGGAACAAGGACTGAGTAGAGGTACCTCCTTATGCTGCTGTGTCCTGTTTACAGGAGAAAAACAAAACCAGATCTATTCCAGGATCTATGTGTTTCCTTAAGTCTTCATTCGATTATGTCACATTTGACATGAGTGACTCTATTTTTGGTTTGGTCTGGTCTGTTGGGGCCTAGTACATGAGCTCAGTCCAAAACAATGGCCTCCCATAATTCTGTTCAAAAAAATTTCCTTTTTTGATCAGGTTACCACTTAGGTAACTTAGGTTATAGTTTGACCAAAACTTACGGCCTTAGCGCCACTGTTGGTTACCATTATTTTGGGTTTCCAGCCTCAGCATGTCATTCATAGGTTACGATGTCCTTAAAGCCACACATTTCTTTCAGCTTTTTTCATAACAGTTGAAGATAGGTCATTTGACATTCTAGAGATGCCTGCATGCAAACATTTAAAACTTCTGAGAGAATACAGTGCACCAGGGAGACTACTAATATGACTATCAGGAGAATAATAACAAGAGCTTGGAGTATGCTCTTTACTCAGGGTTCCCATAAACCAAACCAACTTAAAAAAAAAGATCAAATAATGACCTAGATACAGAATCTACTCACTTAACTAAGCAGTTTCTTCATTAATCCCCTACAACTGAATCTCTATAATACTAGATGTTTTCTCCACAGGCCACAAGTGCCAGCAGCTGCACAGATACTTCTGCTTAGCCAGTAAGTAATCTAGAACAATTATATTATTTAGCATAACTTTTACAAGAGAATTTGAAGTCTGTTGTGAAACCATAGCCTTTACAGCCAAATCTGCTATAGAGTCTATCATGAGAGATACATTTCTAATAATTGCCTCTTTTACTCCAAACAATGAAAAAAGGATCTTAAAAATGATGCCCTTCTAGAATAGTGAAGGCCTCTGGCAATGTTCTCTTTAACCCATGATATGGGTTAAGAAGAGTGAACTAATATTCTATTTCTGACTGATTATGAAGCAATGTACGTACCATTAACATTTTTCACTTACATTGGGTCTTCATCTTCCATCTATCAACATATAAGGTTATCCATTTATAAGGCTGGCTGCAAAATCCTTCACAAATAAAAGTATACCCCATAAGTGCACACAACAGACCCCCTTTTCACTTCTATTGTTCATAGAGGAATAAGCAAGGGAAAAAATATTTAAAGATAAGAGTCTCATGACGGTAGATAAGTCTTGAATCATGATCTTGGAAAAAGCTATTTACATCAAGGATGCTATCTTCCTCTAGGGAGAAACTTGCCTGGTTAGCTTTACTTTAAGAGTTCCAGTGGGTGTACAGTTTCAAGAGTGTGGAGGGACCCTTCTCACTTGTGAGATTATGAAGCTTAGCTTCAAGGTCCTGAAGTTTTGCTGCAGTGTGGATGGTAAGGGAAATCTTTCTCTGATGTTCTCAGAAGATCCAAACTTCAGGTTCTAGATTGTGAAGGGTTTGATTGTCCTCAGTCAGTGAACCCTAAAAAGCTGTCTTTACGTGGTGAAAACACACTGTGGCATAATAATCTACTGTGATAACATCAGTGTTCTTGGATGGAACAGCATATATATAACCAGAAAACATGCATCAAAAATGACAATCGAATGAAATCCCTCTATAAATGTTTAAATGTCCCATCTGGTAGCCAAATGTACCTGAAGTTTTGATTGTCTTCCCAGGAATATGTGCTTGACAAACTAAACATTTGTTGCAAATGATTTTAGTAATTGAGAAGTCACCACACCAATATATATTTAATTTGGATCATTTTATGTTTTTCATAATGGTTATGGAATACAGAACTTTCATAACAAAATCTTCCAGGACTAAGGAAGGACAAGGCAGCCATCCTGGTTCTCCATGAGTCCATGCTGAACATTGGACTTATGTCCTCTTGAACACCAGTTGTTTCTCCAATTCAGGTGAGTAGCACTGATAACTAATAGGTTATAATAGATAATTTGACTTAAACTATGGAGTTCATTCACATTGTACATCTAAATAATTTCAGTACTGACTGATTTGACATGGAAATCTGGCAAAGTATTTTCTTGGTCTTCAATTAATTTTTCTACTTGGGTTAGCAGTTTTATGAACCAGTCAGTCTTTTCTTTAAAGTTCCAAGAATTCTTACGCAGTCCAAAAGATATGATTCTAAAGTTATCAGAAACTTGTATTTGAGAGTGCTTTTCAGGATCTTTTCCATCCTTTCATGAACCTCCTAAAAGATGGCATATTCTAAAATTTTGCATGCTTGTGAAGTTTTCAGAAACTGCATCAGCATTAAGCAATTAACTGTGGAATGACTTTAAATCATCATAAAGACATAATTGACAAGGAAATTTAGTTATTTCTGTGGTCTTCTATAACTTAACATAATAACCATAGTTATGATTGATAGGATATCCACAGACATATTAGAATTTTAGAAATCTCATATAATTTTGGAATATATATTAATGTCATTCACTAAAATATAACCAGAATAAGGTTAAACATTATTTTTTATTTTGATGATTCCTATATAACTTAACATGTCAAATAATTCTGTTTACCTTTCTTTTGGATGCTTCAGGGGTCCTTTGCAGCATCTCAATGTTAGAGGTTAAAAAAGACTTACTTTTAAAGCTGAAATTTCATTTTGGGAAGCCTGTCAAATGTGTTAAAGGTTTAAAACACTTCATATAATAAAATACAATTCCAGGTCAACATAAGTCATTCATTTAGCCAAAATGATAACTCAAAATTTTAAGAAAGGCAAAAACCTTTCCTCTTTGATAGAGGGAAGACTTAGCTTTCCAAAACATCTGTCTCATCTTTCTCTTCTTTTTCCTGTAGTTTATTGAAAAGGTAAACAAAAATATTTTATATCCTTTAATATCACATGAAAATCTTATTCAAGATATAAAGCCAAATTTTACCCTTGCATTAGTGTACTATTAATGTCATCCCATTTTTTAATAAAACCTTATAGAATAATCTATCAAATCTTAATCAGTTTGCCCATAAGGTGAGATTCTCATAAACATTTTATAACCCTTTACAAATTTTTGTTAAGGAGCAGATCAGTGTTCCAAGAAAACCCTGTTATGCTTTTATTCCAATGTTAAATTTATGGGAAAAAAATGAGCAATACTCTTTCAAATTTAGGCAATATGTTTATACACAGAATCTCTTTAACAATTAATTTTTCATGAACTTTCCACAATCTGCACAAACATTTAGCTTTATCCTATCTAATTTAAAATAATTATTTAACTCTCTAACCAAGGCAAATATTTACATTCACATGCCTTCTTATAATCTTTTAGTAAAGGAACATTTTACTTTCCTTACACACCTTGCATGTAAAATTGTTTCTTCAGTAGTTTCAAGTACATGTTACACTGTTAACTCTTAGCAACTTTTGGTGAAAAATCTGGTTAGTAAGCTATTTTAATTATGTACTTAGTTTAGAGCCTAGGACATCAGACCGAAGTGCTGATAAGGTCTGACTCTTACCAGCATAGCTAAGGGGATGGCTAATTTCACATGTTCCCAGGCCTAACCTAATATTTGACCTGCCTAATTTAGACCAAATGTCTTTATTTTACCAATAATCTTTAAAACTCTTTATTTCCTAACACTGATCTCACATGAACTAAAAAGCATTAGTTGTATTTTTCTAACAAAATATTTGATTTTTTTCTTTAAGCCAATTAATTACAGCTGCTTTATATAAATATCACACACACAACACATACATAACTACACAGACAGACAGAGGAAGATCCAGTATTGTAGGATTTTTAATTTGCCATTTGTTAATTTTCTTAATTGGATTACTGGCTTCGGGGTGGAGACCTTCAAGAAACAGGGCCAGGAAAGCATATAGTTTCTAGGGCCTAATAAGCAGGTACAGCCAGAAGGCAAAAACCAGATCCCCCAAATTAAGGGTCCCATTTTTATATCACCTCCTGGATCCCCAAAAAGAGGGAAATGCTATGGGAGAAGACAGTGCAAAACTTTTTCCATTCATTTCATTGCTAAGCAACCCAAACCCAATCAGCCCATCCTGTGACTAGCCCATCCCCCATGATAGGCTTATCTCAGTGGGGATAGGGACATTTCCATACTTTTTGGGTGGCCAAGAGCATGCTTTTCTGATCCAAATGTGCAATGAGTCAAAAACTACCATTTGCCATCCCTAAAAGTATATTTAGCATTAGATTTTGAGAGGGATCTATCTGCTTTTAATTCCTGGTGTTTCATAAGGAAAACAGAGGTTATTTTCTAAAACAGGATCTATGGCACCTCCTCTTTTTTCCTAAAGAGTCCCAAGCTGTTAGAAATTCTTTTATGCCCTCTCAGGTGTGCATCAAGAGTGGTGAGACAAAATGAAGAAAAACAATTCAGTTACCTGAGAAGACCAAACATTTTTACCATAAAAACAAATTCAAGAAGAGAAAAAACATAAAGGCCTTTCACATACATGTACAGCTTGGATATCCATTAAGCATGCCTTTAACCATAGTGCTCTTTTTAAAAAATATCCATCTAACTTTCCTATTACCCTACTTTAGCCAGCCAAACAGCCAATATTTCTGGCTTTTAAATCTTACTGAAAGTAACCTCATTGGGTGAAATCAACAAGCATTAACTAAGGTTATGACTTAACCACAAGTGAATGAGGTATTTTCAAACAGGTGGTTAGCAGTTTTTACCAGATATAGAATCTCCAAAGGTATCTCAAATAAAGGAAAATTCAAGATGTTTCTTGTAGGGGAAGAAAATCAACAAATGGTAAAGGTCACACTGATATTAAACCAGAAAGGACTCATTCTCTAAGCCAAGAATTGAATCCTGAACCTGGGCTTCCACTGTGAAAAGAAAAAGCGTTAGCTACTAAGCTAAAGCACTGGGCAACTTTCATCACTCTTCCCAGGAGCCAAGAACAGTCGGTTTTGAGTTTGCAAAGGCTTTTGACTACTCAAGACAATTTTAGAGCTAACTGTAACATGAACTCCAAAATTCCTGTTCCCTGAATGACAGAGACCAAGAGAAAGTACAATCAGATGATTACATGGTCAACCTACCAAGGACATAAAACAAGATGGAGACCTCATCCAGGTTTTTTGTTTCAGGAACCTGCAGCAAAGCTTCTTACTGACCAGCATCCTGTACCATCTTGAATAGCGGGCTTGTGGGATCCTAAGCCCATTATCCTAAGGTACCTCTCTTTATGACAGAATGACACAGAAAAACAAATTAATAGCACAAAGTACACCAGATATGCTAAAGCTTAGGACTAGTCTCACAAATGCTTTTTTCTATTAACCAAACCATTGGAGAGGAGACAAACAGTGATGTTTACCATTTTCACTTACACACATGCACAGACACACACACACATACACAAAAAGAGAGAGAGAGAAGCATTGCTCATGGCAGGGTGGGAAAGGTAGGGAACTTGGGGAAGTCAGAGAAAGTCCCACCCATTGCACTAATACTGAATCAAAAGTTCAGGCTACCGCTTGCTGGTAACACAGGGATCTTTTCCAACAATCCCATCAGCTCTCAAGTTTCCCCCTTTGGGGAGAAAAAGTTCCCCATGTTCCATGGTCCCATATATGCCTAATCCTCTCACCCATAGCTGTCAGCAAAGAGTGCAAGGCAGATTTAATTTTTTTTTAAATCAATTAGTCACTTAAAGTTTTTATTTGCTTTTCATAAACTTCTAAATAAAAATATTGAAATATTTTTAGAATCTTCTGCATGTAAATAAGCATCCCTAGATGAGACTAATTTTGGAGCCCTCATTTTTAAATGCACCTCAGTGCAATGTTCTTTATTTGGAACATTCCACTGTAAGTTCTCTTTAACAAAATTTTGTCATTTCTGTAAGACATTGCTGCTCAGTTCTTCAGAAAATAAAAATTCCATTTTTTACCTCAAATATTGGCTTTGCTCTCAGGTTCCCTTGATTAACTTAGCCGGTGTTTTTTCCTACCTAAGCACGCAAGAAAAATGAAGCTAAGGAGTAGAACACAAAAATCCATGCACATTTCCAAAAGCCAAATTTTACACCCCCTGCAATATTGACATTACTACCAGTTTCTTTCTGACCCAGTGAAGTGTAAGAAGCTTCTAACTGGATGATTATTATGCACAATTATTTCAAAAATAATTCTGGCAAATCTCTAAAATTTGCAAATGAGTTGGTTTTGCAGTTGGTGAACGCAGTGATAGCTACTTTACACAGTTCTTCAGCATTAATTATATTTATCACTGGTATTAAGAATCACATGTACTATTTATAAAATACATATAACTACAGGTTTATAATTTTTTCATCTCTATGGGAAATCTGTCAATATCATTAGCCCCTATTTTATCAAAATTATGGAAAATGTTATTACCATATATTACTCTGCTATCATTATTGGGTTTATTTTCTGGGGTTTTTTTGGGTATTCTTTTTTCCAAAGTACAAAATTTGTTCAAGAGATGAAAATGGGACCTGCTCCATGGAAGTTCCCAAGCAGAAGCCTGTGTTAACTAAGTCATCAAATTCTCTGCTTTGGATAAATTGTTACTGCCATCATTCAGAGACAAAAAGAAAAACAATTTATTATACAGAAGCAATGACTCATTTTACATTCCTACTCCATTTTTTTGTCAAGCATTTTCTAAGTTCCACCGAATCCAGCTTAAAACATGTTCAGAATCAATTTCAGCATATAATTCATGATAAAATAAATTAATTACATATTGGAAAAATTTAGTTAAAAATAATTTTTCAGGAAAAGAAAAGGGAGCATGGATTAAGTTAACAAAGATAGAGCAAGTGATGGGTTGATTGCTCAGAATCACCATAAAAGCTCCTCCAAGGATTCTCTTAGGGACAACTAGAGTACACAGATATAATTCATTTATTAGATTGCTATGAAGAAAACAGTTTTAATTTGATGATGAAGAATTCAACCCCACATTTCCAATGAAAGCAAAAGATCCAATTATTTCAAGGACTGAGCAATTTAACTAAATGCTATATCCTAGGGAACTATGATAGGAATCAAATGTAGTGGTTTATGGAAGTTGATTTAATTTTTGTCAAAAGTACATATATTTTCTAGTAACAACTAACTTTTAGTTCTCATTTTATGATTATATTAAGAAAGAATCAAAGTTCTCTTTTTTTCTTTGAAAAAATAAATTCAGGAATTTCAGGTTATAGGAGAAAAGAACCAAAAATTTTCTATGACATCCAAACGCTGAGAACTCCATTAAACACTGTCACTGGCCCAGGCACTTGCTCTACCATACCAGTTCATGGTGTGCATGACTCAAACTGGGGTTTCAGCAAAACCACACATTATTACATGTTGGACACTTTCATTATCACTCATGAATGGTGTAAACAGTGAACATTAAACCTAGAAAATATGCAAGATTAGGATGGAGTATGGAAACAGGGCCTCTGCAGTGAAAAGGATATTTTTCATTACTAGAGTAGAGAGAAAAAGTAAAATGTTGACATGTCTGGTGATGGGATAAGAGGATAACCAAATGTTATGCAGATTTTTTTAATAATTATAATAGGAAATAATATATCACCAAAATAGAAAGTCTTAGAGCTTCTTTTAACTAACCAGTAAAATACATGTAATATGTTTTATAATTTTCCCCAAATTATTTGTAATTATTGATATAGCATAATTAGTGTGTTGTATACTATCAGAATTTAATATTTAAATAATGATTGCAGAGTTTGAATTCTGGGGGTGATATATTCAAAGACATAAATTAATTATATTAACCCTCATGTTATGAGCTAAGAAAAAATTTCTTGAGAAAGCAGTGGGGCAATGTGTCCTTTTTTATGATTAATTCCTAAGCTGTCACTAAAGGAAGAATAACGAGTTTGCTATAAATATGCATTTTGACAAAAATGGGAGTTGATATTTATTTCTGAATAACTTTGTGTGAAAAACGGCTTCTTTGATATTTTTAAATGTAACATTTCTTATTCTAAATTAAGGAAAAGATTGTTCATGGTGCAATGGAGAAAAATAATTTATATTGCCATTTCTCATTTCTACCCACAAATGTCTCTCTCTTCAGCATAACTCTATTCTCTGGGCTTGATTTATAATGATTTTTTATTTTCCAAATAAGTTCAACAAAATAGGAATTGCTACTAGTGAGAATGGTTCAAATATATACACACACACATATATATATATATACATAGTCATTATATATGAGTCTTAAGAATCTTCAGGCATTTTAAAGATGGCACATGATATATTTTGAGCAACAGCAAATAATAACATTTTATAAAATTTGAGATTATAAGGGTACTGCAGGACCTTGAAAAGAAACCTAGAAAAAAAATTAATTCCTTTTCCAAAGAATTTACTTATTTGACACTTGACGAAGGTCACTTTTTTGACAAGGAAAATATTCTCTTGAATCAAGTAGTTATAATTTAGACCTAATCACAAGAATATTTGGAGCAAAGGGTGGAAAAAGGCAGTAATTCGAGAACATCATGTTAAATTTATGTTGCCACTAGAAAGGCTTACAAACATTTCTGATTATACTTTTAAGCTGCAATAACTTAAAAGAGGTCCTTTTTAGCCTGTAGCAAATCAGTGCACTAAATATACCCATATTAGCATTCAAGACAATATGTAATATTTAATTTTAGTCAGACTATGAAAAATAGAAGAGAATGAGAGGATACAGGAATGAAATTATCAATATTACTACTGTTAATGGGAAGCATTTTGTCATTTTAAGGTGATAATTCAACCTTTTTCAGGCATATGAGACATAACCATTATAAAGCACCTGTATCAAATATGATCTTATCAAAACTTTTTGGGTGAATAAATAAACTGAAAAATCCTCCTGGAAAAAAAGACAGTTTTGCCAACCACTGACTTCTTTGAATTACTTTTGAAGAAATTTTGATAGAGACTGACTGTTACTCAGATTCTCAAGGTCTAATTAAACATATTTGCCAACACATCAAATGGGTGGGAGAGCAATATAACTGTGGAAGTGAAAGGAAGCTAAACCGTCAGGAGTTGGAAATCCTAATTGTCTTTGAACAAAGTGCTCAATAATACAGAAAATATATAGTAATCTTTTTTGGACTAAAAGAGTCAATAAACTTCAAAAATTCAATAACCTCCTATTTCCAGGGAGTTAGATGGAGTTAGAACTTTAAATATTTATTAATAACAAGTTTAAAAAATTGCATTTAGTTAGCCTTTGTTGAATGAGAATTTAATATTCCTAGATGTTAGAACTAGAGCTTAGGAATATCATCACTTGGATATGGGTCTGGATAGCTACCACTCGAATGAAAACATATTTCATGAGAATTTAATTTTCACTGAGTATAATTTGTGCAAAGATGTAGTGACTTGGAAAGCTCTTCAATGTAAAGAAGTTATTGCTAACTAGACTTGAAAGAGCTAATGAATCATTCACTAGAAAACTTCACTTGAACAGGAAGTACAACACCATTTTGAATATTGCCTTTTTCATTTAAATGCTGGAGTTAATTGTAAAGTAAATTTCACCCATTCCCATTAAGTCCTAAATAAGTGTGGTACGATGCAGTTTACTGATACTTAAGACAACCAAAGAACAATTTTCACACCTCATTGCCACACATAAAAGAGAGGCAAAATGAAATCCAAGACACATAATAGGAGCCCTGTAGGCTCTTTGATCACTCATTACATGGATTTTTCCCTTGTAATATCACATTGATTTCCTGCTTTATACACCAGAACTAAAAATAATTCTGATCATATGTAAATGTTGCACGTATTATTAGAACTCTGGTAAATGCTTTCAGCTCAAGTGATTGAAACAGATCTTAATTTTTCATTTGCACAATCTTCAACAAATCATATTTTCCTAGTCTTGTATTTCTCATCAATGTTAATGGGGCCAATGTATACATAATTGCAGGATAATTAGAATATTTGATTAATCAATATATTTATTTCAATTTTAAATAGTAACAGCTCAGCTTTCACTATCCTGAATTTTAAAAATAAATAAATAAAGTGTTATCAGGGTATGCTTATTTAGATGTATGTGTATATAGGTATATAGATAGATAACATGAGTTCTGATTTGTACTTATTAAAGAAGAAAGTATACACATAATTTGATAAAATTATTTAGAAAATTGGTTTAAATTCAATTTTAAAAATCCTCAAAACGTTAACTTGAACTGTCTCTGGATTGCAAACGTTATAGGATATTATCATATTCGGTGTATTATAATTAAGAGTATGCACTTTGTAACAGGTATGAAATCCTGCTTTTCCACTCAACCACATGTGAGATCTTTTGCAATTTCTTATTTCACTAAGCCACAATTTGCACATGTAAAAATTGAAATAATACAAGTCACTATTTCATAGAGTTGTGGTGTTAGTTAAGGCAATACTAACAAAGCTCTTAGCTGAGCTTCTGACAAAATATCAATAATGAGAATCTTTCCTTTTATTATTTGTATTTAAATATACAGTCATACTAATTAAACAATAGACTCCAAATTACAGCATTTTGAACTTTTCTCTTAGAAAAATGACTGAATAAATGGAAGCATGAATGAAGTACTCTGTGATATATTGCTATTAAGGGCAAAACCAAATAAGCACATCTATTCCTTATACATTAATTTTAGTCATGTCCTGTATTTTATAATATTTATATATCCAATTGACAGTGGTACAATGATGACAAGGTTAATAATAATAATAGAGACTAATTGCCTAGTTACCTAGAGTTAGTTTCAACTGTTATATATACTTCATTAGCTTTTACATGAACAACAAAATTATTCATCAAAATGTGAAAATATTTTTAATTTTCTTGAAACATTTTTGTATCATAGTTAAATATTAATTACGAAAAAGTGAAAACTAGGTAACTGTGAGTAAAATTTATAACTTCTCATGTAAGTTCAGGAATTCCTGAATTTCTAATTTGTGGTTTCTAACTCCTCATAACCACCCCCATTTCAAACCTCACCTCCTGTGCTCCACTTCAGATTTGGTACTATAGCTGTCTCGAATTAAAAGATTAGCAAATCCTGAAAATCTTTACCACTGACAGAAAATCCTTTTGTTTACTACTTCAAACAAAAAGGTTTAAAAGCCACTCACAAAAGGAAGAATTGAAAAATACACTCATAAATTCCAGAGATGCCTTCATATAGAGATTTCTTTTTCATTCATTATAATGAAATGCTAAAATGAAGATATCAGCTACCTAAGACACATTCCAAAGCCACGTAAGATACAAAACACATGAAACAAGGTAAACCTAAGGTTAAGTAACTTTATAACTTCTCACTCCCAAAAGGGTATGAAAGGGTGAAAGGAGTAAAGTCTGAGAGATTATTTTTAAAGAACATTTCTTTAGAAAGAGTTTAAGAACTGAGAAAAAAATACCTAGGAATCCAACTTACAAGAGATGTGAAGGACCTCTTCAACGAGAACTACAAACCACTGCTCAATGAAATGAAAGAGGATACAAACAAATGGAAGAACATTCCATGCTCATGGGTAGGAAGGATCAATATCGTGAAAATGGCCATACTGCCCAAGGTAATTTATAGATTCAATGCCATCCCCATCAAGCTACCAATGACTTTCTTCACAGAATTGAAAAAAACTACTTTAAAGTTCATATGGAACCAAAAAAGAGCCCATATCACCAAGTCAATCCTAAGCCAGAAGAACAAAGCCGTAGGCATCACACTACCTGACTTCAAACTATACTACAAGGCTACAGTAACCAAAAGAGCATGGTACTGGTACCAAAACAGAGATATAGATCAATGGAACAGAACAGAGACCTCAGAAATAATGCCGCATATTTACAACTATCTGATCTTTGACAAACCTGACAAAAACAGGCAATGGGGAAAGGATTCCCTACTTAATAAATGGTGCTGGGAAAACTGGCTAGCCACATGTAGAAAGCTGAAACTGGAACCCATCCTTACACCTTATACAAAAATTAATTCAAGATGGATTAAAGACTTAAATGTTAGACCTAAAACCATAAAAACCCTAGAAGAAAACATAGGCGATACCAGTTAGGACATAGGCATGGGCAAGGACTTCATGTCTAAAACACCAAAAGCAATGGCAACAAAAGCCAAAATTGACAAACGGGATCTAATTAAACTCAAGACCTTCTGCACAGCAAAAGAAACTACCATCAGAGTGAACAGGCAACCTACAAAATGGGAGAAAATTTTCACAACCTACTCATCTGACAAAGGGCTAATATCCAGAATCTACAATGAACTCAAACAAATTTACAAGAAAAAAACAAACAACCCCATCAAAAAGTGGGTGAAGGACATGAACAGACACTTCTCAAAAGAAGACATTTATGCAGCCAAAAGACACAAGAAAAAATGCTCATCATCACTGGCCATCAGAGAAATGCAAATCAAAGCCACAATGAGATACCATCTCACACCAGTTAGAATGGCGATCATTCAAAAGTCAGGAAACAAAAGGTGCTGGAGAGGATGTGGAGAAATAGGAACACTTTTACACTGTTGGTGGGACTGTAAACTAGTTCAACCATTGTGGAAGTCAGTGTGGCGATTCCTCAGGGATCTAGAACTAGAAATACCATTTGACCCAGCCATCCCATTACTGGGTATATGCCCAAAGGATTATAAATCAAGCTGCTATAAAGACACATGCACACGTATGTTTATTATGGCACTATTCATAATAGCAAAGACTTGGAACCAACCCAAATGTCCAACAACGATAGACTGGATTAAGAAAATGTGGCACATATACACCATGGAATACTATGCAGCCATAAAAAATGAAGAGTTCATGTCCTTTGTAGGGACATGGATGAAACTGGAAACCATCATTCTCAGCAAACTATCGCAAGGACAAAAAAACCAAACACCGCATATTCTCACTCATAGGTGGGAATTGAACAATGAGAACACATGGACACAGGAAGGGGAACATCACACTTCGGGGACTGTTGTGGGGTCGGGGGAGGGGGGAGGGATAGCATTAGGAGATATACCTAATGCTAAATGACGAGTTAATGGGTGCAGCACACCAACATGGCACATGTATACATATGTAACAAACCTGCACATTGTGCACATGTACCCTAAACTTAAAGTATAATAATAATAAAATAAAAAATAAAAATAAATAAAAAAAAAGAACTGCACCCTCCAAGGGAAAGGGCTAGGGAATGCTGCATCATAAACAGAATTCAAGAGAAAAAAGCTTTAATCCCATTACTTGGAAGATGAATATGCTTATCTTTCAGTTCGACTGGTGTTTGAGTCACATCTCAGAAGAACCGAAGGAGCAAAAGGCTGGTTGAAGGAACCTGTGGCATCAGAGAAAAGGCTAGGACCTAGGAAGAACTCCATTCCTAGTGTGTGCTGAAGCAGATACAGGCTACACAGCAGAGAAACAGCATAGTGGTTTCTTGTATCATATACAAGAAGAGGTAAGAGGTCTGAGAAAGTAAAAGGTAGATCATTGGATGTCCAGGGCTATAGATAAGTTCCAGAGAGACAAGCCTAAAGAGATATGTTTGCAATGGGTAGTGCATCACTAACATAGGCTGTCTCCAAATAAACCAGGAAATGATAAAAAATATATATTCTTTAAAATTGTGGCACATTCCAAGGAGCAAAAAACAAGTTCTTTCTTTTCTCATACCTATCCTGAAAGGATAAGAAAACAAGAATGATGATATTGTTAAAGGAAAAACAGAAGTTGATGCAAAACCAATTGTTCTTAAGGAAGGTTTACAGAATTAGAGGGAAAAAAAAAACACAATCCTAACCTTCGGAAAGCTACAACTTATAAAAGCAGAATTGAGTAAGATAAGTTGTCAAAGAGATGGTAAAAGAGCTCACGGCAAAAAAAAAAAAAAACAAACAAACAAAAAAAAACGCAATACAGAAGACAAGAAAGGTGAAAATTTCAAGAAGGAGGGAGTTATTGGCTATGTGGAACATAATAAGTTCATGTAAGATTAGGATTTAAAAAGGTATGTTTTACCTTCTTGAGAGCAGTTCTCATGGAATGATGTAAGCTGAAGTCATTTTAAGCTGGAAAATGCATTCATTTTTTAACCATGGAGACATTTCTATAGTAGATTTTCTATTATAGAAATTTTGAAAATTCTGATAAAAGTAATAGCAACTCTTTTTGCCTCTACCACTTCCTGGCTATATGTCCTGAGTAAGTCACTTGACTCAGGGATTGTTGGAGTTGATATAAGAAGACAATTTTGCAGAACTGGCTAACAATTTAATTTAGTTTAAAGGCCTTGAAATGAATATTTTTTCTATCAGTATGGATTATTTAAATAGATATTTATACATGTTTATTAGAGATTCTATAATCACATAAAGATTTTTTTCAGTGCCATGCAGTAACATTCAAACAATACATTTTGTTACTGTAAATGTCTAAATTTTTAAAAAATGAATGTTTTGGAAGAAATAAAAATTAATTCTAAAAATGACAGTTTACTTTAACATAGATTTGAAATTAATTTTTGTTCCTAAAATGAACAAGCCAATGTACAAATAAATAAGTAAAATGCTATACAATTATATAGTAATAAACATTTTTTTCCAAAGGATGACTGTAACTCAATAGCACTAGTGTTATCCTTATTTATATAAAATGACCTTCAACACAAAAAAGCGGAAAATGTATATCAGAGAAAACTAATTTAAAGTAGTATATTTCACTAATTATTCCATTTAAGACATAAGATAATTCCATTTAAGACATAAGATAATCTTATTAAATTTGAGAAAGAGTATGGCAATATAGGTGATAAGATCTGAATCATGCCTAACAAAGAGTTAAGTAATAATTGGCAGCTATAATTTAAGTAAATATTTAAGTTATTGATATATGATAATAATGTGGCCAAAAAAAGCATCCAAGAACTGATTTCATGAAACAGAAAAACATACTTCAAGATATTTTTTAATGTCACCTGCGTAAATTATCTCAAAATTAAAAGAATCCGTGAATGCAATGATATAAAGTACAAGCTAATTAACTTACACATATCCTAGCTTAAAATTAATTTATCATGCCTTAAAGTTCAACAAAATTGCACAAAGTCATCCTTCAAAGAAGGATGTTTATCTCCATGATATTTAGAAATAAATAAGAGGAGCTATTAAATAGTTTATTGTTTAATAGAGCCTAAAAATGGCAAATATGTCTGATTGTCAATTTTGAATGTCCTGTGTGATTATCACTTATAAAACATGACTTTATATTAAAATATATTACTTGAAATATTATTGTATTAGGATATTTTTATGTATGCTAGAGGAAATTTTAATCTACTGTCTATCTGTTTAGAAATTAATCTAATCTGTTTAGAAAATGAAATAAAATATAAATACCATTCTTATAAAAATTGCCAGATCTTGAGAAATGATTTTCAGTAAGTATATGTATTAAGCAAACAATAGTTTATATTTTTCTATTGGAATGTAAAAGCTTATATAATAAGAACTTCCATTATTTTTCTTTTTTCGAATGAAAGTGAAACATGAAAACACATAATGAAAGTAAAATTTAACAGTGGGCAATAAACATACATATAGATATATAAAATTGCACATATATAAACATGAGCATTTTAAAAATATATATAATGTGTATAGATATATTTATAGCTATCATCACAATATATCTTTGAATGATTTGTTATATTCATAGAAAGATCAACTGAGTAAAATAGAGATTTTAGAAAGACTTAAATATATGTATTTCACTTTAAATCATGGGGGAGAGATTACAGTAACTAACTTCCAGATAGCTCCCAATGACTGTCTCTTCTCCTTTTATTCATTGCTTCTGTAGTCTTCTTCCACATTGTATCATGGTTGGTCTGTGTTGTGTCACCAGTAGAATATGGAGGAAGTGATGGTATATAATTTCTAAATTAGGTTATAAAAGACACTACGAATTCCCTTTTGCACTCTTTGTCTTTGTCTCTCACCACTGAGTCTGGAGAAAGCTGACTGCCATGTTACCCTATGCAGAGGCCCATGTGGTAAGGAACAAAGGCCTTCTCCCAACAACCATGTGACTGAGCTTAAAAGTGGATCCTTATTTCAATTAACTTAGCAAAAGAAAACCCACAGAATGATTAACATATCATGATGCGAACAAGGATCAGGAAGAAATATTCAGTAAATTTTTTTTTTTTTTACTTTCTGCCATCCAGGAATCATTTAGATAGTAATAACAGTATATAATTATCTGTTTCTATTTCTCCTGTAATTTTTACATTACATTTACATTGCTACATTTTCCTAAATATTAATATACCTGTTTCTGCAATGTGCTACTATTTTATTTTTGGAGATGACTATTTAGCAAACTAGTAGCAGCAAAAGACCAAAAGTTACCTGTGTACTAAAGGTCAGATGCGGCAAAGCACAAAAATAAGAAAATGTCCAAACAACAGAAAATCCACCTGTGACACAAGTGACGTTTTTTTGGATAAAGACAAAATGTATTTTCTTTTGTACCAAAACGAGAATAAAAAAGGTTAGTTGATTAAATATATTGTACTCTAACTATATTTTGTTGCACTATTTATAATAAGGACCTTGGCAAAACTTAAAGTTGTTGTAAAATAGGTCTTTTAAATGAATTATATGTATCTTGTAGGATTTTGTAACTTACATTTGAGAAAGCTAACTAATATTTCCCTCCTAAAGATTGATATAAATACAAATTTATTCTTTGGATATTACAGAGAATCTATAACATTGAACTAGAATAAAATGACATTTAGATTACTTTGCTTTTTGATTAATCCCTATCACACCAGAAATATAAAGAAATTGAGTAGGGCATAGATTTTACAACGGAACCCAACAACGTTCATTCCTGAAGACAGCTGCCAAGTATAAAGAAGCTAAGAAGTTAGCTCTAGGAAGGTATATGTCCATATGCATATACATCCATAAGATTATGCCATCAAATTATACACATAAGTAAATTTCTGTCAGAAAATTCTACCATTGCTAATCTTCATAAATTAGCCCACCTACCCAAATGAAACATATATCTCCTATTCATAGCCTTCAATGATCCTCAGCCATTAAATCTAGATTTTTCTTGTGGTTTTCTTGTAAAGAATATAATGTGTTAGAAGTGAAATCATATGATCTATGAAGCCAGTTAAGAAAAATATATTGAGGTCACTGCTTTACTCTTGGAATGCTATTCAAGGCCAACTGCGATGAAAAAATGTCTGGTTATTGTGAGAGCACAATGAATGCTGTGAGGAAGCCCAAATGAGCACATAGAGGAACTCATTGTTATAGAGAGGTGCCCAGCCAGCTATGAATGTTAGCCATGTTTGACCCTCCAGACAAACCTAAAAAGTACCAGTGAATGGCTGCAGTTGACATATGAAGCAAGAGGTTATCCCAGCCAAACTCAATGTGAATACTTGCCACACAAAATTGTGATACAACAAAATATTGGTTTGCTGTTTTAAGCTTTAGGGAAGTTTTTTACACAAGAATATATAATCAGAATGAAATTTGGTACGTGGGACTGGGGAGTCAATGTATCAAAAACTCTAAAACACTTGCCTTTAAAACTGAGCAGGGGGCATGACCTAAAAGAGCCTCAAGATGACTTTCATTGAAAGCTGGATGATCCTGAAGGAGACACTTCATAACCATGAACATGAGACAATGCCAAGATGAGACAATGTTGTTGAAGACCATAAAATAACACCTTCTATGTAATGGCAGAAACTTTGGTAACACTGTCTCATACAGTAACATGGAAATAGAAAAGGTATCTAATGAATTCATGTATCCGTCTATGTAGATTTATTAGCAAAAAGTGGAAAATAACATAAACATTGCTTCTTATGCATATGATAAAAATTTTAAAAGAATGAAGAACTGATATTTTAATATACAGCTCTGATAATAATTTAATGTGAAATCCAGGCTTTGTGGCTCACGCCTGTAATTCCAACATTTGGTGAGGCCAAACTGGAAGGACAGTTTGAGACCAGGAGTTCAAGACCAGCCTGAGCAACATAGCAAGATCTCATGACTGCAAAAAGTAAAAAAAATAGCCAGGCATGATGGCATTTGTCTGTAGTACAAACAACTAGGAAGGCTGAAGGGGGAGGATCATTTGAACCCAGGAGTTCAGGGTTCCAATGAACTCTGATCATGCCACTGCACTTCAGCCTAGGTGAGAGAGCAAGACTTGTCTCTAAAAATAAATAAACTAATTAATTAAATAAAAAATTAAAAATGAAGAGAAATAATTTCTCAAATGAAAAATAAGGTGATCCCTCTTCATCAGTCTCTCTTGGCAAAATATTTTTAAACTAAGAAATGTCTTCAGATATAGACATGCAAAATTATGCAGAAGAACAACAAACCCAGGAATTTGTTATTTTAAAAAATTAATAAGATAGACCAGCAGCTAGACTAATAAAGAAGAAAAGAGAGAAGATTCAAATAAACACAATTAGAAATTACAAAGGGGATGTTTCCACTGACCCCAAGGAAATACAAGTAACCATCGGAGACCACTATGAACACCTCTATGCACACAACTAGAAAATCCAGAGGAAATAGATACATTCCTGGACACATACATCCTCCCAAGGCTGAACCAGAAAGAAATTAAATTCCCGAATAGACCAATAACGAGCTCGAAATTGAGTCAATAATGAATAACCTAACAACCAAAAACAAGTCCAGGACCAGATGGATTCACAGCTGAATTCTAATAAATGTATAAAGGAGAGCTGGTACCATTTCTGCCGAAGCTATTTCAAAAAAAAAAAAAAAATGAAGAGGACAGATGCATTCCCAAATCATTCTATGTGGCCAGCACCATCTTGATACTAAAACCTGGCAAGCACACACACACACACACACACACACACACACACACACATACACACACACACACATACACACACTGCAGGCCAATATCCTTCATGAACATAGAAACAAAATCTCAACAAAATACTAGCAAACTGATCCAGCAGCACATCAAAAAGCTAATCCACCATGAACAAGTAGACTTCATCCCTGGAATGCCAGGTTGATTCAACACACACAAATCAATGTGTGATTCATCATAAAAACAGAACTAAAGAGAAAATCCACATAATTTTCTCAACAGGCATTTGATAAAATTCAACATCACTTCATGTTAAAAACCCACAATAGGCCGGGCGCAGTGGCTCACGCCTGTAATCCCAGCACTTTGGGAGGCTGAGGTGGGCAGATCACAAGGTAAGGAGATCGAGAACATCCTGGCCAACATGGTGAAACCCCATCTCTACTAAAATACAAAAAATTAGCCGGGCATGGTGGTGTGTGCCTGTAGTCCCAGCTACTCGGGGAGTCTGAGGCAGGGGAATAGCTCGAACCTGGGAGGTGGAGGTTGCAGTGAGCTGAGATTGTGTCACTGCGCTCCAGCCTGGTGACAGAGCAAGACTCCAGAAAAAAAAAAAGAAAAAAAAAACCCTCAATAAACTAGGCAGTGAAAGAACATACTTCAATATAATAAGAGCTATATATGATGAACTCACAGCCAACATCACACATAATGGGCAAAAGCTGAAAGCATTCCCTTTGAAAACCAAAACAAGAAAACAATGCCAACTCTCACCACTCCTATTTAACATAGTATTGGAAGTTCTGGCCAGAGATATTAGGCAAGAGAAAGAAATAAAAGACATGAAAATAGGAAGACAGAAAGCCAAACTATCTCTGTTTGCAGGTAGCATGATTCTATATCTGGAAACCCCATTGTCTCTGCTCAAAAGCTCCTTGAGCTGATAAGCAACTTCAACAAAGTTTCAGGATACAAAATCAATATACAATAATCAGTGTATAGCATTTCTATACACTAACAGCACTCAAGCCAAGAACCAGTTAAGGAACTCAATCCCATTCACAACTGCCACAAAAGAACAAAATACCTAGAAATACAGTTAGCCAGGGATATAAAAGATCTCTACAAAGAGAGCTACAAAACACTGCTCAAGGAAATCAGAGATGACACAAACAAATTGAGAAGCATCCCATGATCATGGATAGGAAGAATCAGTGTTGTTAAAATGGCCATAAGGTCCAAAGCAATTTACAAATTCAATGCTATTTCTATCACACTACCAAAGACACTCTTCACAGAACTAGAAAAAATTATTCTAAAATTCATATAGAACCAAAAAGAGGCTAAAAAGAAGAAAGTTGAAGGAATCCTATTGCCCGATTTTAAACTGTACAAGCCTACAGTAATCAAAACAGCATGGTACTGGTTTACAAACAAACACATATACCCATTAAACAGAATAGAGAGACCAGAAATAAAGTCACACACTTATAACTATCTGATCTTTAGCAAAGTGGACTACAACAAGCAATGGGGAAAGGACTCCCTATTCAATAAATGATGCTCAAATAATTGACTAGTTATATGAAGAAGATGCGGAAGATACAAACTGGACTTCTTTCTTACAGCATATTCAAAACAACTTAAGATGGATTGAACATCTAAATGTAAAACTAAAAACTATAGAAACCCTGGAAGATAACCTAGGAAATACAATTTTGGACTTACTAATTGGCTAAGATTTCGTGATGAAAATGCCAAGAGCAATTGCAACAAAAGTAAAAATAAACAAATGAAATTGAATTAAACTAAAGAGCTTCTGCACAACAAAAGAAACTATCAAAACAGTAAACAGACAACCTACAGAATAGGAAAGAATATTTGCAAGCTATACATTAGATTATGGTCTAAGATCCAGATTATACAAGGAACTCAAACAAACATACAAGCAAAAAAGCAAACAACCCTATTAAAAAGTGGGCAAAGGAAATGAACACTTTTCCAAAGAAGACATACATACATCCCAGAAGCATATGATAAAATGCCCAATATCACTAATCATTAGAGAAATTCAAATTAAAACCACAATGGGATATCACCTCATACCAGTCAAATCAAAACCACAGTCAGAGACCATCTCACACCAGTCAGATACTATCTCACACCAGTTCTGTTTATAGTTGTTTGGGGAATTGTCACACTGCTTTCCACAAAAGTTGCACTAATTTATACTCTCACGTGTGCAACCCTTGTGGAAAGCAGTGTGGCGATTCCTCAAAGAACTATAAATAGAACAACCATTCAACCTAGCAATTCCACTACTGGTTATAAACCCAAAGGAATATAAATTGTTCTACCATAAAGACACATCTACACATGTTCATTACAGCACTATTCACAATGTTTATTACAGCATTATTCCATGTAAAGTTATGGAATGAACCTAAATGCCCATCAACAGTGGACTGGATAAAAAAAATGTGATACATATATACCGTGGAATACTATGTGGCCATAAAAAGAATGAAACCACGTGTTTCGTAGGAACATGGATAAAGCTGGAGGCCATTACCCTTAGCAAACTAACATAGGAATGGAAAACCAAACACTGCATGTTCTCACTTGTACATGAGAGCTAAATAATGAGAAAACATGGACAGAAAGAGAAGAACAACAGACAGGATCCTCCTTGAAAGAAGAGGGTTGGAGGAGGGCGAGGTTTAGCAAAAAAAAAAAGAAAAAAGAAAAAACTATTAGGTGCTATGCTTAATATCTGGGTGATGAAATAATCTGTACACCAAACCCCCTAGTCATGAGTTACCTATATAACAAACCTGTATATGTACTTCTGAACCTAAACTAAAAGTTAAAATATTAAAAAAAGAAAGCACAATTCTCATGTATTGAGAATAAAAAGATTAAAAAAAGAAATGCCTTCAGGGCAAAGATCAAATTCCAGATGTAGCTATAAGACCCACCTTTGTTACTATAGGTTGAGAAGTCCTAATCCAAAAATTCAAAATTAGACATTTTCCAAAATCTGAGACTGGCTAAGTGCTGACTTGATGCCACAAGTGGAAAATTCTACACTTAGCCTCACGTGACAGATCATAGCAGTTAAAATGCAATCACACAACACACAATTTGTTCAGTGTCCCCCAAAAAATAAAATTATCTTTAGTCTATGTGCATGATATCTACATAAATCATACATTTTATTTTCAGACACAGGTCATATCTTCAAGATAGTTCATTGTGTATGTGCAAATATTCCAAAATCTGGAAAATTCTGAAATCCAAAACACTTCCAGTCCCAAGCATTTGGATAAGGGAAACTAAAACTGTACTTCAAAAAGATTTATGGTGCCTCATAGAAAATTTCAGCTAGGCAGAATGTCTTCTAAAGATTTATTTTGAAATATAATTCACATGCTATTAAATTTAATATTTCAAAGTGTACAATTTAGTAATATTAGTATATTCACAAGGTTATGTAACCATCATTATCTAATCCCACAACACTTTCATCACCACAAATAGAAACCTCATACCTATTAGCAGTAACTGCATCCCTCTACAATATCCCCTGGAAACAACCAATCTACCTTCTTTCTGTATGGATTTTTCTAATCTGGATATTTGAAATAAATGAAACCATGTGATATGTGACTGTTCCCTTACCTAATGTTTCTAAAGTTCACATTTTAGCTTTTATGGTATCAGCGCTTCATTTGTTTTTACGGATGAATAACATTACATTGCATGGATATAACACAAAATGTATTATATCCCATTTATCACTTTATGGGCTTTTGGGTTCTTTCTACCTTCAAGCTATTATGAATATGAAAATTACTGTACAAATGTTTGCATATGTATATGTTTTAGATATCTCCTGGATATATACCTAGGAGTAGAATTTATCAAAAATTCTTCCCAAAAGTATAAGATACATAAACTCTTTTCAACTCATTCTATGAAGCCAGTATTACTCTTATAGCAATACTGGACAAAATATCACAAGAAAAAGATATTACAGACAAATATTCCTTATGGATGCAAATATGATTAACAATGTGCTACCAATGTCGTCCAGCATGGTGGTTCACACATATAATCTTAGCTACTTGGGAGGCTGAGGCAAGAGGCTCACATGAGGCCAGGAATTCAAGAGTAGTCTAAGTAACATAGTGAGACCTGGTCTTAAAAAGAAAAAAAAAATTCCCACCTGTAAGTGAACATGCGGTGTTTGGTTTTTTGTCCTTGCGATAGTTTGCTGAGAATGATGGTTTCCAGCTTCATCCATGTCCCTACAAAGGACATGAACTCATCATTTTTTATGGCTGCATAGTATTCCATGGTGTATATAACAATGAGAACACATGGACACAAGAAGAGGAACATCACACACCGGGGACTGTTGTGGGGTGGGGGAAGGGGGGAGGGATAGCATTAGGAGATATATCTAATGCTAAATGACGAGTTAATGGGTGCAGCACACCAACATGGCACATGTATACATATGTAACAAACCTGCACATTATGCACATGTACCCTAAAACTTAAAGCATAATAATAAAAAAAAGAAAAAAAAATTATAGCCATGTGAATCTGGCAACTATAAAAATGTTTACTCTCCATGAGTAAGTGGGAAATCAGATTCTCTTTCTCCCCAGATTTTGTTGCTGCTACTGAAAATATTTGTTTACTTAGTGGCTTTTCTCAACTGGTGATGTCTATATGCTTTATTGATGTGGCCTCTGAAGTCTCTGATAGTCAACAAATGATTGGCCAAAGATTTCCTTAAATTCCCAGAACCACATTATTCCAGCCTTTGCTGAAGGGGTTCTGAGTGTATGCCGGAACATGCCTTCAGCACTCAGCCTGGCAGTTTCCAACTTTGACTTAGTCTTTACTTTCTGCTTGTCCAGAGCCACAACATCATCCAGAGGTGAGAGCTCAGGACCTTTTCAGGTTTTTGCTGATCACCTGCACTGTCCTGGGCATGTGTAAACATGTTGGAGCTTTTCAAAGTCCCTAAAGACATCTCATTTTCATAATTTTCTTTTTAAGCTTTTTGGTTAGTCTATTGTTTGCTCAGTTTCTATCCACTGCTTCAGGCAGTCATGAAGTTACACAATTGCCTGTATATGTTTTCAACAAATGCTCATTGAGAATGAGTTTTTTGTTTGTTTGTTTGTTTGGCTTTTTTTTTTTTTGTAATGTGTGAGGTCCAAATCAGATCAATACATACAGCCTTGCAAGTGCGGTTTTCCAGAAAATCACCATGCAGGGTTTTTTTTTTTTTTTTAAGGCACTTATTTAAAAATGAGGCTTTAAAGAGCTCCAACCACATCTTTAGTGGCTGCTAGACTGATGAATTTTAACAAGAATACTGACTGTTATGCTCAGAGCTGAAGAAATGGGGATACAACCAGGGCAAGTTAAAACATCACAAATCTTGCTGTTCTTATTGGTATTCAGCCAGCTTTCTTGGATAAATGTTACTCTTGGTTGTTGTAAGACTTAATTTCTACAATTTTCAAAGAGTTATTTATCATATTGTTGTCAGTTTTCTCATTGTTTTCATGGAGGAAATAAATTTGGTGATTCTTTTTCCACAATTTTCAGTGATGTCTTCTTTCTTCCAGCAATCTTAAAAGTATGCTGGAAACTGTATTAAACAATAGAGCTTCCAAGAACCTGAAAGGTGTTGTTAGAAAGTAACCTCTTAACAGCATTCAAACAGAGACAGCCCTGTACTGAAGAAATTTGTAGGTATAACTCATCTAAGGAAGGAAACCTGAGTATATTTCAGAGGAGACACATGAAATTTTCAGGAGAATCATATTGGTGGAAGCACCAGTGGCTCAGCTAAAAAGATCACAGACAGAACAAAATGGAAAGGTACCGTTGAAACACCAACATTCTATGAGAAGAAAAAGGTTACAACCTCTTAAACAAAATGAAGGATGAATGAGAAGTTTGAAAGAAAAGCGAGGAGCTCAGAGCCAAGAAACCCAGCAAATCATTTTCAGGATGCAGAACTAGGTCCTAATCAATGAACTACTGGCATGTATCTTATTGGATTTTAGATTTCCTGTGAGCCTATGCTATATGCCTCCTACCCCCATTCACTTTTGAAGAAGAGTGTTTGTTGTGACTATTCTAACTATGTATTACCATTGTATATTGGGTCTGTGAGCTTTAGACAACATGTTTCTTGACTTCTTAGTCTTAGATTGAGATAATTTGTACTCAAGGAACCTTACCTGAGAAATCTCTTTCATACCTGTATCTTATTTGGGTAATAACATCTTGGTTTTAAATTCTAAGCTTGATGAAATAATAGGATGAGGTTTTGGGGGGGGTCTTCAAAGTACAATGAGTATATTTTGCATGTAGGAATGAAGTAAATCACAGAGGACAAGAAGATCTACTGTGAGCGCTAGTCTCCAAAGATTAACCCCCAATTAATATATTTAAGTAGTGTGTATATTCACATACCTGTGCAGGGGTCAATATGCCTTTAAATCTGAGCTGGCAAAGGTAAAATGTAATGGAAGTAACAATTTATGACCAAAGTTAAGTTAGAATGAGGCTTGAAGATTACTCTGTGATCTCTTAGAATACTTGCTCTCAGGGAAGCTGGCCAAGATGCAAGAAATCCTCTCACTAAGACCGTCATGAGTGAGGAAGCTCAATTTGGCCATGTGGGGAAGCTTCACAAAGAGATGAATGGCCAACTTCCAGTTGTTTCCAATATCCGAGCCCAGTCACCAGGCATATAAAAGAATAAAACATTTTGAGAATCTATCTTAATCAAACATTCTGTTTACTTCAACCTCATAAAACTTGGTCTACAAACACATGAAAGAACCCCAGAACAAACCACCCAGCTGAACCACCAATTTTGTCAAACCACAAAATCATCAGAGATGATCTTATGTTTTTGTTTCTTGCCATTAAACTTTGGAGTTGTTTGTTAAACAGAAATAGATTATTGGAATATATTTTTGTTTTACTAATAAAATTTAGAAAGAGAAAAAAATGACCAATAACAGGTGAAGTACATAGCAGAAAATACTGGCTTATTGTTCACTGTAGGATGAAGGCTGAAAAGAAAATACAATCAGGACAGAATTTTTGCAACATTTTAAAAAATGTAGTGCTGCAAAAGTTCAGCCTGGCACTTACTTCTAAGATTGCAGTAATGTGTGGAAGATCCATTTAGTCATGTTCAGAGAGGCTGAGGGGAGACGTACATGGCCAACTACCAGTAGAAATACATAGATACTCTAAAGTATTGCAAAATCTAAGATTAGATGACTTGTATTGTGGATATTTGGCAATCTTGAAACATAAAATTGACTAATTTAATGATAGAAGAATTTTTTTTTAATTTTGTGGAAGCACTGTTGTGTAGTGGATCACAGGTAGACTTTATAATTAGTTAACCTAGGTCCAAATCTTGGATCTGCCACTCAATTGAGTGAGAAATAGAATATTAAGATTTAAGTGTCCATGCATGCCTTCTCCTAATTACATTTGAGTGCACCCCAAATTGAATGTTATCCTTAATTAAAACATTATAGATTTGCTTTGTCATTTTCTAAATTTTATTTAAGTAGAAAAATATATACAACATCGGTTATTTTGTTTCAGGCTTCTTTCACTCAATTGTTGCTCATGAGATTTATCCATTTTTTCCGGAAGAGTTGCAGTTTGTTGTTCAGTGCTTTCTTGAATTCAATTGTATGGGCAACTCAATTTATTTATCCATTTTACTCTTAATGGAAATCTCTTTGTTTCCAGTTTTGACCTATTATGAATAATGTGGTGATTCTTCCTAAATATTTCAGATTGTGTATGTATGCATGTACTTCTGTTGGAATAAAATTGTTGGGTCAGAGAACATGTCTATATTTAAATTAACTTAAAATTTAGAGGTAGATTTTTAAGTGGTTGTGCATTTTTACAACCCTTCAATGATATTTGAGAGATTATGATGCTCCACAGCCTTATCAATGCAAAATTTTCATCCCAAGTTTTAACTATTTTAATCACTGATTCTAATTTCCAATAAGAATACTGCTCTAAGGATTATGTGGTATGTGATATGAACATATAACATTATTTTTCCTACCCATTTTTGAATATTAGCAGTAGCGTGAATCTTTATCAGAGGAAATACATCCATGTGGACCAAAATGATCAATTACTTGCTTTTTCTAAACTTTTATTGTATTCTGTTCAGTTGCTTCTTTTTCAGAATAAGCAAAGGCTAGAATAAAAGAGTGTCCGTTTCAGTCAATACCCATTTGTAGCCCCCTCAATGTGACTTATACAAGTCAAATGGCAGCTCAGTAATTCTGCCTAGATCCATCTTAAAGTGTTTAAGATTATCTGAAGTTTCTCCAATTTGTATTGAGTAAAGGTTCTTCCCACATTATTTGCTCAGTTGGATATGAAGGAAATGCATTTTCTTTGGCCCAACTGTGCATGGACAGGCATTCCCATAACAACTTATTTCATGAACCCAGAGAGCTAGCTTTACAGCTCTGACAAAGGCATCTGTTCCAGTATGCTTTCCCCATGCGAGTCATCAGCAGGTACTTCCGGTGGGCACCTATTTGCTCTACCTTAATTCTACCTCCTCTAAAGTCACATAAAATCTTCCAAAGTTAAGTATTCTATAAGGAGAGGAGGACTGCATTTATTGTTTAATAATCTAGAAGCATATTGAAATGACATCAACTTTGGCACAAGAGTATAACTATCCAAATATTTCCTCAGGTCCAAGCCTGATTCCTTCTGCCATTTATTCCTAAATAAACAGATTTCAGTTCTCCCTATTATTTGCTCTTTCCTTCTTCATCAACACTTTACCATATGTAACATGTATTATGATCAATTTCTAATTGCAATCTAACTATAGAATTAAGAATTTCAATCACTGAACCAAGAAAGCTATTTTTTGGCATCAGAGCATATAACAATAGTTAGTAGGGATGTAAAGAGGTAGGAAAAGCCACAGAGCCCTGTCATTGGCCTTGGAAGAAGAGAAGTAAGCTGCATATATACATAGTTTACATCTCCTGAATTTCCTCTTGTCACATGCTGTTGAATACAATATTTTTGTTTTATCAGTGAGCTCTGCTAAGCTGCGTCTCTATTCTTCTCTGACATTACATAAGACTTGAAAGGTATTCTGGTCCCAGCACATAATGACACAGTATTATGTGCTGTCATTCACCGCAGGGGTCACTTTCACCAATGCCCCCAGTAACAAGCTGCCAGTTGTTTTTCAAAAGGTCTAAAAAGTGCCTCTGCAGCATGCAGCTTTTGAGGCATAATCCCCAAAGATCTTTGCTGAATACAATATCCCCTTTCTGCCAAAGGCTCCAGTCAGCATATTTCTAGTTGCAGGTACTACTGAAATCAACTGGCAGTCAGGTCATGAGGTTCGAGTGGGTCTTTTAGTGCTTGTTTTTGCTCTGGGCTCCCTTCAAATTCACTTTCTTTTTTTCTTGTTTTGTTTTGTTTCCTGGTGACTTTGTGAATTGAGACTAACAGAATTCTTAAGTACAGATTATGGTTTCACAAAAACCCAAAAGATCCACCTGTATTTGTGTTTCCTGTTCAGTGTCAGGGTCAGTTAATAAAATAATTTGTTTCTCATAGCTCGAGGGATATCTGTGATTTATCCAGGAAATATAATCCCTCAAAATGTAACTAGGCCAGGCTTACAGTTCAGCTGTGTTCACTAGCCAGATTCTACTTGTCATATGGGTGACTTAAATTCTCCTGCCTGCCTTTCTCCCAAGAGGCAATTCTCACAGTATCATCAATGCAATGAACCAATGTATGGAGTGTTATCAAACTCAGATGTTACTACACTAGATATGAAGAATGGCGATAAAGTTAAATATCAAGGTAGAAAAATCAAGAATATGTACCAAAAGCCACTTCACAGAAATCCAAATAGTGTCAGATTGGATTCTAAATAGGTATGAAAAAGAAGGTATAAGACAATTCTGTTATGGCGTATTAATCACCTTTGGCCTGTTGCCCTTCTTGTGTAGTCTTTAATATCTTGCTTACGGTGTAAGTAATGAGGAGAACAACCTTGTTATGTCCTAAAATGGCTACTGTCATATTCTGTGAGTGAGTGAGATTTAAAGCTTCCACTTTGTCATATCCTTAATAGAACAATGGTCTCTTGTACTTTTGGAATTCTCTGTTGCTTAATTTTCCTATAGAAGAGTGCTTGAACAACACAAAGGTTCCCACTCAGCATGTCCAATTAAAATGAGACAGCATCTCTTCCACACACAATAGCAATTCCAATTACACATTCCACTAACAGCAACAGAACTTTGAAATCTATTATCCAGTCATATTTTTCCTATAAGTAGTTTAGTTATAACCTAAGTACCATATATGTGCCCTAGGTTTCACATCTGGACCTGTGAAAGTACTCTCTTTCTCTCCTGTGGGAATCATTTCCTGCTAGTAGTTCCAAAAACATTACACAAAACCCAAAGACCATTTTGCTTGTGGAACCGTGAAAGACCTTGGATCCCCTGCTAAGGGTTGAGTGAGTAGATCTCAGCCCTTCTGTTAATAAATTTTACATAGTGGTTTATTATCGGAGGCAGTAAATTCAGCCTCATATTCAAGTATTTTTTGTTCTAAATCACCACTCTTAAAATACAATTTAAATTCATACAAATGTGGCTATATAGAGTGAATTGAGTCACTTTAAGTGTGGTTCACTTTAAGAAGTATGAATGTTGGCCGGGTGCGGTGGCTCACGCCTGTAATCCCAGCACTTTGGGAGGCCGAGGCGGGCGGATCACAAGGTCAGGAGTTAGAGACCAGCTTGGCTAACATAGTGAAACCCCGTCTCTACTAAAAGTACAAAAATTAGCCGGGAGCGGTGGCATGCACCTGCAGTCCCAGCTACTCAGGAGGCTGAGGCGGGACAATCACTTGAACCTGGGAGGCAGAGGTTGCAGTGAGCCGAGACCACACCATTGCACTCCAGCCTGGATGGCAGAGTGATACACTGTTAAAAAAAAAAAAAAAAAGTATGAATGTAATAGCTGAAGTTCAAAGAAACCTCTGTCTTTAAGTTTTGATAATGTGCTTTTTATATGTAATCCAATATTTTTTCCTTTTATTTTTTCAGTAGCTTTCTGACGTCTCCACCTGGCTAAATAGTAATCACTACTGCCCCCATTTTTGGGGTCATGTTTTCTTTAGGGCCACTTGTCCTTTGAATAGCACATAATTATTTTCCATCAGTCAGTTACATGCAGAGTAACTAAACTAGTAAATCAATCACTGTCTCTTAAATATTTTCTTGGCACTTATTAGCAAGGTTACGCAAGAATACCAAGATTGGTGAGGTAGCAGAGAGCTGGCTGTATCACAGCATTTATCATGGTCAGTGTCAACAGTATTAATTCGTATCTGTTTCCTTAACTTCATATGGCCAATTTAGGGTTGCCAGCATCTGTTATACTTCAACTTATTCATAAAGTGGATTCTAAATGATAGAGATGGAGCAGGGCAGTTTCCTGTCTTAGGATAAGAGTGGTAAATTCTTTTTACCCACTGCAACAGATTAATTAGTTTTTATATCTTCCACAATGGTCCTCTCACAAAAGCTTGTGGCCATTTTGGATCTGTTTCTAACCCAGATAATCCTTTTTAAATCAGTATTATCTAGTATTAGCAATGTGACTCTCCCAAATGGTCTATTCTAAGAATTCATGCTGGCAAGGATTTGTCAGCTTTCCATTATTTCTTCATGAAATGGCCTTTAACAAATACCCCTGTATTCTATGGCCTGTAGAAAAGCAGTTGTTATCAGTAATTTACTTCTCCATGGGATAAGTCAACTAAAGTCACCATTGAAGCATAAGATGGCTTTCAGCAAAAAGAAAAATCTGACTGAATTCATTCACTGCCAATATTTTAATTTCCTTTTTAAGTGGTCCCATTTCCGTCAGAATTAATATTAACAGCCAGGAAATAGTACTTTTTGTTGATTATTCTGCTGTTTTGAATTCTTTTTATATCAATTTAGCTAATTTTTCCAGGTCTATTTCTTTTGAATTTAGTTATACCTGAATCAGATAATTCTGGTTCTTTTCCTCCCCTTCCATTCTAAAAAAAAATGTGCCATAGCCTTAAAGACTTATGAGTGTAAAAGGCAAGATTTGTCAAAGCAGATTTACATAAATTGTAGAGCTCACTTCCCTGGTCTATTTGACTATCCTTGCAGAAATACAGCAATGCTTTTATCGCTGTACTTTTACAGTAAGTTTCAATATATAATGAAGCATGTCTTCTTATACTGTTCTTCAAGATTATTTTGGCTAATTTTGGTCTTATACATTCATATAAATTTTATATTTAGTTTGTAAATTTCCAATAAATTGCATTGGCATTTGGAATAAGATTACATTGACTGTATAGATCATTTTTGGGTGAAATTGACATTTTTACAATATTGAGTTTTCCCATCCATGAACAAGACATTTCCTTTCATTTATTTAAGTCTTCTAAAATTTCTTTCAAACTCTAAATTGAAACATGAATGAGATCAGTTTTTCTTTATGTAATGTCCTTGTCTAGGTCATGCCTAACTTTACACACACACACACACACACACACGCACACAGAGGTTGATAGATGTTTTTCTTTTTTCTGTGATTCTCTGAGAGACTGCCAAAATAGAATTTTTTTAATGCTTGATATAATTTACTGGTGAAGAAACTTGATGGAGAATTTACTTAAAAGGTAATAAGAATTTATCTTTAATATAGTCTGTTTCCCCCTCTTCCTCTTTTGTCTTTTTTCTCTACTTTCCTTCCTGTATCCCTATTTTTCTGCCTCCCCCCTCTCTTTCCTTTATTCCTACATTTAATATATTAAATCTTGAAGTGTATTTTTTTATCTCTTGGTGCTTTATACTTAATGTCCATCTGCGCTTCTTCTCTATCTTCTTCTTTGAAGTTACTAGCATATTAATTTACTTGAAGTCCTTGCATAATTCATGATGTTCTTATTTTTTCATTAATTCTTATTTAACTCTTTCATTTTAGGTAGTTTGTATTGATATAGCTACAAGTTTACCAATCTTCCATTCTGCAGTGTCTAATCTTTCATTAATTCTATCCATTTTTTTATTTAGAATATCAATTTGGGTCTTTTTAAAAAATACAATATGCAGGTCTCTACTTAACGTTTTGAACACATGGCATATTGTAATAATAATTGTTTTAATGTTATTGTCTGCTAATTCTGACATCTGTTTCATTTTTGAGTCAGTTCCAATGGATTATCCTGGTCACTATGAATTGTGCTTATTTACTTCTTTAAATGACTGGTAATCCTTTTTTTTAACTTTTATTTTAAGTCCAGGGGTATATGTGCAGAATATGCAGGTTTGATACATAAGTAAACATATGTCATGGGGGTTTGTCATACAGATTATTTCACCACCCAGATATTAAGCCGAGTATCCATTCATGATTTTTCCTGATCTTCTCCTTCCTCCCACCCTCCACACTCCAGTAGGCCCCAGTGTGTGTTGTTTCTCTCTATATGTCCCTGTGTTCTCATAATTTAGCTCCCACGTATAAGTGAGAATATGCCATATTTGGTTTTCTGTTCCTGCATTAGTTTGCTAAGGATAATAGCCTCCAGCTCAATACATGCCCCCAGGAAAAAAAAAAAACATGATCTCATTCTTTTTTATGAATGCATAGTATTATATGGTGTATATGTACCACATCTTCTTTATCCAGTTTATCATTGATGGGCATTTAAGTTGATTCCATGATTTTGCTATTGTAAATAGTGCTGCAATAAAAACATATATGCATGGGTCTTTATAATAGAATGATTTATATTCCTTTGGGTACATACCCAGTAATGAGATTGCTAGGTTGAATGGTATTTCTGTTTTCAGGTCTTTGAGGAATCGTCACACTCTCTTCCACAATGGTTGAAGTAATTTATACTCCCACCAGTGGTGTAAAAGTATTCCTTTTCTCCACAACCTAAATAGCATCTGTTATTTTCCGACTTTTTAATAATAGCCATTCTGACTCATATGAGATGGTACCTCATTGTGGTTTTGATTTGCATTTCTCTAATGATCAGTGATTTTGAGCTTTTTTTCATATGATTGTTGGACCCATGTATGTCTTTTTTTGAGAAGTGTCTGTTCATGTTCTTTGCCCACTTTTTAATGGGGTTGTTTGCATTTTGCTTGTAAATTTGTTTATATTTCTTATAGATGCTGGATATTAGACTTTTGTCAGATGCTTAGTTTGTAAAACTTTTCTCCTATTGTGTAGGTTGTCTGCTTACTCTCTCAATAGTATCTTTTGCTGTACAGTGATCTTTAGTTTAATCAGATCCCACTTGCCAATTTTTGCTTTTGTTGCAATTGCTCTTGGCATCTTCATCATGAAATCTTTGTCCATTTCTGTGTCATGAGTGGTGTTGCCTAGGTTGTCTTCCAAGGTTTTTAAAGTTTTGGGATTTACATTTAAGTCTTTAATCCATCTTGAGTTACTTTTTGTATATGGTGTAAGGAAGGGTTCCAGTTTCAATTTTCTGCATATGGCTAGCCAGTTATCCCAGCACCATTTATTGAAGTGGGAATCCTTTCCCCATTGCTTGTTTCTGTCAGGTTTGTTGAAGATCAGATAGTTGTAGGTGCGTAGTCTAATTTCTGATATCTCTATTCTGTTCCATTGGTCTATGTGTCTTTTGTTCTACCAGTACCATGCTGTTGTGGTTACTGTAGCCCTATAGTACAGTTTGAAGTCAAATAACATCATGGTTCCAGCTATGATATTTTTTGTAGGATTGTCTTGATTAGTCCAGCTCTTTTTTGATTTCATATGAATTTTAGAGTAAGTTCTCCTAGTTATGTGAAGAATGTCATTGGTACTGTGATAGGAATAACATCAAATCTGTAAATTGCTTTGGGTCATATGGCCATTTTAGCAATACTGATTTTTTTATCCATGAGCACAGGATGTTTTTGCATTTGTTTGTGTTGTCTCTGATTTCATTTAGGGGTGTTTTGTAGCTCTCCTTGTAGAGATTCTACACCTTCCTTGTTAGCTGTATTCATAGGTATTTTATTCTTTTTGTGGCAATTGTGAATGAGAACTCATTCCTGATTTGGCTCTCAGCTTGAATGTTATTGGTGTATAGGAATGCTAGTAATTTTTGCACATCGATTTTGTATCCTGAGACATTGCTGAAGTTGCTTATCAGCTCAAGAAGCTTTGGGGCTCAGACCTCCCAATTCAGGACTCCAGCTACCTCCTACAGTTGTGTTCAGTACAGCAACAGGTCCAGCCCCCCTGGGACTGAGCTCCCAGAGGGTGGGGGAGGCTGCCACCTTTGTTGTTTCATAGCCTCCACTGGTGATACCTCCAGGTACTGGAAAATCCCAGGCAACTGTGGTCTGTAGTTTTCCCCAGCAAGCTGCAGCAGCCCTTCAGAAAAGCAGCCAGACAAAAAAATAAAAATTAAAAAAAAAAAACTAAAGGTCAACAACACCAGTGTTTGATGGTAGATAAGCCCACAAGAAATAGAAAATATCAATACAAGAATGCTGAAGAGTCAAAAAGCCAGAGTGCGCTCTTTCCTCAAATGACCACATCAGCTATCCAGCAAGGTTCAGAACTGGGCTGAGATTGAGATGGCTGCAATGACAGAAGTAGAATTCAGAATGTGGATAAAAATGAACTGCAATGAGCTAAAGGACCGTGTTGTAACACAATGCAAGGGAACTAAAAACCATGATGAAACATTGCAGGAGCTGACAAACAAAGTAACCAATATAAAGAAGAATGTAACTAACCTGAGCGAGCTGAAAAACACATTACAAGAATTTCATAATGAAATTGTAAGTATTAATAGCAGAATAGACCAAGTGGAGGAAAGAATCTCAGAGTTTAAAGACTGTCTTTCTAAAATAAGACAGGCAGAAAAAATAGAGAAAAAAAAAGAATTAAAAAGAATGAACAAAACCTCTGAGAAATATGGAATTATGTAAAAAGACCAAATCTATGACTGATTGGTGTACCTGGAAAAGATGGGGAGAATGAAACCAATTTGGAAAATATATTTCAAAATATCATCTATGAAAAGTTCCCCAAATAGCAAGACAAGCCAACATTTAAATTCAGGAAATGCAGACAAAGAAGGGCATTACATATTGGCAAAGGGTTCAATTCAACAGGAAGATCTAACTATCCTAAACATATATGCACCCAACACAGAAGCACCCGGATTCATAAAGCAAGATCTTAGAGAGCTCCAAAGAGACATGGACTCCCACATAATAATAATGAGAGACATCATTCCACTGACAATATTAGATTATTGAGACAGAAAATTAATGAAGTTATTCAAGACCTTAACTCAGCTCTGGATCAAATGGACCTGATAGATATTTGCAGAACTTTTTATCCGAAAACAGAATATCCATTCTTCTCATTGCCATTTAGCACTTGCTTTAAAATCGATCACATATCAGGAGTAAAACACTCCTCAACAAATGCAAAAGAACTGAATTAATAACAAACAGTGTCTTGGGGCATGACCCCAATCAAATTAGTACTCAAAACTAAGAAATTCACTCAAAACCTTACAATTACATTGAAATTGAATACCTGCTCCTGAATGACTTTTGTGTATATAATGAAATTAAGGCAGAAATCAAGTTCTTTGAAAATAATGAGAACAAAGATAGAACATACCAGAATCTTTGGGACAGAGCTAAGGCAGTATTAAGAGGGAAATTTATATACTAAATGCCCACATCAAAAAGTCAGAAAGATCTCTAGTTAAAAACCTGATATCACAACTAAAAGAATCAGAAAACCAAAAGCAAACAAACCCCAAAACTTAGCAGAAGACAAGAAATAACCAAAATCAGGGCTGAATTGAAAGAGCTAAAGACACAAAAACACATTTAAAAGATCAGTGAATACAGGAGCTGTTTTTTTGAAAAAAAAAAAAATAGACTGTTAGCTAGACTAATAAGGAAGATAGACGAGTCAAATAAATACAGTCACAAATGGTAAGAGGGATATTACCACTGATCCTACAGAAATACAGACAAGCATCAGAGAATATTATAAACACCTCTGTGCACATAAACTAGGAAACCTAGAATAAATAGATGAATTCCTGGACACAAACATGCTCCCAAGACTGAGCAAGGAAGAAATTGAATCCCTGAACAGACTAATCACAAGTTCTGAAACTGAGGCAGTAATAAATAGCTCACCAACCAAAAAAAGTTCAGGACCAGAGGGATTCACAGCTGAATTCTATCAGATGTACAAAGGGCCAGGAACACTCCTACTGCAACTATTCCCAAAAATTGAAAAAGGAGGGACTCCTCCATAACTCTATCGGGCCAGCATCATCCTGACACTGAAACCTGGCAGAGATACAACAAAAAAGAAAAGTTCAGGCCAATAAACTTGATGAACATCCATGTAAAAATTCTCAAAAAAATATACTGACAAACTGAATCCAGCAGCATATCAGAAAACTAATCCACCATGATCAAGTAGGCTTCATCCCCAAGATACAAAGTTGGTTCAACATACACAAATCAATAAATGAGTCATCATATAAACAGAACTAAAGACAAAAAACACATGATTACCTCAACAGATGCAGAAAAGACTTTTGATAAAATACAACATCCCTTCATGTTAAAAACTCTCAATAAACAAGGTATTGAAGGAACATACCTCAAAATTAAAAGAGCCTTATATGACAAATTTGTGGCCAACATCATACTGAATGGGGAAAAACTGGAAATATTCCCCTTGAAAACTGTCACACAACAAGGATTCCCCCTCTTATCATTCCTATTCAACATAGTATTGGAAGTTCTGGCCAGGGCAATCAGGCAAGAGAAAGAAATAAAGGGCATCCAAATAGGAAGAGAGGAAGACAAAATATTACTCTTTGCAGATGACATAATCCTATGTCTAGAATGTCTGGTAATCTTTGATTAGATGACAAATATTGTTGAATTTGACTTTGTAGGGTGCTGGATAATTGTAAATATTCCTGCATTTTAATCTAGGCTTCAGTTTGTTACTAGAAAATAATTTGATTCTTTTTATTTTGCTTTTATAATTTGTTAGGAAGATCAAAAATAGCGTTCCGATACAGGCTATTTATTCCCTACTATTGAGGCAATACTTCTTGAGTATTGTACACAATGTCCTGTGAATTCTGACTTTTTTCACTCTGACTCTTGCAAAGAGGCACTTTTCCTGGCCTTGTGAGAGTGCTGAGTACTGTGTCTTCTAATTCTCTTAGGACTGGACTTAGCTCATCTCATTTGTTTCTTCTCTCTTAGGGATTATTGACCAATGTACAATGTCTTGAAAACTGTTGTTTCATATTTTATCCCTCCTTCTCTTTTATTCCATGTGGGAGGGTATATCAAGTCTTTGACATTATATGTTGAGTGCATGTAGAATTCTAGACTGTCACTTTTAAAACTAAAAGTCAAAAATATGATTTATATATCAATATGAAAATTCTGCTTGTTCTTTTGTGGCACACATTTAATTTGGGGTCTAACTTGAGTTAAGTATAAGCAGACCTTTATTTTTCAACTACAATGAGATAATGAGTTTGTTCTTGTTAGTTAAAAAGGAACAAACTTGCTCACACATGTAGGAATTCTAAAGCTGAAGCAAAAGATTCACCAATTCCCACTAAATTGCAAAAAAACTCTTAGTTCACAGATATCTAGGACTTATCTAGGGGCAGATGTTTAAATCTTATCTGAGTGTATGATCAGGCTGTAGCCCAAAAAGTTCTAACTCTTCTCTCAAAGTCAAATGATCAGGCTGAGCAGAAGATTAAGATAAAATGTCCTGCACCAAATCATGCACTTGTTTTCAAAGGGAAGGAAAGCACTGTTCAATTTTGTACTGCATTCCCTCCAGGTGGTTTTCAATAGTACTTGACATTTGCTAATATCCTTTCTCACCCTCAAGTCCAGAGAGCAGAGAAAGTGTTTTATTGTTATTCTTTTGCACATAAAATTTTCCAAAAATTTGGTTTTATTTTTAATTCAATTAAATTTTTATTTAAAATTAAGACATTTTTCTAGGATCTTGTAGTCTTATGCAATTGGTTCATGTATTAAAAATGTCATCAAAGTAGACTGGCTCTACAACTATTATTCATCTTCAAGGTACTCAGTGAAATCTACCCAGTGCATTCTTGAAAGTATTCCAATAATTTACTTTTCAGTTCAAACACTTTTCAGTTCTTCACAGTTTTTATGTGAAGAAATAGGAAATATTTTCACATAAAAACTAGACAGAAGCTTTCTGAGAAACTTCTTTGTGATGTGTGGTTTCATCTCACGGAGTTGAACCTTTCTTTTGATTGAGGTATGAAAGTTCTGTATTTAACAGGGAAATTAAATTAGTTTTATTCGCATTATTACAATTTTTTAAATAAGCCATTCCTAGCTGAACTGGACTGAGTTTAATATAATTAACTATTTTATAGCATTACACAGAAGTTTTTCCATTTTATTTCTAAGAATATTTAATATTAGCAGCTCTCTGTGGAGAAAACAGTGTGTTTTAATAATTTCAGGATTTTCTTTTTGTTATAAGAGAGGCAAAAATATTTCACGTAGTCTATCTTTGATTAGGTGCAACCAAAACAGATTACAATAGAAACCTTCCAAAATATCAATGCTTTTCCACATATTAAGACAAAATATAAAATATGTCTTGGCTTATGTCTGTTTGTGGGAAACACTATGCAGAAGAAACTATTTTCCTGAATATCACTATAATTTATAGTTTTTACAAATGATACAGCATGACATTTGTTGGTGAAATTTGTTAACGTCAATTTGGCTATAGAGCTCGTTTTCCAGTTTATCACACAAAATCTTTTAAACATCATGGGGAATATCATCGGTATGTCAATTTATCATACTACTTAAAATTAGAACACTTTTGGTTTCTTATACTGAATCTTGTTTAGTATTTGAGTCACTATTATTTTGCATGCTGACAATAGTAGGTTCTCAAGAACTATGATTTTTCCCTTTTCTTGGCAATAACTTACTTCTAGACCGCTTTTACTGAATGCTGCCTTTGAAACGAAAGATTCATTTTGTTTGTTTTGAGATACACATCAACTTTACTTACCAAATTTTTGTTTTTTTACTTTAGCTATCTTTTCGATTTTTCTGGAGCCATAGACTATCATAATGGAGGGATAATTTGGATTGCCAGCTAATGTAAAAATCCATTGATAACTTTTTTGTAAAGATGAAAATTTTTTAGATCTCTGTTACATCAGTATAGTGAAATGACTTAGAAAATTATAACTCTCCATTGCTAACCTATTCAGGATTTTTCATAGGCCTTGGCTTAGAATTTTTCTCTGCAATTTTTCATGTTATCTTAACAAATCACCAAGTTAAACAAGTCAGATATATTTGTAAAAAAAAAAAAGAAAATAATTAAAATGCGAATTAAAAGGTATAGCATAAAATTAATGAGAAAATTACAAAATTTATAAATAGTTAATAATGCAATTGACTTATAAACTACACATTTCAAGTTTAACAACTTTTACAATTATAGGAAAGTATTAAAGGGTAACCGAGTCAATGCAAATACAAATTTCTTCTTCAGAGCAAAATTTCCTTCCAATTTTTTGTTATGTAGGTAGAGCTTTTTTGCTTCTACATGCCATTGGTACATAAGGTGGGGGTTGTAACACCTACCTCACATCAAAACTGGGAATGGACCCACCGAATGAATACATTCCTATTGTATTCTGTGATAGAGGTTTTAAAGACCCATAAAGATATTGCTGAGTGGCTGATAAGAATACAACCTTTTAAACTCCATGTTTATTTTTTAATAATAATTTCTCACATGACTCTTGTGTCTTCTCTCAAAGTCAAGCATTCTGTGAAACATTAGTTGGGAAACCCTGATTTATAGCATAGACATTTTGAGGGTCTAAATTCTTTCCTCATAGCTCTGTGAGGCCATTAAAAGCACTGGTTAGTTTCTTGGTTTTGTTTTTGTTTTGTTTTTGTTTATATATATATAAACATGTATTTATATATACATATGTGTATATATATAAAAACGGGCAGACACTGCAGAAGAAAAGTAGTCTCAGGTCCTGGATTCAATTCTCTGGATTTGCTTCTATTTCCTGGTAATGCCCCCATAATTCTTCTTTAGCTTTCCTGTGACATCAGTCAGATATTTACAGATGTTTTCTCCATCTTTGCAAATTGTACTCAGCAGGAAGTTTATTTTAAATTACTTAGCTCACCATTACCAGAAGTGACTCTTCTTTCTTCTCATATCCTTGTCTCTTCTCTTATATGGGTGATCTAATCCAGTTTACTTTACATATATACTGAATGCTTCCCAAACTTGTAAGGTTAATGTTTTAATATTCACCTCTCTCCAGCTATGTATTTAAAATATTCTCTTGGATTTTACCATGCATTTTAAATGTAACACTTCCAAAATGGAATTTAAAAATTATTCTACTCCTAATTTGCTTTTCACGAAATCTGCCATGTTTCAACAAATGGCATCATTATCTACCCAGGTGCTCTGTCTTAGTCCATTTTAGATGCTGTAACAAATGCCAAGACCAGATAATTTTTAAACAACAAAACTGTATTTCTCAAAGGTCTGAAGATTGTAAAATCCAATAACCAAGGTGCCAGCCAATTTGGTGTCAGAAGGGGCTCAGTTTTTGTTTTGTAGATGGCACCTTTTTGCTTTGTCCTCATGTGGTAAGAGAAAAAAGGCAGCCATTGGGGCCTCATTTATAATGGTATTAATCTAATCCGTGAAGATAGAATCTAATCACTTCCCAAGAGCCATTATATTGTCTATTTGGTTTCAACATAGGGATTTTGTGAGGACACAAACACTCAGACCATAACATGCTCAAAACACAAGGTACGTGTTACTTTTGAGTGCCCACGTTCCTTTATCCCCCACGCTCAGTTAATTACTGAGTCCTCCAACTCAAAATAAATCAATAAAGAGATATACTTATCTGTTCATCTTCACAGTTATTGTTTCTTACTTATGAGTGTATAACTTCCTACTTTAATCATGCAATGGTTTCCCAATACACTTACAATAAAGTCCAAGATCCTCAGCAAGTTTTCTAAGGCTCTTAATTCCTCTGACATACTGTTGCTATCTTCTCAGTCAGCCAAACTCAAGTAACTTTATTTTTTTCTAATCTGCCATACTCTTTCATGTTGTAACGTTTCACTTGTTTTTGATTATTGGAAATTTTTCCATTCTTCAACTGATTCTATTCCTCTGGAAAATCATCTTTCAGGTCTCAATTTATGAAACGCTTTATGTGGAAGATAATCTATGATGTTTTACCTTCCAGGTATTTCAAGATGGAGTACGTAAACCTCTTCTGCCCTCCTATAGCATTATGGACATTATGGATTGATATGGTTTGGCTGCATCCCCATCCAAATCTCATCTTGAATTGTAGCACCCATAATTCCAACCTGTTGTGGGAGGGACCTGGTGGTAAATAATTGAATCATAACGGTGATTTCCCCCATACTGTTCTCATGATAGTGAATTAGTCTGACAAGATCAGATGGTTTTATAAGGGGCTTCCCCTATCACTTGGCTTCCATTCTATCTTGCCTGCTGCCACATAAGATGTGCCTTTCCCTTTCTACGATGATTATGAGGCCTCCCTAGCCACATGAAACTGTTGAGTCCATTAAAACTATATTATATATATATATGTATATATTACCCAGTCTCAGATATGGCTTTATCAGCAGCATGAAAACAGACTAGTCCATGGGTTTCATTTATTATTGTGCCCCCATCACCTAACCAAATTCCTCTTACACAATAGAGCTTCAATAAGTGTTGTTGAATAAATAAAATTTCTTGCAAGAAAGAGATATTCACTCAGAGTCCTATTGATACTTCATGTTTCTCCTTAGACTTACCCTTAGATATTACAAATTGTATTTTCCTATTAATTTTAAAGAGTCTAACTCATCAAGAATTTTAGTGTTCTATTTGGTGTGAGAAATAAATTGATTTTTTCTTCATGATGATATTTAACATTTTGTTTCTAATATATGACATCTTATGTGTCACACACCAAATGACTGTATAAGTTTTACTGTTTCTAAAATTTCTTTGTCAACTAACTAATTCATATATAAACCAAGTTGTCATACAATTTCAACAATTTTTACAATATCTTTTAACTTTTATTTTAGGTTTGGGGGTATGTGTAATGGTTTGTTACAAAGGTAAAAATGGGTAACAGGGGCTTTTGTACATATAATTTCATCACTCAGGTATTAAGCCCAATAGTTATCTCAAAGATAACCCAGCAGAGATCTTTTCTGCTCCTCTCCCTCCTCCACCCTCCTCTCTCAAGTAGGCCCCAGTGTCTGATGTTTTCTTCTTTGTGTTCATCTCTTCTTACCATTCAGCTCCCTCTTATAAGTAGGTACATGCAGTATTTGGTTTTCTGTTCCCCATTAGTTTGCCAAGGACAATAGTCTCCAACTCCATTCATGTTCCAACAAAAGGCATGATCTCGTTCTTCTTTATGGATGCATAATATTCCATGGCATACATTTACCAAATTCTCTTTATCCAATCCATCATTGATAAGCATTTAGATTGATTCTACATCTTTGCTATTGTGAATAGGGCTGCAATGAACATTCACAATGCATGTGTCTTTAAGACAGAATGATTTATATACCTCTGGGTATATACCCAGTAATGGGACTGCTGAGTCGAATGGTAGTTCTTCTTTTAGCTCTCTGAGGAATAGACATACCTTTTTATACAATGGTTGAACTAATTTACACTCACACCAACGGTGTATGTGTTTCCTTTTATCCACAACCTTGCCAGCATCTGTTTTTTTTTTTTTTACTTTTTTTTATAATAGCCATTCTGACTGATGTGAGATGGTATCTCACTGTGGTTTTGATTTGCATTTCTCTAATGATCAGTAATATTGAGCTTTTTATCATATGCTTGCTAGCTGCATGTATGTCTTCTTTTGAGAAGTGTCTGTTCATGTCTTTTGCCCACATTTTAATGGAGTTGTTTATTTTTCTTTTGTAAATTTGTTTAAGTTCTTTATAGAAGCTGGTTATTAGCCTTTTGTCAGATGCATAGTTTGCAAAAATTTTCCCCCATTCTGTAGACTGTCTGCTTACTCTGTTGATAGTTTCCTTTGCTATGCAGAAGCTACTATATTTAATTAGATACTATTTGTCATTTTTTTTGCTTTTATTTCAATTGCTTTTGGTGTCTTTGTCATGAAATCTTTGCCCCTTCCTATATCCAACACGGTATTACCTTGGTTGTCTTCCAGGGATTTTATAATTTGAGGTGTTACATTTGTCTTTAATCCATCTTGAGTTGATCTGTGTGTATGCTATAAGGAAGAGGTCCAGCTTCAATTTTCTGCATATGGCTAGCCAGTTATCCCAGCACTATTTATTGAATACGGAGTCTTTTCCCCATTGCTTGTTTTTGTCAGCTTTGTCGATGATCAGATGGTCATAGATGTGTGGCCTTATGTCTGGGCTCTCTATTCTGTTCCATTGATCTATGTGCCTGTTTTTGTAACAGTACCATGCTGTTTTGGTTACTGGAGCCCTGTAGTACAGTTTGAAGTCAGGTACGTGATGGCTACAGCATTGTTCTTTTTTTTAGAACTGACTTGGCCATTTGGGCTCTTTTTTGTTCCATATGAATTTTAAAATGGGTTTTTCTAGTTTTGTGGAGCATGTCTTTAGTAGTTTGGTAGGAATAGCATTGAATCTGTAGATTGCTTTGGGCAGTATAGCCATTTAAATATTAATTCTTCCTAGCCATGAGCATGGAATGTTTTTCCATTTGTTTGAGTCTTCTCTGATTTCTTTGAGCCATGTTTTGTCATTCTCATTGTACAGATCTTTCACCTCCCTGGTTAGCTGTATTCCTAGGTATTTTATTCATTTTCTGGCAATTGTGAATGTAATTGCCTTTCTGATTTGGCTCTTGGTTTTGCTGTTGTTGTTGGAATGCTAGTGGTTTTGTACATCAATTTTGTATTCTGCAATTTTGCTAAAGTTGTTTATCAGCTGAAGGAGCTTTTGGGCTGAGACGGTGGAGTTTATAGATATAGAATCATGTCATTTGCAAACAGATATAGTTTGACTTCCTCTTTTCAATTGAATGTTTCAATTGAAGGTGTGGTATTTACTTGACTTTTCAGTGCTCTTCATTAGAGACACACACACTGGCTGCTTCTAGGCAGCCATCTTGACCAATATGTTTTAAGTTTGGTGGAACATATGTTCTATTGTGACTCTTTTTACACAATAGTTTTCTTGCCTGCTTATTTTTCCATATCAAGCATGTTAACATATTTTCTTATTAGACCATTAAATTTTTCAACTTTGCCTTTCAAGTAGTATAATAGTTAGCATATGATGGCACATAATAAATATTAAGCAAAAATTCTGCATTCAACTTGGAATATAATTTTCTGTTTAATACATTAGGTTTCTTCCTCAGATGAGAGTAAACAATTTAATTTGTTAAAACATTCTTTATTTTCACATTAACATTTTATATGATTTTTATTAAAGTTTTGTATGCCCCTTAAATTAGGTGACACAATTTAATCTTTGGTTATATTTCAAATGAGTGTTCTTTTCATATGTGAACATATTTGTATGTATTTTTGCTATTTACATTTCGTGTTTCACTATTCAGGAAATTTTTTCCTAATTTATCTGTATTGAGCATAAAATCAAAATTATTAATGAGAAAATAGACTAATGTTTATAAAGTTGGTTTTAGCTTGCTCTAATCTTCATAGATTTGGTGTTGTGTATCATCACTCTTCTTGAAATTACCTTCTCTCTTGACTTTTTGATACCTATCTTTAAAGGATTTCTCTTCAGATTTTTTTCTCAGCTCCTTTTGTACAAACCTTTTCCTTGCAGTGTCCTTAGGGTTTTCTGTTCAATTCTCATAGAATTCTACATAATCTCATTTGTAAACTGTTGCCTTAAGTTGTCATTTTTCTGATTATGATCTCTAAGATGTTGTTTTTTTTGTCCAGGAATGTTGCTTGACCCTTATACTTTATTCTTATCTTCTGGATATCTCTATCTGAATTGTGCATTAGTACTCCAATGAGTCCATTTTTAAAACTTAAATAATCATCTTTATTACTCCCATTTTTCAAGTCATAAAAGAATAAATATAATCTTTTCATACTGCTTCATTTCATATTTCTGTGACTGTCATTCAAACAATAAATAATCTGAGACTCCTATCTCCCCATCATTATCTTGCATATAACCAGCTGTCACCAAATCTTGTTTTTCTGACTCTAAAAGGTTTCGCATTTTCCTTCACTCTAACTGTCTTTGCCGAAGTTCAGTTTTTCAGTATCTTTTGGCAATTACATTATCATCATGATTTCCTCACTCATTTCTTGTGCCAATCTTTTTCCTGCTTCTAGTCTATCCTCCATAGTACTGCAAAATAAATATTTTACTGAAGTTAAGGTAAAATATTTTACTGAGCCCAGTAATCTCCTCTACTGTTTAATGCAGTGTCTTCATGGTATTCAATAGTTAGTTGCAAAGGAAAAATTCAATCAACATTTCTTGTTTAACTTCTGTTTCCAGTGAATAAAACACTAACTAATTTCTTTAGTTTTATATAGATGTGACTTGCTGGTCATTCTTTCAAAACATTGCATATTATGAGCCAGGAATTATGCCAGACATAAATGATACAAAATGAAGAAGATGTGTTCTCCACCTTAGTCTGCAAAAGCAAATGAGAGACTCAAAAATGTAAACCAGCAAACCAAAAAACAAAATAATTGCAACTGCTAGATACGAATATCATTTTATGGCAATACGAGATAGTAAAAACTTACAAGGATAAGTTTCAAAAAGTTTCGGGTTGATTCTGGGAGAATGACTTTGAGTATTATATGTGAAGAAATAGAAGGGAAGCTTCTTGGGTAAAGCAAGCCAAGATTTATCAAAGTACAAGTTTTTTTTAAATAGTCCAGAGATGAGATTTATTTAACAAGAAAATAGCTGAGGTAAAAATCTAAGGAGAAAAAACAGAGCCAGGAGGGGCATCTCCATTTCATTGAGATTTTTCTTTACAGAGGTATACAGAGAATATTTGCATTTGGTATACAAATAATAAATATAGAAAATTATTCTTTGCCTTTAGCATGCAAACGTTCTAAATTATTTATGAACCTAAACATATTAATTTCTAGAAAGTCTAAATAAGTGTCTCTGGCAGGTTAAATTATCAATAATTTACATTTTCAATGAGAGGTTATCTTATTGTTTTAATTATTATATTTAAATTAAAGCACTTCTAGAATTAAAAATTTTTAAATAAATCTGGAATGTTGTAACAAAAATCTGGGTATTTCCTGGTGCTAAATTGATTGAAAGCTACATGCAAATGCTAAATTTAGAAAACATAAAGTTGAGTAGAGTTAGAGTTACTAACCTATCTCAAAAAAAATTTCTAAGGCCTAGGTTACATTTTTTAATACTATATCATATATCATAATCTCTGCCTTGGGATGAATTATTTCTGCTGTGAAAAAATTTAGGTGTTGTGGATGGTATTTATCTGATAACTAAACCACTCTGTGCACACAATACTCCCTGTTATCTATGTAGATGTTCAGTATGATCCGGCGGATATAACTGTGAAATATTTTTTGTTACCTGGAAACAGTATTTATCTCCTTTTTTACTACTTACTGCAATTGAAATAATTCAGTACTTAATATTTTCTCTCACATTTTTAAAGTATCTCAAACCAGAGAAACAAAAACCAAACACATCCCAAATAAATCTCACACCCATAGAAGTGAGGATCATTTTGTAGTTGTTGTTTTATTGTTTGTTTTTTTACTCTGATTAAATGGAAGTATAATAGAGAATCTCTGAAAGTTGAGAGGAAATAAAGTTCTCATCCTTTGTGACAGAGCTCATTTTTAGACGTACCCATTACATAAAAAAATAGGTGAGATTTAATCAAATTCATGTTTACCAAATATCGTTGCTTAAGACGAGGCAACAATTGTTTAAGATATGCAGTGTATTACTTTCAAAAATCAAATAAGAGGAGTAGATTGATAAGCAAAAAAGATGTAACACTGAATAAAGATGACTAAATATTTGCAACAATGTTAAACAGACAGAGATCAATTTAATTTTAGACTTTATATTGCTAAAATAAAGCATATTTCCTACAGCTTAGAGCTCAATGAGTACTCATTATTCCATTATGTTTATTAATCATATGAAGAAAAAACCCTGACAGTTAAGGGAAAGATGTATTAGCTCAAGAAGCATCTAACGGAAAAGATTAAATTTGTTCTGTTACATGATTTCACTACTTTTATTTGTGCTTTCTTAAATTCCCAAGATCGATGATTATAGGTAGAAGCAGAATTGTAGTTTTGGAAGTCACAGAATATAGGTGGAATCAGAAACTTCCAACTGTATTCAAATCTACTTCACAAAGGAAATGAAATTACCAGAAAAATAAAGATAAGAAAAATGGGAGATTCTCTTTATTTTGTCTCTAGTCTACTTTGCTGACATTGGTAAATAGGATAAAATATAAGCACCAAAACCTCAAAGATTTTCTTTTCACCTTGAAGTAAAAATAAGATAATGTTAGATGTTTCTTTGGTTACACAGGTAGAAAAATTGAATCCAAGGGACATTAAAAATTACAATTTGTTGTGACAAACTAGCCTTGAACACAGGTTTCCTAATAACAAATACAGTACCCTTTTGACTATATTTTAGGTTATAAACAGGGAGGTGAAAATAATCTTTCTAAAGCAAACATAATTATTAAGAGTAGAGAATAAATTAGTAAAAGTATAATAACCAATATTGGTTTAGTCATGAATTAATTATTTACGACAGTAAAGCTAAGGCAAGGCAGAAACAGATGTTTTTAAAACATAAACAGATGTTTTTAAATTTGAATGAAACATTAATGTACCTGTAAAACTATCATGTAAAGATTTTTAAAATTCATCATAAATACTCCTGCCAAAGAACCTAGTCCCAACTAAATGATCTTTAAGTACAGTCACCCCATGAACATGACTGTTTGGCTCTTCAATTCCAATGATAACTTCTATAAACAGTCATAATTAAGTAAAATCAGATCAGGTGGCATGCCTAGGTGCATTTTTTTTGGTAAATGGATATAAGACAAATAAGCAAAAAAGAAACTCATTCTTATTTTGCATGCATCGAGTTTTTTCAATAACAAGTTGTTATGAATCATCACTCTAAATTGAATTTTTTTAATAAAATGAGTTTTGAAGAAACATCCTAAAAGCATAGCAACCCTATTATAGACCATTTTTCCCACTGGTCAGTGCTATTCAACTGCTATTCAAATACAATCCAGTCATGAGAAAATATTTGCTGGGCACATTATCTGAGGTACCTTTTAAATTATTTCTCGAAACTAGAGGCATGTATGCATTTTGTTTCAAACAGATCTTTGAATCTGGTAAGTAAAACATAAAAATATTCTTTTTATGACAGCTTGTTTTGGAGTATAGTCACTAGAGCTGTTTCTATTTTAAATATACCTCAGTGGCATATAATTATGGTTTCATGGGATATTTGATATTTACAGGCAGATTGAGCTTTCCCCATAATAATGCCACTTTAATTATTAGTATAACAAAAAATTGAAAGAAAAAACATTTAGTTTCATCATTCCTTTGGCAACTGTTCTCAGAAATGAGAATTTCATCAAGTTCTGTTCACGTCTCTTCAAATAAGGAATGATTTAAAACATTCCTACCCTTATTCCACAAAGAAGGAATCACTATGTTAAACAGACGTTACTAAAAACTAACTGGTGACCTTGAAAACATGATATTTGCTTTTTACAAAGGAAACTATAATGCTTCAGAAGAAAAGCAGCACAGCAACCAAAAAGTTTTTTTCATAAGCTTAAACTAAAGCACTTAGCATATTAGCATTCTGTTAGCAGTCTTTCAGTTACAACACATCAGGAAAAGAGATAGAATATGGGCAGACAAAAGCATTTGACAAGCTAAATGGAGAGAAAGTTGCAACTGAATGTGAATCGAGGAAAAAAATATATTTCTCAACGCTTACCATATTCTGAGGTTAATAGTCTCTTGTAAGAGCAGCCTTCCAGCACCCGTTTCTCTCCCAGTGTGACTTTCTTAACTCACAAAGAGAAACAGATGCTATAAAGGCAAACTGAGATACATTTTCAGTGGTTCCTTTGACTTCTATGAGCATTAAATGTATTTTGCTTTTCATTGAGCATGAAATGATTTTCATCACCTAATAGCCACAATTACTGAAAATTCAGAAAAATTACATTATGATATTAAAAGACTGTAAAGAGAGCAATGTATTCAGTCTGTGAAAGTGATCATGAAATTATTTGCATTAGTCACTATGACCGAAGCCTCCATATATGTACATATATATTTAAAAGAGAACAGCTGTAAGTTATTTTTATAAAGGATACATGGTATGCTAAAGATAAAGATTCAAGGTTGAAAAACTTTTGTATTTTTTCTTAACTAGGAGAACACTTGAAGGCCTACATGTTTAGAGAATTGCTTTAAAATTTAGATAACTCTTGCTTGAAAGTTATATACATCTAGGTTATTTTTTCATGCAATACAGGTAATACAGAAGTGAATATATATATATATATATATATATATATATATATATGTTACATATATACCTGCACACATATATACACATACACATATGCACATAAACATTGCATGTGTATATATACATTTACTGTATATAACAATATATATAATACATATTTATATATTTAATACATAATTATATATAATTACAAACTATATATATTTCCATTATATATTGTTCATTTTCCGTTTTTGTCTTCTGTGTGGATTCATATTTAAGAATGTTCTACAAGCCTGAATAGTAATTCACAGAATTTCTGCTCTAACATATTTTTATCTTGCTAGAAGAAATTTAACTTTCAGGCCACTTTTGTTTTCTTTCCTCATCGGTAAATTAAATGAGGTAGGAGAACATATGTAAGAGCATAAAACTACCTCAGGGCTTGGGATGATACTTCCAGAAAGTTAAGATGGAAATAGATTTGAAAAAGATTTGTAAATAAGAGCGAATAATTTACCCAGGCTTGATGCACATTTTCTGTCTAGAAAACTAACTTTTTCTAAAATGTATAATATTATCCTCATATCCTAATGAATACTTTTAATGAAATTTCACAATGTTCCTGTAAAAATCAACACCAGAAAGTGAGACAATCTAGATGGCCAGGAACATAAGGCTAGTATCTGGAAAAATAATACTGTATCTAAGGACTAGTGGATGTCGTAAAATATACTGTTATTTTATTTACCTCTATAGGGGATGTCTCTCAAGAAATAAGACATAAGAGAATTTTAGTTTTTTTCTTAGAGTAAGTAAAAATAAAAATAAAGATTCCCTGGTTATGAACAATGTACAATAGTTAAACCATCCTGAGGTACCAAGAAGCTGCTTTTGAGTCATAATGATTACGATCATATCTGTAGTAAAAGGAATACAATAATGTTTACTTTTAAGATAGTATTGAAAACTAATATAAAATGCATGCAAAATACATAGGACAGCGTTCAACATACAGTAGTCAATAAAAAGTAGCAATTACAAAATAATAGGAATAATTATTAAATGATGGCTGCATTAATAATAAATGCTATTATAGATGTATTTGCTATGAAAGTATAAATTAAGTTCAGCTAACTCAGACTTAAATATAGTCTCTTGAGACTCTATAAAAGTCAGACCACCCATTCCAATTAAGTCTTGAAAGAATAAGATTTAGGTAAATGAAGGAGCAATTCAGATGTAAAGAATTACATGGGCAAAAGCAAAAGCCTATACTAGGATGCTATGTTGAACAATCACTAAATAGTTCAAAATTTACCAACCCAATATTTGTACATAAATATATAAAAATGTAGTAAGTTATCATGCTACATTGTAATTTATTTTACACACTTTGGTTTCCTTTAATAGATTGCTATTTCACTGAAAGCAGTGGCTTTGTCTTAAGCATGTCAGTATCCCCAACTGCCTAATTAAGTACAATGACCATTTGATGAATGAATTTTAAAAGTGAATAAGATATAGCCATCCTTCTGCAGGAATTGTATGCTGTGGAAGAGGAAAACAAGTGGTATCAGAGAAGAGAACGAATAATTTCAATGTAGGCAGATAAAAGAGGTATGCCAAATTACTATGGGAGGAAAGGGGAAGGTGTGATTGTCTGTGTGGAAATAAATTCAGAGCCATAAGGCAGCCAGAGTAGAACTTGGAACAGCCAGTGATGGTTTCTGTGAGGCATGTTTTTGGTAATGCTATCTCAAGTTGCTGGTGAGTGAGGAATTCAGTGTGCAGGACATGCCCATTTGAGGACAGAAAGTTGTAAAAGAAAACACAGGTGCCAAGAGGCCAGGTCCTGCAGGAGCAAAATCCATCATGCCCAACAGGCCTCAGGAACCCAATATGGATGCCAGATTCTCACTTTCTCACAATAAGAAAATGTATAGGTTGATAGGACTTACAGTAAATACATCACAATATAATTAAATACATCAGTGTCCTTTTAGCTGTTTCAAAAATGTTAGCTTCTTTCTAATAGATTGCAATTTTCTAAGGACAATAAATTGTAAATTATATCCTATACTTTTTTCATGATATTATGTTGATATCCTATGAACTATGGTGTTCTCTCTAGATCACCTCTCTAGGGTCAAGCACCCATCTCCCAGCTACTGGAAGTATTGGTAGATGATGGGCTCATACTGTGTGCCCTTCACTGGGAATTGCCATTGGCCACAGGAACCATCCTTGCCTAAACTGTCTGCAGTCAATGACTGGAAGATGTAAAGATACAAGTTCCAGTTTCCTTATCTCCATTAATAATAATTCTGAAAGACTATTTAGCTCCAGAGATTTCTGTAGAATTGGTTGAAGATTCACTTCCAGCCATGTTGTAACATACGTTCTTTCTTTGACCAATCTTGATTTCCTCAGTTCCCTACAGTGTATTACTCAAAAACAATCCTCAATAAATCTTCTGTTACAATTTCTAGATCAGATTTTGCTTCTGAAGAACACATCTTAAGAGAGCTTCTATGAAGGTCAGTTCTAAAAAACATACTCTTACATAAAATTTTGGAAATGAATCAATTGTCAGTTAGCTTGCATTGAGAAGCCATAATTGGTAGTTAACTGGAGTATGGCTAGTCTCTGCCATGCTGTAGCAATGCAATTGTTAAGATCCCACTAATGGTTAACTGGAATGTGGTATCAGTAGAAAGGGACATCCTAAACTGGTATGATATCCTTGCCACTAGAGAAATACGACAGGATTGGTAATTATAAATACTATGGCATTGGGTGAGTGCTACTGACTTCCATTGTTTGTTGAAGAGAGGTAATGACAGGGTCAGGGTGATTAATCACCAAATCAAAGCAAAGTGTGAAACCCAGAGTGGCTTCTAGGCATGATTTATGGAAACCCAGATATTTTGCATCTGAAAGTCAGAGAGCAGTGAACAAGGCTTAGGACGAAACTATAGCAGAAAATTTCAGAAAACGTTGAATCATCAATCTTAAGAGATCTCCTAAATTAACATCAAGGCCATAGTAGGAAAGAAGTGGGAACTTTTTGTTGAAATAAGGGAATTTGTACTCAGTCAAGGATTGGATAACTATCTATCAAGTATTATGCTTACTACCAGGGTGATGAAATAATCTGTACACCAAACCCCCATGACATACAATTCACCTATATAACAAACCTGCACATGAGCCCCCGAACCTAAAATAAAGGTTTTTTTAAAAACCACACATGCATACATATGTTCATTGCAGCACTGTTCCCAATAGGAAAGACATGCAATCAACCTAAATACTCATCAACAGTTGACAAGATAAAGAAAATGTGGTACAGATACACCATGGAATACTCCACAGCCATAAAAAAGAATGAGATTGTGTCCCTTGCAGCAACATGGATGCAGCTGGAGGCCATTATGCTCAGCAAACTAACACAAGAACACAAAACCAAATACCACATGTTCTCACTTATAAATGGAAGCTAAACATTGAGTACATATGGACACAAAGAAGAGAACAAGAGACACCAGGGCCTACTTGAGGGTGGAGGTCAAGAGGAGGGTAAGCATCAAAAAACTACCTGTCGAGTACTATCCTTATTACCTAGTTGATGAAATAATCCGGTCACCAAACACGCAGTTTTTCTACATAACGAACCTGTACATATAACCCTAAACCTAAAATAAAAGTTAAAAAAAAAATCGGGGGTGGGGGTGGATCTGGTTAAGTACCATCCTGAAATCTGAAATTCCAGATTCCCCTGTACCCACTGGGCCTACAGAAGTGACCTGACCCTTTTTGTTAAAAGATCATACTGCTCCTGCCTGAAGACAATACAGAGGCTTCAAATGAGGCAGGTACCTTTATAGGATCATTTCCTCCTAACATTCCAACAGACAATGAGGGTTAAATCCCAGTACAGTTCAGCTTCACAGTGAGAAAAAGAACACATACACCATAATAGCTATAAGACCTAGAAAACATATATTTACAGGAACTACGAGAATATGCATGAGGCTGGAACCTAAGGGGTTATAACATAAATTTGATACATTAGTTTTTTAATATATAGTAGTAGTAGTGGTATCCTACCATAAAGCTTTAAAAGACTGTTAAGAACCCCATAATACAGAACATAAACACTGCTAGGTTGGCTGTTGGAACTTGAAAACAAACAAACAAAAACAAACAAAACATGGCTCCGAATAAGTGAAATAGAAATGTCAGAACCATCATGGCCAACAGCAAAGAAAACATTAACAGGGCCAGAGAAGTGGCCATGGTAGAGTGTGTACGTAAGGCTGGAAAACCCACTAACACACTGTGCTTCAAAAGAGGGCCCAGAGGACATGCTTCACAAACTTAATAAGAAATTCCCTGGTGAGAAGATGTATTGTAAATATGTATATATTTTTAATTTTTCCATGCATTGATGTTTTAACATCTTTAAGAACCTTTCTAGCTGTTGAGAGACTTGGTAGCCAATTCTTAAAAATAACAAAAGGCACAACCAGGACCATGTCATTAATATGCAAACTCAGCAACCCAGAGCCATGTCTTCTCTATGTGGCCTGTACACACTAGAGGGTAATATTTCTCAGTCTTAATCACCCCAGGACCAGGCAACAGGAAACACTGCCACAGCCTAAAGCCGGCTAAAATTATTCAGGCTAGCCAATCCTAAACTGTTCACCCTGCCCTGACTTGTGTTTTTCTTAGAAACACCAATGAAGTCAATGGCCTAATCCTTCCCCTTGCTCCTATCTTCTGTCCCCTGACCACACTGGTGTCTTTCCCCATATGGCACCACAGGGCATGCTTTGTCTTCTGTCTCTAGGATCTGGGAGTATAATAAACTTTGTTTTTTTCCTGAGCCTCTCCTCTGTCTCCTCTTTTGATCACACCTATCTGACTATTCCACAAAAAGAATTACAAAACACAGCAATGCCAACATCATAGCAAACCACAAGGGTAACTGTCTTTTGTAGGTCAGGTTCAGTGGTGGAGATGCTGTTTCAGGAATGGGTTCCCTGGGAGCAATGAAGCTGATAAGGATCTCATAATAATAGAGACCACTGGTTGCACTTAAACATCAAGGTACGTGCAATCATCAGGATGCACAGCAAGACTAGAATGGCAGTAGAGGGATATAACCTGAAGAGCTAGGGAACAAGATGTTCCTAACACCTGGCCCCATCTCTGAACTCAGTATTAATGAAGAAATTATTGGTGACTCACTTTTATGCAACTTGGATGTGAAGGAACACAGCCTTAGTCTAGTGGGCAGGGCCATCACAAGTAAGAACCCAGTATTTCTACTGACAACAAATCCACCCAAAGTTTCCATACTTCCCTGGTTCTGAAAACCCTGGGAGCATAGCAATATACTGATAGTCAGTTATGAGTCCAAGAGGGCTTAATCCAGGGCATCCAATTATTCCTGTGTGGTGTGGTGACGAGATTACCACTGTGAGGAACTCCTTCCTATAGGAAATACTCAGTTTCTGGAAGTGAAGGATATAGAAAGGGAATGAGAGAACCATAATAAGCTTTGGTATTTTACTATTGCATCCAACAGAAGAGGGTCTTATTTTCAAGATTATGTATGTTCAAAGTATTCAATTGGTTTTTCTCATCTGTGTTAAAAAATCAGAGCATTTGAATCAAAACTGGATTGTACAAGTATGATGTCATAAATGTATTGATATGACTGATGTTTCCTATAGTCCGCAAAACAAGGTAGAGTCTCAGTAAAAATTTCTTGAAAAAATAGCTAAGAAAATCAAAATTAAAGACTAATGAAGATTTTGTTTTATACTTATGTTTAGTTTTAACTTGGCTTTTATATTTTTAAAATGTATATTTATTTTCATATAAATCACCATATGTCAGCAAAGTGATAAGATGGCTTATGAAAATGTAATAAATCATTTCTCATTAAGTTTCTAGACATAATGCAATTCAATAGTTTTTTTAAAAAAACATCCTTATTGAGTTTAGTGTTCATGATTTATTTTTTAAAAATGATTAATATCGGGTGTCATTAGAAACCCAGAATAGTATGTTGTATATTTTAATATGTTAGTATATATACTATTAATCTTTCTCAAATTGAGAAATGCATTTAGTTTTATTTTACGCTTTAAATTTTATTATAATTATAAATTTTATCACATTTTAACAGACTTTTGCAATTTCTCTAAATATTTTTTACAGTTTACATTTATAAAATCTTTATTCTAATAGTCTAGAGTTGTGCCTTTTCTTAGACAATAATGTCTACATAATAGAAAAAAAAATTCATTTTATCTTGGTTTCTAAAAAGCTTAAAGTCAACCTTGGTACTCAATTGCTGCTTTTAGCCTCTGTCTATATTTTTTTGGCACAAGTATATCCTTGATTTAATATGAATCTTCCTCTTTTAGCTTCATTTTAATGATTTATTGTATAAAGTACCTCAGCTCTTACATTGATTTCAATGTATTATAAATAACAAAGGAAAATAAATCAACTACTTGTCTTTTTCTTTCCTCTGAGAAATTGTATCTATTAGAAATAATAAAATTATGAATTTAGATAAATAAAATGCATCATGGAGCAAGGATGATTTTCAGAAGCTCAGAGTTCTAAATTTGTTAATTTTTCTTTCTTTTTTCTTTTCTTTTTTTTTTTTTTTTTTGAGATGGAGTTTTGCTCTTGTTGCCCAGGCTGGAGTGCAATGGCGCGATCTTGGCTCACTGCAACCTCCACCTCCCAGGGTCAAGCGATTCTCCTGCCTTAGCCTCCTGAGTAGCTAAGATTACAGGCACCCACCACCACACCTGGCTAATTTTTGCATTTTTAGTAGAGATGGGGTTTCTTCATGTTGGCCAGGCTGGTCTCAAACTCCTGACCTCAGGTGATCCACCCGCCTCAGCCTCCCAAAGTGCTGGGATTACAGGCCTAAGCCACCGCACCCGGCCCTAAATTTGTTAATTATAAGCTAACCCTGAATTAGTTACTGGCAAACAGGGAAGATCAATTAGTGAATTCATGAATGAAGTTGACAATAAGGTGACACACGCTTTCTGTTCATTGAAGGTCTGTAACGAATTGTAATATATGATTACTTAATAGTATATTTTGCTTCTGTGCAAAATTTGTAACTATCATATCTTAACTACATTGCCCTCATATTCCTCAATATATGTTTCAATTATTTAACCTCACCTCTGCGGGCCAGAGTCCTCTTCTGGAATCAGCTGTCACAACCTGCAACTTTTTCTCTGTTATCGACTAAATGTTTATATCCCATTCCTATGTTGAAACCTAATCCCCAATATGATGGTATTTGGAAGTGGGGCCTTGGGGAGCTCACTAAGTAATTAAAGCACAAGATGACAGTCTATGAACCTGGAAGTAAGCCCTCACCAGATACTGAACCTGACTGCACTTTGATATAGAACTTGATGCCCTCTAGAACTATGAGAAATGTCTGTTATTTATAAGCCACCCAGTCTATGGTAATTTGTTATGAACTAAAGCTGAAAATTGGTACCAAGAAGTAAGAGTGCTGCTCTCACAAACGCCTAAAAACATGGAAGTGGCTATGGAGCTGAATACTGAGTAGAGGCTAGACAAGTTTTGAGGAACATGCTAGAAAAAGCCTACATTGTTATGCATGGGATCAGTACGGTAATTTTGGTGAGGGCTCAGAAAAAAACGCAGGAGCTCTAGAGAAAGCATCAACCTTCTTAGAGAATGCTGAATGAATCATGAACAGACTGTTGAGAGTAATATGGATGGTAAAGGCCATTATGAGGAGATCTCAGGCAAAAATGATAAACATTTTATTGGAAATAGGAGAAAATGCTATTTTTGTTATATAGTGACAAAGAACTTGGCTGAATTATAATATGTTTGTGTTCTAGTGTTTTATGGAAGGTAGAATAAAACTGGATATTTAGCTTATGTTATTTCTAAGGACAGTGTTAAAGGTGCAGCTTGGCTCTTCCTGATGTTTGGTAGTAAAATGTGAGAAGAAAGAAATGACTTACAGATAAAATTGTTATGCTAAAAGGAAATCAAACCTGAAGATTTGGGTAATTCTCAGTCTATCCATATTCCAAAAATGAGAAAGAACATTACAAAGAGAACAGTGAGGGTGTGGCCAAGACTGATTTGATAATGTAATTAGTATGGTGTGAACCACAAGTCTAATCATCCATCTCAACAGAAGCCAGTTATTATTTTTCAAGACAAAAGTAGAATGACTCCAAAGGTGATTCAGAGATTATCAGGCCTGTTCCTTTATTTCCAAAAGTGAGAACCATTATGTCAATTTCAACAGGCCAGATGGCCTCTTCCCAGAAAAGTGGGAGCAGGGTCATCCAGAGCTTTAGGGGACCTATCCCTGACTGACAAAACTGTGGGGCCCAGGCAAAAAGCCAATGTGGGGGCCAGCCTCTGTGGCTCGTGCCTGTAATCCCAGCTCTTTGGGAGGCTGAAGCAGGAAGACAACTTGGGGCCAGGAATTTGAGACCAGGCTGGCCAACATGACAAAACCCCATCTCTACTAAAAATACAAAAATTAGCCAGGCACGGTGGTGCACACCTGTAGTCCCAGCTGCTTGGGATGCTGAGGCACAAGAATCACTTGACCCTTGGAGGTGGAAGTTGCAGTGAGCCAAGATCATGCCACTGCTCTCCAGTATAGGTGACAGAGCAAGACCCTGTTTCAGAAAAAAGAAAGAAAACCACTGTGGACCTTCCCAGTGAGCCAGGGGTGGCGGGGGTTGTGAAATCACCACCCTGATAGGCCTGGAGGGCAGACCATCAAGCCAAAGAGGATTATTCTTGAGCTGTAAGAACTCACGGAGTTTGTCCCATACTCTGGACTTGCTTGGGATCTGTTACCTCTATATGTTTTTCTATTTCTTCCTGTTGGAATGAGAATGTCTCTCCTATCCCTTCTATCCCTCTACTCTCACCAATATCTTATTTAGATGATATTTGAATGAGTTGTTGAACTTTAGACTTCAGATTTGATGCTGCAATGAGTTAAGACTTTTGGGGCTGTTGAGATGGCATGAATATAGTTTGCATGTGAGAAGGACCTGGATTTAGGGAGGCCATGGGTGGAACAGTATAGAATAAATGTTTGTGTCCCCCAAATTTATATGTTGAAACATACTACTCAATGTGATGGTATTTGGAGGTGGGACCTTTGGGAGTGATTAGATCATATGAATGGGGCAATCATGAGTGGGATTAGTTCCTTTATAGAAGAAACCCCAGAGAGCTTCCTTGACACTTTCAGCACATGAGGACACAGCCAAAGGATGACAGTTTATAAATCATAATCAGGCTCTCATGAGATATCTGTCAATGATTTGCCTAGGACTTAACTAGCATCCAGATCTGTGAGAAATAAATTTCTATTATTTATAAACCACCTGCTATATTGTAATTTGTTAGAGCAACTCAAAAAGACCAAGACATACTCTTCCCTTAAGTACTCCCATCCTTCTATAAAATTTTGTAGAATTTTACAGAATTCTACCCTCTACCCTCCCCCGCTTACTTAGGAACAAAGAGATTTATTATGGAAAATTATATGCCTACACCATTGCTATACATAGTGAAAAGGTGTACTCTATGTTAGGTCTCCAGGCAAAGCTTCCAGAATTAACTACAGGTAAGATTGTTTGCAGAAACTATTGCTCCTATCACAAATAGAATATTGGAAAACAAGACTTCAGTCTATAAGGACACCTATAGCTGTAGTCTAGGAATCAGTAATTAGCCATAACTACTTTTCAATATTCCCAAATTAAGACAGGACACAGAGCACTGCTGTAGAAAAAGTGAGCTACTCTGGCCGGGCGCAGTGGCTCACACCTGTAATCCCAGCACTTTGGGAGGCCAAGGCAGGCGGATCACTGGAGGTCAGGAGTTCAAGACCAGCCTGGCCAAAATGGTGAAACCCCATCTCTACTAAAAATACAAAAAACTAGCCAGGCATGGTGGCACATACCTGTAATCCCAGCTACTCAGGAGACTGAGGCAGGAGAACTGCTCTTGAACCCAGGAGGTGGAGGTTGCAGTGAGCTGAGATCGCACCACGGTACTCCAGCCTGGGCGATACAGTGAAACTCTGTCTCAAAACAAAAAAAAAAAAAAAAAAAGAAAAGAAAAGAAAGAAAAAGAAAAAGTAAGCTACTCCACATCAGAATAAAAAATTAAAGCTGTAGAAAAATATCCTCTGCTTACGTATACATATGTAACAAACCTGCATGTTGTGCACATGTACCCTAGAACTTGAAGTATATTAAAAAGGAAAAGGAAGAAAAATATCCTCTGCTTTTTCAGTCATTCAAATCTTGTATGAGCACAGCTAATTAATGCACAGGACTTTACAAGGGGAGCTAGCAAACAAAGTTTCTCGTTTTTATTTTATTTTTACACTCTCAGACTCCACAGAACAGGAAGACATGCAAGGAGGATGGAGAGGGTGTTATTTTCTGTTCACCAGCTCCACTCTACCTACTACAGACCTGCCTATGCTAGGTGTTATTGAGACAATTGGTTAATTAGTGAGTGTGGTAATTATAGTGTTTCATTTTCTCTGCAAACACCTATTTTTGAAAATTTTAGTGTTTTTGGAAGATTCATATTTATATCTATTCTTTAAAACTGGAGATAAACTGGCTTAAATCACACATACCTATAATAAAAATGCTCACCATCACTGGCCATCAGAGAAATGCAAATAAAAACCACAATGAGATACCATCTCACACCAGTTAGAATGGCAATCATTCAAAAGTCAGGAAACAACAGGTGCTGGAGAGGATATGGAGAAATAGGAACACTTTTACACTGTTGGTGGGACTGTAAACTAGTTCAACCATTGTGGAAGTCAGTGTGGCGATTCCTCATGGATCTAGAACTAGAAATACCATTTGATCCAGCCATCCCATTACTGGGTATATACCCAAAGGACTATAAATCATGCTGCTATAAAGACACATGCACACGTATGTTTATTGCAGGTCTATTCACAATAGCAAAGACTTGGAAACGACCCAAATGTTCAACAATGATAGACTGGATTAAGAAAATGTGGCACATACACACCATGGAATACTACGCAGCCATAAAAAATGATGAGTTCACGTCCTTTTTAGGGACATGGATGAAATTGAAAATTATCATTCTCAGTAAACTATCGCAAGAACAAAAAACCAAACACCACATCTTCTCACTCATAGGTGGGAATTGAACAATGAGAACACATGGACACAGGAAGGGGAACATCACACTCTGGGGACTGTTGTGGGGTGGGCGGAGGGGGGAGGGGGGAGGGATAGCATTAGGAGATATACCTAATGCTAAATGACGAGTTAATGGGTGCAGCATACCAGCATGGCACATGTATACATATGTAACTAACCTGCACATTGTGCACATGTACCCTAAAACTTAAAGTATAATAATAATTTTTAAAAAGTAACAAAGAAAGGTGCTGAGAAAAGGACAAGGGTATAAAATGGAAAGCATGCCTGTTAGGAAGAGAAGAGATAAGATAAAATTAAGTCAGAGTGGCAGTTGGGAAAAGGTGGTATTTTCAATAAATGGTGCTGAGTCAGTTGGATGTCCATATAGAAAACAAAATTGTATTTTGACCCCAGTTTACACCAGATATAAAAATCAATCACAGACAGATTGAAGATCTAAATGTGTGACAGGCAAAACAATAACTTCTGGATGAAAATATAGGAGAATATCCTTGTGATTTTAAGCGGGACAACGTTTTCTTAAATAAGACACAAATAAAATGCTAATCATAAAAATAAAAAATACATTGTAATATATTGAAATTATAGATTTTTGCTTATCAAAAGTTAGAGTGAAAAAGCAACCAATGGAGTAAAAGAAGTATTTGCAATATATACATCTGATAAAGGATTCATGTATAGAATATATTTCTTTTAAACTGACAGACTGGCAAAAGAAAGGAGAAAACACTTCAGAAAACATTATGCAAGTGGAAAATAAACATGTAAAATGTGAGCAACACAGACGAAATGTAAATTTATATGTGTGTTTATATATGTATCCAATAAACAATTATTTTTAAAGTCAAGTGTTTTAGTACATCCTCATATATTCATGCATGCTGGAATTCAGTTATCACAGATAGAATTAAACTCTGTAACCATCCTATGAAGGGAGAGTTTCAACATAATTTGTTATTTATGTTGATTTGAGCAAATAAATAATCTTTTCTGAATATTCTTGTTTAGCTATTAAGATATTCTGAATCCCAAGGTCTTCAGCTAGGTTCTCTAAGACCAGAGTCAAAAATTCAGTGTGGCGATTCCTCAGGGATCTAGAACTAGAAATACCATTTGACCCAGCCATCCCATTACTGGGTATATACCCAAAGGATTATAAATCATGCTGCTATAAAGACACATGCACATGTATGTTTACTGCAGCACTATTCACAATAGCAAATACTTGGAACCAACCCAAATGTCCACCAATGATAGACTGGATTAAGAAAATGTGGCACATATACACCATGGAATACTATGCAGCCATAAAAATGGATGAGTTTATGTCCTTTGTAGGGACATGGATGAAGCTGGAAACCATCATTCTCAACAAACTATTGCAAGGACAAAAAACCAAACACCACATGTTCTCGCTCATAGGTGGGAACTGAACAATGAGAACACACGGACACAGGAAGGGGAACATCACACACTGGGGCCTGTTTTGGGGTAGGGGGAGCGGGGAGGGATAGCATTTGGAGATATACCTAATGTTAAATGACGAGTTAATGGATGCAGCACACGAACATGGCCCATGTATATATATGTAACAAACCTGTACGTTGTACACATATACCCTAAAACTTAAAAGTATAATAATAAAAAAAAAGAAAAAAAAATTCTAACCCATAAAATCAGAATTGAATTCATGAGGATTACGCATGAGGGACAAATGCTTCTTGTTGTGTAGCTTTAACAAAGCAAAAAAAAAAAAAAAATTCCAAGCATCTTATTAAAATTGTGGAGGCCAAATATATTGAGATAATATAAATGAAAGAAATGAAATTGGATTAGTTTCTTGGTATTTTAATAAACATAAGATATTTTCACAGGTTTTATAATTACTCATGACCTTAATTATTTTAACTTATATTTCTCATAAGACTTTATCTTCTTCCTGTGTACAGCTTGTTACTTCCTATGTACAGTTGTTACTTCCTGTATACAGGAACTTAATCCTAAAAGTTTAGGAAGAGAAAGCATATATTTTCTTATACCCATGTCAAATCATTCAGTAAAAAGTGGTCAATGAGGTTATACTAAAATTATAAATAATATAATATACTGAGGAATAGAATTATGGACAAAAGAATCACAGATATAATAATATGCATTGGAAAGAGAAAAAGGGAAAGTACTAACTTTGAAAATATATAGCAAACACATACAATGAGTCAAGCAGCATTCTAGCATTTGGAAAATTTCTGAGCATAAAACAAAGGTATCCTGACCAAATGGATTTTCTACCTTTTCAAGATGATTTAGTGGTTACGTTAACAAGTGGCTTTGCTGGACCCTCTGGGTCTGAATCTTAGTTCTTACCTCTACTAGCTGTAGGACTTTGTGTAAATTATTTAATCTTTCTATATCTAAGTTTACTTATCTGAAAAGTAGGGAGAATAATCATACTTCATTACTTAAACATTTGTGTTCCTTAATATTTTTTAAGTGTCACTTAATGAAAACACATTTTAATTTTGTAGGATGATGTACAGTACAAATAATTTATAAAATAGCATTTTATAATAAAATAATATAAACCATATTAGTTACATGAGATTGAATTTTACTGAAGTTAAAAATATCTAACGTTTTTATAAATTAAAAGCAATTTGGTCATTTACGGGCTTTTCTTCTTACAGCTCCATATTCGTACTTTGTCTGAATCTTTCTTTGCAGCTAAATAAAAAGCTTCCAGATTTCCAAAGCCATATCTTTTTTCATGGCTGCATTTCAAATGTCTGGCCTTTAACCTTAGACACAAGTTTTTGCTCAATAAATATTAGTTAAATGAAAAAACGAGAGTAAGAAAGAGATTAAATTAATATATGCAGTTAATGGACACCCACCTTTATACTATTTACCTTAATTGACCATTTTAGAGTCAGGATATTTTAGAGAAGCCAGTGAATGAATGCCATACCAAAATATATGTCAAACATGATGAAGAATAAAAATGTCCTGACTAATAAATGTAAATGTACAAAACAGGACTTTCTTAGAAATATTTATTTTTGAAACCTCGGAGCTATGTCTAAACTTATTGGAACATACCATCTTTTTAATAGTCATACCGAAGTGTGATGGTGGGCTAAGAACACTTCATCATTCCAGGCTCAGGATGACACTGAGAAAGCTGGTCCATTTAGCAAGCAGCAAGTCAATTAAGCCTTTAATGATTGAGAAGATCTGTGCAAGAGATTAGTCAATCTTGCAGATTAATCAACAAATGATAATAGGCTTTAGCTCTTCAAGAAAAAAGCTCAGCCATTGGAACAAAGCTATTCTCTCAGTAAACAAGAAAGCAGACAGATGTTAATTCAAGTTTTGTTTCTTCTCATGTAGTATATGAAGTATATATAGCAATAACTGGGTTCAGGCAATCAGTCAACGAGAAGGGCTGATATGTATGAAAAATGCACAGTCTCCCTTAAAATTTAATCAGGTTTTCTTTTTAAAAGCTTACAAAATCAGGAAGAAAAATAGTGGTGCATTTATGTACCTCTGGCAATTGCTAAACGATTGTCTATTTTTGAAGATACTTGGTCACAAGCTACTGGAGAGTAGGGTGAAGGGGAGAGGGAGGTTTTACATATTTCCCAGGAGTGACAAGCCACAGGATTTTTCACACTTCGCATAACTTGCATCTAGACTATACACATAACTTCAGCTGGTATTAGAAAGTTCATTAAATTTGTGTTATCACTAATTTTTAATATTCAGTGAATAAAATAATAAATACCTTACACTAGTTCGTTATTTTAAACATTTATTATATGCAAAAGTTGGACTTAGGCAGATTCAGCCAAGTGGAATTAGGCTTTCTGTTTATTTTCTCCCAGTGAATTAAATGTTCTGTTTATTATCTGTTCTCAGTGAATTAAATGGTGTCAGTACCCCAGAGAGTTAACAAAAGATGGTTTCATTGAAAATGTTACTGAATGATAGTAGTGTTAAAGAGCTCCGTCAAAAGTATATTTGCTTTTCTGGGGAAATAATTTCTAGGGGATAAGTTCTCAGCCTACATAGGAGGATTTCATGTCCATTGCTTCCCTGGGACACAGCACCAAGAGTAGAAGGTCCATTCTTCAGAGACAACAGAGAAGGTGTTGAGAGAGTGGCCTTTTTTAAAAAAAAAAAAATTATAACTTTTAGAATGTGTTGAGATTGTGTTAAACTTTACCTACATAAATATATATAATCATATATACAGCTATACTATACAGTTGTGTATATTAATATATTAATAACAATTAATTTATATTAATATAAATTAATTTCTTAGTTTATATATATATTTTCATGATGCTACTTTTAAGGGAACTAATTTTTATTGAAGTACATATAGAAAAGTTCACAAATCTGAAGTCACAGCTTGATAACTTTTTGGCAAGTGAGCATGTTCCAGTAACTGCCTCACAGAACAGGCATTCATTCATTCGATGTAGGCACTTTGAGTGCCTACCAGTTAGGCACTGTGCTACGTACTAGCTAGTATATAATGCTAGTGTGACAAATAAGACATCACAGTCCCTGACTTCATGGTATTTGTAATCTACTTAGACAATCACAAGTAATTATTGATGATAATAAATAACAACTAGGGCACCAAGATAAAGCTTAACAGGCAATACCTACTTTCAGTATTGTGATCAGAGAAGACAAAACCTGCTACATGTGGAGAGAAAGGAAAGGAGAGAATCAGCACAGGTGTTCTGATCTCATTTCCTACCTCTCTCCCTTTAATCACTCTGTGGTGCCAGTCATACGGTTTCCTTGCTACTCCTTAATCACAAACAATCTAGTCAAGCTCCTGCTTCAAGATTTTTACATATTTTCATTCCTTTATGAAGAATATGCTATTCCTGGAGACTTACATGGTTCAACTCATTTATTTCCTTGGGGTCCAATTCAAATTTTGCCTTCCTTGGCAGGTCTTCCTTGGCCACTCTGCCTAAAATAACACCCTCAGATCATCCCATACTCACACACACATACAGATACCTCTTCCTAGTTCTCTTTCCTACTTTATTTTTTTCCTCTGGGCATTGATCACATACTAGTATACTTATGTTATCTAACACAAGATACATTTCACTTTTTTTAATCTTACCTATTGTCTATTTCCATTACTAGGATAAAAGCTTCATGAGGTCAGAATTTTATGTTTTTGTCATTGTTGTTGTTTGCAGGTATATCCACAGTGTCAGTGTCTGGCTCGATGGATAAATATTTATTAATTGTGTGAAATTTTTACCATACCAACATATATGCCAGATATCTTAGTTTGGAAAGAGAAAAGCAATTGATATTAGTTTCAATTGTTCTTTCTATACTCCTAATTTCTCAAACTCTTTCTGGTATAGGTATATCTTAAGCATTTCTTACACTTAGCTACTTTAAAATAGGACATCTGTTACTTTCTATCTCCATGAAATAATTAACCAAACCTTTACCATAACTTAATGATCTTAAGGATCTAAGATTCCTTACTTTCTTGCTGAGAAGTAGGCTCCTTTAATAACTATCCTAAGAAAGAGTTGGAAATGGAAAAGTCAGTCAAGCCTGTTATTTGTATCATATTCACATTCCTTTTACTTAATGTAGCTGAATTGATTTGTAGGTAGCAAATACTACCTAAGGTGTAACTGATTTAATTTACCCAAAGTTCCCTATACTTACAATAAAATTCAAGTCCTAGTTTTTTCTTGAGTGCCATAGGAGGATATTACGGATATGCAATCTTATTCAGAACTGTGACCCAATAAGGTTTGGTTTGGTTTTGTAATCATTATAACTTACATCATAGAGGGATATTTTATATTGATATATCCTCTAAAATTCTTATTGGTGGATTACAGATTTTTGTCTTTTAACATGTATAAAATGCTCTAATAGGATAAGCTGCATTATTCTGCAGCTATAATTATAGTCACAACTCAGTAAAATTCATGAGTCCAAGGCAAAAAGGTTGTAAATCACCTCCTCTGAAATCATAATTTGTGGCTTGTAAATTTTCATTAACAATGTCATCAATATAATTTATTTTTAATATTGAAGAATAAACCCTGTCGATCCAGGGTTGTTTTTATTCCATAGGAGTTTATGGAAAACTTTTTTAATGCGTGGACTTCTGCACATTATTAAAATTTAATAAGGAGAACAAATACAATCATCAATTTATAAAAACCACTCTAATCAACTGAAGTTTATTTTGTTTCCCAAGCTTTTTTTATTCCTAGTAATTTTTTAAGTCCTTTAACACTGAAGAGAATAAGGAAGAAAAAATTGCCATTTCGTTCATATTTAAACTCCTGAAAAAGTCAAGTTTGGTGAATTTCGTGAGGGTCTTACATTCAACATATTTCTGTAATATCTTAAGTTTAGAGGACATTTTTGTAAAAGTTATAACTCATCAGGAAAATTCCCAGTTGTGTTCTCTAATTAATTATATAAGAAATTGCATATTTGAAACTAAGATAAAAAATGTATAATAACAATAAGTTCAATAAAATCGCTAGTAATTGATATTATGTTCAGCCACTTTGTTGCTTTGAAATAAATGCCCAGAATTGCTCATCGTGGCTTGTGTTCTCTGTGTAGAACACTGTGTGTCCTGTGTTACGTCAAGGAAAATTTTCACCAAATGGAATTAAACAGGCAAGGATAATTTTATTTTAAGACTATTGCAATAGAGGAGAGAAAATAAATTTAGCTCTGTATATAGAAGAGGTAATAGGATGATTTATAGCCAAATGTCAGTGTAAAAGAGTAAACAGATTAAAAAATTACTAAATGAAACTTAGGTATCAAAGGAGGGGGATCCTCACCAAATTGGTTTGGCAGTATTCTTTCTGAACTGGACTAAGCAAATCAAGTATTGCAGGCCAAGGACAAGGCCTAGTCAAGAAAATAGTTCAGAAGGGCATGACTAAAATTTGGTCCTTGTTAATTGATTTCTTTTCCCATTTGGGATCAGAATATCTAAAGGGTAGCTGGTAGATTGGGCTTTCCTTTTTACTAGCTTATATGATTATGTGCATGTCACTAATTTCTAAAAGCTTCACTTTCTTTTTTTTAACTTTTATTTTAAGTACAGGGGTGCATGTGCAGATTTGTTACACAGGAAAATTTTTGTCGTAGGGGTTTGCTGTACAGATTATTTCCTCAGCCAGGTATTAAGCCTAGTACCCACTTGTTATTTTTCCTGATCCTCTCCCATCTCCCACCCTCCACCCTCCAATATGCCCTAGTGTGTGTTGTTTCCCTCTATGTGTCCATGTCTTCTCTTCATTTAGCTCCCACTTATACATGAGAACATGTGGTATTTGCTTTTCTGTTCCTGCATTATCTTGCTAAGGATAATGGCCTCCAGCTCCATCCATGTCCATGCAAAGGATATGATCTAGTTCTTTTTTATGGCTGCATAGTATTCCATGGTGTATATGTACATTTTTTTTATCCAGTCTATCAATGATGGGCATTTAGGTTAATTCCATGTCTTTACTATTGTAAAAAGTGCTACAATGAATGTTCACATGCATGTATCTTTATGGTAAAAGAAATTTATATTCCTTTGGGTATATACCCAGTAATGAGATTGCTGAGTTTAATGGTATTTCTGTCTCCAGGTCTTTGAGGAATCACCACACTGTCTTCTACAAAGGTTGATCAAATTTACACTCTTGCCAACAGTGGATAAGCATTCCTTTTTATTCACAACATCACCAGCATCTGTTATTTTTTGAATTTTTAATAACAGGTATTCTGACTGGTGTGAGATGGTATCTCACTATAGTTTTGATTTGCATTTCCTAATAATCAGTGCAGTAGAGCTTTTTTATACAATTATTGGCTGCATGAGTGTTTTCTTTTGAAAGTGTCAATTTACAAGAAAAAAACAAAAAACTCCATTAAAAAGTAGGCGAAAGACCTGAGCTTCACTTTCTTGATCTAGAAAATAGGAATAATAACACCCCGAAAGACTAAAATATTTTAACTATGTGAAAACACTTTAAAGTTTTATAAAGTTCTTTAAAATCAAAGTGCTGCTATCTGATCAGTTCAAGCTATTTTAGTAATGCTTATTTACTGTTTTATCCTTTTCAGAAAACAGACGCATATAAAAGGTGGTTTCAATGTCTTAAAATATAGACAGGCCTTGACAATTTGAGGGCTTCTGAAACAGAAAATGGGATATGAACTTATAGTGTTTCAGGAGCATCTTTTTGGCATTTATGACAAACGAATGTATTTGTGAATTCCAAAACAACAAAGAAGAAATGGTGAGATGAAATTCTAAAAACCATTAAAATCATATTATTGAAACAATGTTTTTTGAAAAATACTTAAAATAATAGCATAAAGGGAAACCAGTGTCCTAAAAATAGGTCCTGTGAATTCACTAAGAGAAATTTATTCAAAATATCCTCATTTTATTTTACTGTTTTTTAGACACAATTAGGATGTTTACCTGTAAGTTAATTAAAAGCCAACAATGTGTGTGTTATGTACATGTATGAAATGTATGTGTGAAACTGTCCTTAAGTGAGGCAGAACAAACATAAATAAGACCAAAGTCTAATGTAAAGGGCACATGTTTCTAGAGCACCTGCCCCATTATTAACTCTGCTTCGCCAGAGGGGCCGCCTTCGTATTTATTGAATATGATTCATACACCTCCACTTGCCAGTCTTTGCATTGGCTGTTCCTTCTGTTTGGAATGATCTTTACTCACATACCCAAATGGCACACTTCCTTACCTCTGACAGTCTTTATTGCTTTTATAGGGAGACACTCTGCCTCTCCCTATCAAATCCTTTCTCAATCTTCTTAACACTGTTCCATTTTCCATCACATATATATCACTTTCTAACATTTTATATGTTACATTTTAATTTTGTTTTTTTTCCTCCAACTAGAATATAAATTATATTAGAGAAGAAATGTTTGTCCATTTCATTCTTAGATTTGTCCCCAGAATGTGTGCATTACCTAAGACATAGTAAGGGCTCAATAAATATTTTTGGATTAATGAATAAATGAATAAATTACAGAGCCCTTTCTATGCCATGGATTAAGGTAATACTCCTTCCCTCTCTTTTCTTATTTTCTTATGGTAAGACACAATATACCGAAGAGACAGCTTCTCTTTCCTTGACCGCTACTAAGTCCCTCTCAGGTTACAATAAAAGTTTATGAGATGCAAGATATTTGCAATTAGTGGAAACACAGAAGAACAAATAGCTAAATCAACCTGGTTTGATTGATTTGAGTGTGTTTGAAATACTTGATATCATATACTACAGTGCCTTTTGTGTGATCCCCATGAAAGCTGTTAAATATTTTTAGCTAATGTCCCGTATATAGGTAGAGACTCATTTAAAAGTTCTCATGTTATATTTTGTCCTGAATATCAGTTATTTTTACAAAAATTGGGTGTTTTCATTTGGTATAAAGTAAAACTTATACTTTTCTTCTTTTACTTTATATATTAAGCAACCTAAAGTTATGCCCAATATCCAATTACTGTTAACCTGATAGTCTTCTCCCTCTGACTGCTTTAAATTGAAAGTCATTATATATCAATAATTGTCTCATTTTCCATTAGTTTTAAACCTATAAGTTACCTAAAATATTTCATGAACTATGTAGATATTATTCCCTAATTGGTTTCTTAATCCACCTACCCCGGTATCCTTTAAGGAAAAATGAAAATCTTTTTGAGCCAGAGTATTGTTCTCCACTGAATATCACACATAATAATGATATTTAATGGAAGAATGAAGTGCAGGAGTCATCTCTTTGAATTGAGGATGGGAAAACTATGAGTTAAGATAGTGCTTAACTTAAATAAATCATTTTTCTTTAAAGTCTGATTCTCTTAAAGACTGAAGCAAAAGCAAGCCCAGTTAAAATAGTTTTATTTCCTCCAGCAGAGCTATTTCTCAGACTATTGTAAGGTTTATAAAAAGTATTCATTAGAGGTAATGTAGTTTATTAAAGCAACTCTTTTCTCCTCTCTATTTCTTTACTTGATATACATTATTATGGAATTATGTTTCAGATTATGGAAAATTTTTGAAAAATATTTACTTTTTTTAGGGAGTAAGTTTTACCTTCTATATCAACATAGCAATCACTCATGAGTGGATCTGAAACATTTATTGATGGTTGGTGTGAGATATACATCTTTGCTAATGGAGGCAATTAATCTATTACCACAGATGGGTTCTCAGTAAGTATCTTTCCTGCACAGACGTGACCTTCTTCTTTCTTGCCACATTTAAAACTTCATGACCTCATTTTTCAACCAAGGATGGTCATTTTTTAGCCACTTACTGCTTTAAGAACCATTCTATCATCCACCCTCTCTATTAGGATTTATGCATGTCTTCTGGCCGCACAGAGGTCTGTCACACAAACTGAAAAGCTGTAGATGCTACTCATCAAATGGATGACAGCTTTGACTCTAGATCAACATGTAAGAGGAGGTGAATAAACAACCTGATTCTTTACCCTTATGAACATCATCAGGCCGAGGAAAAATGCCTTTACTTGCTTTGTGCATGTGAGCTTTCTAATTAAAGCTCACATGGGACTAAGTGAAATCAGAGTTATTTTTTGAAGGAAAAAAACAAAATGTGTTGTGGCACACTGAATGTGTGTGCTCCATAAGTGAAGCATGCTCAAATTGTACTACATGCCTATTTACATCTTATGTGTGAGGTTTGTCATATCATTAATGAACCTAAAAATTCTTAGCATTTTAATGAATACTAACAACTAACAAGCATTGAAAATAAATAAAATGAAGGTGTTCTAAAAACATTGTGGTTTAATTCTAAAAAAACTAATAAATGAAGAGCTATTTTTAAGAAATCTCACATCTTCAGTTTTTTTACTGAAAATTACTTCTCCTCTTGAAACTTTAGCATTATCAGTAAATTGATACATTTATTATCTTTCATATATAAAAAGGAAATCAAGATGAAATCACTACCAGTACTAAGAAATGCCACATATTTAACTTTTTCCATTCTCATTATCAGCCCTTGTCTTTCATTCCAATTCCCTCAGTCCTTAGACCCACATTTTTTTTTTTTTTTTTTGAAATTTGAGGGTATCTGTTAAAAGGAAGTTGTGAACTGGCATTTCAGATTGTGTAGAGGATTCAAAACAACACTTACCACAGCATTGGATAAGTATTTAATAAATGGGAGTTACTACTATTAAGAAGATTTGTATTGATAATGCTGTCAAATAATAATTGGCCACTGTACTATTTTATTTTAAATTTTCTCTTTTAATTTGCTAAATGCAGTGGTTTGGGTATTAATTCTGTGTCTGTTACTTCCAGATGTTTTCACATTTAATCAAGCTCACTTCAGCCTCTAACTTTTCAGTCAATCAAATTCTAATTATTGGAGATGGCACTCTCCTCCTCTGTAAATATTCCAGCACCGTTTATTTATTAAGTTATCAAATTGTTATGTATTGCCCATTTAATGTTCAGTTCTGTATTGTGTCCTTGGACTTCACTAATATAACAGACACAGTTGTGTTTCTCAGAATTCTATTGTAGAAGAATGTAATGCACTACAGTCAATGCCACCACAGAGACGAGAAAGGGATAAAGAGTGGAGGGAAGCGCATACAAGGGCACCCAACCCAACTTTGGATATGAGAGCCAAGAGGTAATTAGCTTATAAAAGGCAAAGCAAGTAGAAAAGGCCATCTCAAAGAGTATGTAAGGCATAGGCAAATGCCTGGAGCAGGAAAGATTAATAATAATGTGGAAGTCTTTCTTCAGATATATTTTCATTTACATGGAGCAACTGCACACAGTAATTTTGGTGAGGGTTCACAGTCAGAGGTTATGATCACCATAGGACACTAAAAGACAAATAAGAAGGATAATAGTATCTAAAGATTGATACTTTCAATAAAGCAAAAAGTTTTCCTTTCTCTTTTAGGTGTAAAAACACAATAAAACAGAATATAAAGATTGACTAAGAAATTAACTAAAATGTCGCCTGTTATTTTATTTACTGAAAAGCAAGAGGATGTGGCGTATGTATTCAGAATTATAGTTAAATCCTCTGCATGAGCTTTGGCATTAATATTTCCATAACACTACATAAACAAATATCTTACATTTCTATATTGTTTTCATTATCATGATATTGTCTTCTTTAGCACAAAAAAGAAAACTAGAGCAATGGGTAATTATATACATATATATATATTATCTTTCAGGACTACTGAAAACCCTGCATGCTCCAAGAGTTACTTTTGAAATCACACAATTTCTTAACCTGAGCCACAGCATTAACCTCCAGTGCTTACATAAGCCATAAGTAAAGGTGGGTAAGGAAACAGAATTGAAACAGCAAGAAAAAAAACGAATTGAGGCTGGAAAGATCATGGCTTATATGAAGAAGAGAAATAATGCCAGAATATATGAAGTATAGCAAATGGTGTAATACAAAAGGAGGCTGCAGGGGGAGAGTAGATCAAAATACTGTAAAATTTCATCAGTAAGCAAAAGAGTTAGCATGTTTTTCTATTAAAAATGGAAAGCCATTGAACAATTTGCTCATGATTTAACTTATTTTTAAAAATGATCAAGACCACTATTCCTGCTGAATAGGAGAGGTCAAAGGTGGAGGCATAGAGAGCATTTAGAAGGTGAATCTTAGACTATTTGCCATTTTTTAAATTATGTATTTTTCTTTTCAATAATAAAATGGGCTGTGATAGAGGGGTGGGAAGAATATAGGAGGCAGGGGTACCTGTCAAGAGTCTGCTCCATTAATCCAAGTGAGAGGTAATGGTAACTGAAACAATGACAATGGAGATATTATAAAGAAATGAGTGAGTATAGGAGTTACTAAAGTGAAGGAACAGGGAAATGTTATCACTGATTAGGAGATAGAGGTGAAGAAAAAAAAAAGAACTTGACCTTCAAGTTCTAGCTTAGACAACCAAGTAAATGTCAGAGCCATTCAGCATGAACTGTGCATAAAAAATGAAAAGGAAGTTTTGTTGAAAAAATGTATATGCCTGTAATACATTGTATAATCAGACACATATGTCCAGTAAACAGTTGGATAAATGGATCTGAAGCTGAGGAGACAAATTTGAGATGAACACACACACACACACACACACACACACACACACACACACACATGGCTAACCAGAGCACATCCTGACCATAGCACTGGGGGAAGGTGATCATTTAAATATACCACCAAAGTGTTTATCCTTACTGATGCACATTAGCTGAATGTTTATTATGTTAATAATATCAGCATAAAATGGCAGTCAAAGCCATGGATGTGGTGAAGAACTACTGGCATCAAATAAGAAATTACCATTATGCTGAGCACCAGTCTTTTATGGTACGCCAGAGAATCTCTACCTATTTTCTTTATCATTAGCTAATGCGCTAATGAGAAAAATTATACAGAAAGTTTCAGCCCAATCCAGTCATTAGAATGGGCAAGGTTCACAGTTTCACTACAGCAAAGCTTCAAAGGACACCATACAAGTGACAGGAATGAATTGATGTCATGAGCGTTCAGCTAGCCTTACAATAACAGCCTTGCAGTGAAAGCTTTCAGCCAACATCTGCTGCTCTTGACAGCTCAATCTTTCTAACAGAGGCTGTGCCAGCATTGAGATTTCTACTTCTAAATTTGTTTTTGCTGATTCAAGTTTTGTGAATTTTTTAAACATTTATATTTGTATTTTTACTTTGTTATCTGAGATCAAACTGTAAATTGTGATATGGCTTGCAATTTGAGTAAAAATTTGCATCCATAATTGTATTTGAATTTTTGAACAACCCTTGAAGTACCCAAGGTATCCTTACAATCATTATATAATGAAACAGCTCTTAGATGTTGGCACAGGCATCTTATTGCATCCAGTGAAGCTTTAAAAAGTGAAGAAAAAAATGTAAGATCAAGGAAACTAACAAATTATAAATTTCTAAGTGTAATCAAGGACTTGACAATGAGAAAAGCAATCATATTCATATATTATAGCTAAAATTGAATTAGTTTGGGATATGTTGCCATCTGATGATTGTTGAATAACTGCCTTAGTAAACTTGTTTGGATTATGTGAGCAAAATTTAAGAACAGGAACAGAATTCTGTGTGACCTGATTATATAAAACAGACTTACAGAAACACAAATAAAGGACTGATATGGAATATTAATACGACGGCATAATTTTTCTTACATAAAAACAAAAAATATATTAACTCTGTGAATGTAACATTCTTGAAATAATGTTAACTGAAAAAAACTATAAACTAAAATGACATGTAAAGTAGAAACAATTAAGTACAATTTGTGGCAGTTAATAACAATTGTATTCTTCCTTTATAATCCTTGCTTTTTTTTTTTTTTAACAGGTTATCATTTGTCATCCAGGCTGAAGTGCAGTGGCGCAATTACAGCTCTCTGCAGGTGATCTTACAGGCACATCTCATCTGTGTATTTTTTGTAGAGGAGGGGTTTTTCCATGTTGCCCAGGCTGGTCTTCAACTCCTGGGTTCAAGCAAGACTCTACATTACTGTACATTAGCTTTTTACTTCTTTTATTTTACCTCTAGCTATATGATTTCTTTCTCTTTTATTTGACTTTATTCTTTTGCTAACTTATTATTTTGCTATGATATACACTTCTCTGGGTTTGTACCCAGTAAAGGGATTGCTGGGAAGAATGGTAGTTTTGCTTTCAGCTCTGTGAGAAATCGCCATACTGCTTTCCACAATGTTTGAACTAATTTACACTTCCACCAACAGTGTATAAGTGTTCCCTTTTCCCAACAACTTCTCCAGCATCTGTTATGTTTAGACTTTTTCAGTAATAGCCATTCTGACTGATGTGTGATGGTATCACATTGTGGTTTTGATTGCATTTCTCTAATGATCAGTGATATTGAGCCTTTTTTCCATATGCTTTTTGGTCACATCTCGCTCTGTTGCCCAGGCTGGAATGTGGTGGCATGATCACGGCTCACTGCAAGCTCCACCCCCTGGGTTCAAGCCATTCTCCTGCCTCAGCCTCCCAAGTAGCTGGGACTACAGGCACCCGCCACAACGCCTGGCTAATTTTTTGTATTTTTAATAGAGATGGGGTTTCACCGTGTTAGCCAGGATAGTCTCAATCTCCTGATCTCGTGACCCGCCCGCCTCAGCCTCCCAAAGTGCTGGGATTACAGGCATGAGCCACCACACCTGGCCGGTCACATGTATGTCTTCTTTTGAGAAGTGTCTTTCATGTCTTTTGCCTACTTTTTAATGGAATTGTTTTACTCTTGTAAATTTAAGTTCCTTATAAATACTGGATATTAGACCTTTGTCAGATCCATAGTTTGCAAAATTTTCTCCCATTCAGTAGGTTGTCTGTTTACTCTGTTGATAGTTCCTTTTGCTGTGCAGTAGCTCTTGAGTTCAATTAGATTCCATTTGACAATGGTTGCTTTTGTTGTAATTGCTTTTGGTGTCTTTGTCATTATATCTTAGCCCTTTCCTATGTCCAGCATGACAATGCCTAGGTTGTCTTCCAGGTTGTTTATAGTTTTGGGTTTTATATTTAAGTCTTTAAAACATCTTGAGTTGATTTTTGTGTATGGTGTAAGAAAGGGGTCTAATTTCAATTTTCTGCATATGGCTAGCCAGTTATCACAGAATCATTTATTGAATAGGGAGTCTTTTCCCCATGGCTTCTTTTTGTCCCCTTTGTCGAAGATCAGATGATCATAGATGTGCAGCCTTATTTCCGGGCTCTCCATTCTCTTTCATTGGTCTATGTGCCTGTTTTTGTACCAGTACAATGCTGTTTTGGTTACTGTAGTCCTGGAGTATAGTTTGAAGTCAGGTAGCATGACGCCTCCTGCTTTGCTCTTTACGCTTAGGATTGCCTTGGCTATTTGGGCTACTTTTTGGTTTCATATGAATTTTAAAATAGTTTTTTCTAGTTACGTGAAGAATGTTGTTGGTAGTTTGATAGGAATAGCACTGAATCTGTAAATTGCTTTGGGCAGTATGGTCATTTTAATGGTACTGATTCTTCCTATCCATGAGCATGGGATGTGTTTTCACTTGTTTGTGTCATGATTTTTTGAACAATGTTTTTAATTCTTATTGTAGAGATCTTTCACTTACCTGTTTACCTGTATATCTAGGTACTTTGTTCTTTTTGTGTCTATTGTAAATGGAATTGCTTTTCTGATTCGGACCTTGGTTTGGCTGTTCTTGGTGTGTAGGAATGCTATTGATTTTTGTACATTGATTTTGTATCCTGAAACTTTGTTGAAGTTGTTTATCAGCTGAAGGAGCTTTTGGACCAAGACTGTGGGGTTTTCTAGATATAGAATCATGTCATCTGCAAACAGAGATATATCCTATTTGGATGCCCTTTATTTCTTTCTCTTGTCTGATTGCTCTGGTCCATTCAGTACGATGTTGGCTGTGGGTCTGACATGGACGGCTCTTATTATTTTGAGTTGCATTCCTTCAAAATCTAGTTTATTGCATGTTTAACATGAAAGTTTATTGTTTAATTTCCATGTAATTGCATAATTTTGAGAGATTTGCATAGTCTTAACTTTTATTTTTATTGTACTGTGGTCCAAGAGTGTGTTTGTTGTGATTTTGGTTGTTTTGCATCTATTAAGGATTGTTTTATGTTCAATTGTGTGGTCAATTTTAAAGTATGTGCCATGTGGACATGAGAAGAATGTATATTCTGTTGCTTACGGTGGGGAGCTCTGTAAAGGTCTATCAGATCCATTTGGTCCAATGTTGAGCTCAGGTCCTTAACAGCTTTGTTAATTTTCTACCTCAATGATATGTCTAATACTGTCAGTGGAGTTTTGAAGTCTCCCACTATTATTGTGTGGGAGTCTATGCCTCTTTGAAAATCTCTAAGAACTTGCTTTATGAATCTTGGTGCTCCTATGTTGGAAGCATCTATATATAGGATAGTTAGCTTGTTGAATTGAACCCTTTACCATTATGTAATGCTCTTCTTCATCTTTATTGATTTTTATTGGTTTGAAATCTGTTTTGTCTGAAATTAGGATTGCAACTCCTGATTTTTTGTTTTCCATTTCCTTGTTAGATTTTCCTCCATTCCTTTATGTTGACCCTGTGGGTGTCATTACATGTGAGATGCATCTTTTGAAGACAGCATACCATTGGTCTTGCTTTTTTATGTATCTTGCCACTCTGTGTCTTTCAAGTAGGGTACTTAACCCATTTACATTCAAGGTTAGTATTGATATGTATAAATTTGATCCTGTCATTGTGCTGTTAAGCTGGTTACTATGTTGGCTTGTGTGTGTGGTTCCCTTAGAGTGGCACTGGTCTGTGTTTAAGTGTGCTTTTTATGTTAGCTGGTAGTGGTCTTTCCTTTCTATATTTAGTGCTTCTTTTAAGATCTCTTGGACAGCAGATATGATGGTAATGAATTTCCTCAACATTTGCTGAAAATGACTTTATTTCTTCTTCCCTTAGGAAGCTTAGTTTGACTTAATATGAAATTTTTGGTTGAGTATTTTTTTCTTTAAAAATGTTAAATATAAGCCCCTAATCTCTTCTGGGTTTGTAGGGTTTCTGCTGACAGGTCTGCTATTAGTCTAATGGGGTGAATTGCTCTTTCTAGCTGCTTTTAATATTCTTTATTTCGTTTCAATCTTGGAAAATCTGATAATTATGTGTCTTGGGGATAATCTTCTTGTATAGAATCTTGCAGGAGTTCTCCATATTTCCTGAATTTGACTGTTGGCCTCTCTAGCAAGGGTGAGGAAGTTTTCATGGACAATATCCTGAAAGATGTTTTCCAATTTGTTTGCTTTCTTTCTCCCCCTCCCTTTCAGGGATGCCAGTGATTCTTAGATTTGGCCTGTTTACATAATCCCATACTTCTCAGAGCTTTCGTTCATTCATTTGTATCCTTTTTTCTTTATTTTTATCTGACTGTCTTATTTCAGAGAACCAATCTTCAAGTTCTGAGATTCTTTCCTCAGCTTGGTTTATTCTGCTGTGAATACATGTGATTGCATTGTGAAATCCTTGTATCATGTTATTCCACTCTGTCAGACCCATTAGATTTTCTGATACCAGCTATTTCGTTCTTTAGCTTCTGTATCACTTTATTGTGATTCTTATTTTACTTGATTTGGGTTTTGCTTTCCTCTTGAATCTCAATGATCTTTTTTCTCTTTGTATTCTGAATTCTATTCCTGTCATTCCAGCCAGTTCAGCTTGGTTAAGAACTCTTGTTGGAGAACTGGTGTGGTTGTTTGGAGGACATTTGACACTCTGGCCATTTTAGTTACCAATGTTCTTATATTGGTTCTTTCTCATCTCTGTTTATGGGTGTTTCTTTAACTACAATGTAGATTTAGCACAGTCAATAGACTTCTTTTCTGGGTATTTTCACCAAGCCAAGGCTTTGTACAGGGTCTGTATTTTAAGCTGACTTCTCGTCTTTGGCTTCAGAAGGGAGTGGGTTAGTGAGATATTTTTGGCGTCGAAGCTTTGGGGTATGATCCAGCAGGTGGCACTTAGGCTTACTGGTCAGTTGGTAGACTTGTGTTTGGTTGTGTGTCTCCCCTGTATATCCTCACAGTGGCAGTTGTCTTCACTCTTAATGCCGTGAAAGTGTAGGTTCCTCTCCTCAAGTGCTGGCTGTAGATCATGACTTGTCACTCCTAGGCTGCCGACTGCAGCTCCGGGGTGATCTCAGGGTTTATGTTCCTTTCCCATCTTGGAGGAAGCAGAGGAAGGAATCTTAATAGTAGTTGTGACCAAGGCTCATTTGCTTATCTCCTGTTGGCTCCACCCAAAAGAGATGCAGGTCAGCATTCTCTCAGTGCAGTCAGCCCAGGATGGAGGGTCTATGCTGTGGGCCCAAGCCAGGGGTTCCCTGTCTGGTGATGAGCAGTGAGGTGTGTGTGGGACCTGTGGGAGATGGACTGGCCTCCTCTCCTTGGGTTGCAACTTGTTAGAGGTGTGGATAAGGCACTTAGGGTCTGCTCCTTCATTAGTCTGAGGGGGGATAGGGCAGTTCTACTGCAGAAGCAGTAGCAGAGAGGCTTTTAGTTGCTTCTGGAGGCTCTCTTTAGAGAGTTGCTGAATTGCTACTGCTAGACAGATCTGGTAGGGGGTTCCTGGAGGCCCAGGCCTGGAGGACCTGCCCAGTGAGGAGATATGGGAACTGGCATCCACATAGCAGTCTGGCCACTTCTCCATAGGACTGCTGTAGTATGCTGGGGGTCCACTCCGTTCCCTAGTCACCTCAAATTTTCCAGTACCTGGAGATATCACCAGTGAAGGCTGTGAAACAGCAAAGATGGTACCCTGCTTCTCCCTTTTGGAACTCTGTCTCAGGGAGATGCAACACCATTACTGGTGGTTAGCTGGAATTTCAAGCCAGTGGGTCATATTCTGTGAGATGCCATGAAACTGGGCCCTGTTGCTGCTCAACCCCCTGGATTCAGCCTCTTGCCTAGGGGTATATATGAGGGTCTAACCTCCTGCTTTGTGGGAGTTGAAGCTTCTTTGGCTGGGAAGCCTGAAGAGCCTGAGGACCTAAAGTTCGCGGGTCTCCCTGCATGTCTGAGCAGCTGCTCTGCTGAGACTCCATATATCCCTGTGTCAGACTGAAGGCCTTGGTGGAATGGGTTCACAAGGAGATCTCCTGACTCAAAGGTTACAAAGATCCCTGGGAGAAGCTTGGTTTCTCGGGGTAGCACATTCACTCACCATTTTCCTAGGTGGGCCCTGTGAGATTTCCCTGGCTCCATGTCACTCCTGGGCGGGCCATCATCCCGTTTTGCTTTTCTTCATTCTCTGTGAATCAAGTTGTTTCCTTGATAAGCTTCCTTGATAAGTCCCTTGATAAGTGCGAATATCTGGATGTTTCAAGTGAAGGTGCTGTATTTACTTGTCACTTTTGTTCCTCTCCGTGAGAGCCACACACACTAGCTGCTTCTGGTCAGCCATCTTGGCCATCCCCTCCTAATTTTCTTTGTTCAATGTATTCTTTTTACAGCTTCTTTCTTTTTATTTATTTATTTATTTTGAGATGGAGTCTCACTCTGTTGCCCAGGCTGGAGTGCAGTGGCACAATCTTGGCTTACTGCAGCCCCGCCTTCTGGGTTCAAGCTATTCTTCTGCCTCAGCCTCCTGGGTAGCTGGGAGTACAGGCGCATGCCACCCACACCCAGATAATTTTTGTATTTTTAGTAAAGATGGGATTTCACCATATTGGCCAGGCTGGTTCTTTATACAGTTTCTTTTAGTCTTTGTCTGTGGATAGTAAACCCCAGCTTTTTGTTTTTCTGAAGATATTTTTATTTTTCCTTCACAATTGGAAAATTTTTGTTTCAAGTATTAATCTCTAAGTTGACAGTCACATTATCTCAACACGTTAAAGAAATTATTCCATTTTCTCCTGTTTATTTATTTATTTATTTATTTTATTTATTTATTTTTTATGGAGTCTTGCTCTGTCACCAGGCTGGAGTGCAGTGGCGCGATCTTGGCTCGCTGCGGTCTCCACCTCCTGGGTTCAAGTGATTCCCCTGCCTCAGCCTCCCGAGTAGCTGGGACTATAAGCACATACCACCACGCCTGGCTAATTTTTTGTATTTTGGTAGAGACAGGGTTTCACCATGTTGGCCAGGATGGTCTTGATCTCCTAATCTCGTGATCTGCCTGCCTCTGCCTCCCAGGGTGCTAGGATTACAGGCATGAGCCACTGCGCCTGGCCTGTTTCCTGATATTAATTGTTGTTATACATAAATTGATTATCAATTAGTATTCTTTAATCTGTATTTCTTTTCTGGCTGCTTTTAAAATGTTTCTCTTTTTATTTGACAGTTTACATTTCAACTATGATATGTCTAGGTGAAGATTAAATTTATGTATTCTATTTAGGTTTCACTAGGCTTCTAGAACATCAAGGTTATTGTTTATCAAAAATATTGTAAAATTCTAAGTGATTATCTTTTCAAATATTTTGTTCACCCTGCCCCCTTTGCCCAATACCAATATAAAAACAGGCAAGTTTCCTGTTCTTTTTTTCATTCTTAACTCAGGGCCAATACCTAGCTTATATACTCACCTCCCATACTGATATGATTTGCATTTGTGTCCCCGCCCAAATCTCATATTGAATTTTAATCCCTAATGTTGGAGGAGGGGCTTGGTGAGAGGTGACTGAATAATGGGGGCATATGTCCCCCTTACTGTTCTTGTGATAGTGACAGAGTTCTCGTGTGATATGATTATTTAAATATGTGTGGCATGTCTCCCTTCACTCTCTTCCTCCTTCTCTGGCAATGTAAGACGCACCTACTTCCCCTTTGCTCTTTGCCATAATTATAAGTTTCCTGAAGCCTCCCCAGCTACACTTTTTGTACAGCCTGTGGAAGTATGAGTCAATTAAACCTCTTTTCTTTACAAATTACTCAGTTTCAGGTAGTTCTTTATAGCAATGCCAGAGTGGACTAACACAGAAAATTGGTACCAGGAGTGGGGCATTGCTATAAAGATATCTGAAAATGTGGAAGAGACCTTGGAACTGGGTAATGAGCAGAGGTGGGAACAGTTTGGATGGCTCAGAAGAAGACAGGAAGATGTGGGAAAGTTTGGAACTTCCTGGAGACTTTCTAAATTGTTGTGACCAAAATGCTGATAGTGATATGGACAATAAAGTCTAGGCTGAGGAGGTCTCTGATGGAGATAAGGAACTTATTGGGAGCTGGAGGAAAGTTCACTCTTGCTATGCTTTAGCAAAGAGACTGGCAACATTGTGCCCCTGCTTTAGGGATCTGTGGAACTTTTTGAACTTGAGAGTGATTATTTAGGGTATATGGTGGAAGAAATTTCTAAGTAGCAAAGCTTGGGAGACTATTGAGAAGGGATGATTTGTTTTTGCAATGTGAGAATGACACAATATTTGGGAGGGGCTGGGGCAGAAGATACAGTTTGGCTCTGTGTCCCCACTCAAATCTCATGTAAAATTATAATCCTCAATGTTGGAGGAGGGGCCTGGTGGGAGGTGGGGTCAGATTTTTCCCTTGCTTTTCTCATGATAGTGAGCGATTTCTCATGAGACCTGGTTGTTTGAAAATGTGTAGCACCTCCCTGCCCCTTCACTCTCTTTCCCCTTCTCTGGCCACGTAAGATGTGCCTGCTTCCCTTTTTCTTACACCATGATTGTAAGTTTCCTGAGGCCTCCGCAGCCATTCTTCTTGTACAGCCCTTGACCATGAGTCAATTAAATTCTTTTCTTTATAAATTGTCTAGTCTCGGGCAGTTCTTTATAGCAGCAGAAGAATGACCTGATATATATGGTTCACTCCATTATGGGTTCCACCAATTTTTTTCTGTTATGTGGGTTAGCAACATGCTTATGTATTTTTTTTCTGCATTTTAACAAACTTTTTTCATTAATTCAATTAAAAGCATTGAATTGGTATATAGTCTAAAGTTTAAGGCATTTTTAATCTCCTTTTTTGCAATAAATTCAGTTTTATACCTGGAACATTAAATGATGTGTTATTAATATAGGATTCATAGAGTGTGAACAGCCTTCTGAACATGGAAACAAGGAAGGTGATGTGTATTTAGTATTTGAAATTAAAATGAAAATTGCTAAGTTAGGCAACAGTAAGAGGAAGAGTTATTTTAATAAGTCCTGGATAATTTTATCAAATAATTTGACTCAACAGTGATTTCAATCCTGACTTGAAGTATTTTACTTATTTACTTATTGTGTATAAGGGAAATATTCTAAATATATTATTTGTCATTCTCCATTCCTGGTTAGAATTGTTCTTTAAAGCTTATTGCGAACTGACTACTTGGTGACACAAACATGATTTTGGTATAAATTACATATGAATTTTAGATATAAATAAGAATTTGTATAAAAGAGTTTTTAAAACAGTCACATGAACTTCTGAAAGTCTGGTCTTTCACTGAATTAGCACAGTAAAGATGGCCACAGATTCTTTGACATACATGTCAAGGAGAGAGGAGTTTAATTTCTCTCTCTTTGGACATAGACTGTCTTTTGTGAATTGCTTTGCTAATAGAATATGTCAGAAGACATTTCCGAGGCTATGTCATAAAAATCCTTGCAACTTCTACCTGAATCTTTGGGAATGATTCCTACCAGAGACTAGAAACTATGCTGTAAGAAACTCAACCCATGAGAATAAACCAAGTACAGGCACTTTGTTAGACAGCCCTCGCTGAACTCCAAGACAACAGCCAGCCTTAACCAACAGTCATGCAACAAGTCATCTTGAACACTCATTTAGGTCAGCCAAGCCTTTTAGTAACTCCAGGTGCAGCCAACAACTGACTTCAACTGTATGAGAAATTCCAAATAAAAATTACTCCACAGAGCCTAATCAACCCACAGAATCATGAGACTTTGATGTGTTTTGTTACATGGGTATAGGTAACCAGGTCAAAATGGGTGACCTGGAAATGTGATGTTATCATGACAAAAATTTAAAATATATGATATTGGCTTTGAGACCACATGAGGGGCAGAAGCTAGAAGGGCCTTGAGGAAATTGCTAGTAAGGACTTGAAGATTATTGCTTGAGGAAATTGCTAGTAAGGAAAAGATTATCTGTGACTAGAAAAAAAGTCACCCAAGTTATATAATGACAGAAGAGTTAGTAAAACTGTTGATTTATATAATAAGGAACACAGAATGAGTACATAATGATCTCCATGATCTGGTTATAGAGATCTCCAGGCAGATATTAAAAGTGCCAATTGGCTTGCGAAAAGGCAGAAAAATACTAAAGAGATAATTACTTAGTTTTGGGCACCATTTGGAGGAAATGGAAACGAGACAGAAATTGCTAGGTTTAAAAATAAAACAGCTTCTTCTCCACACTCTTTTCCTGCAAAAGACCTAAAGGAAAAAAAAATGGCCTCAGAGCAAATATAGGGTCAGGTGATACCAGGAAATTAGAGCTCCAGGGTATACATCACAATGGTGTAATTATAAGATCCTTTGTATGCCCTTATTAAGATTTAACAGCATAATTAATAGTTTTCAAAGAATGTCAATGATGTGAAACCTGCTTAGTCAGAAAAAAAAGGGTTTCTAAGAATCTCAAATGTATGCCCCATATAAACTTTCCTCAAACAAAATATTTTCAGAATTCTGAGTGACACTGTTTCTTAGCACACTGTTTAACAAGGAAATGTGGGTATGGCTTTTGTCAAATATAGTTGATACACTGAAGCTCACAATCGTTTTAATGAAATAATAACAGTGCAGATTTAAAGAGACAAAGTGGTACAAAATTTTAAAATGCCTGAAGGCTGCGACCTTCGGTAGTCAGACAATAGGCTAAGAAGTTTCTCAGTTGCAAGCCTTGACCTTCCCTTTTTAATAGAAAAAGATGAATAACCCACAAATTATTCAATTAAAAAGTGGGCAAAGGTCCTGAACAGATATTTCTCAAAAGAAGGCATACAAATGGCCTACAATATATGAAAAAATGCTCAACATCAATAATCATCAGGGAGATGCAAATCAAAACCATAATGACATATCATGTCACTCCATCTAGAATGGCTATTATGAAAAAGACAAAAAATTTCAAATGCTGGCCAAGGTACAGAGAAAAGGGAACTCGTATACTGTTGTTGGGAATGTAAACTAGTATAGCCATTTTGGTAAACAGTATGGTGGTTTCCCAAAAACTACACATAGAACTACCATATGATCCAGCAATCCCACTACTGGGTATTAATTCAAAGGATATGGCATTAACATGTCGATAGGGTACTCCTTTCCCATGTTTATTGCAGCACTATTCACAATACCTAAAATATGGTATCCACCTAAATATCCATCAGCAAATGAATAAAGAAAATACTACTCAGTCATCAAAAAGAATGACATCCTGTAATTTGCAGCAACATGGATGAGCGTGGAGAACGTTATGTTAAGCAAAATACGTCAAGCACATAAAGATAAATATCACATGTTCTTATTCATATATAAGAGCTAAGAAAAAGTTTAAGCTGTTGGAAGTAGAGAGTAGAACTGTGGTTACTAGAGGCTGGAAAAGGTGGGAGAAGGGGAGTATGGGAACAGGTTGGTTAACGGGCATGAAATTACAGCTAGATAGGAGGGATGAGTTCTGGTTCTACAGCACCCTACAGTGGTTAACCATAGGTGATTGTGTATTTTGAAAAAGCTAGAAGAGAGGATTTTGAGTGTTCACAACACAAAAAAATGATACATGTTTGAGGTGATGAATATGCTATTTTTTCTCTGATTTGATCATTACACATTGTATACATCTATGAAAATATCTCTCTGTATCCCTTAAATACATATAATTATTACCTGTCAACTTAAAAGGAAAAAAATTAAATCACAAGAAATAATTTTCAGACAGTAGAACTACGATTTAATCAAGGAGCTGATATGCCTATCTGGATTTAAAATTGCTCTGGACCAGGGACAGTTCCATACTTTCCCTTCTTTTCCTCCCTTTATGGTTAGGAGTAAGTGCTGTGAGTATTCTATCTCTTTTTGCCATGTATGTTGAATTTTAGAGAACATTTATTTTTAGGTCGTAAGTCTTCAGCTTCACTTGCTCAAGCAACTGTACCTAAGGAACCTCCCTTATATCTATCTATACCTTATTTAAATAACAAGATCCTGGACCTCATTTCTCAGTGTAACATTTTAAAGGGATAAATATTTCCAGGGTCTTGAAAGGGAAGAGTGTCTTTTGCATGTGAGAATTATGTAAATAATAAATGGCCAGAGGGAAGAGAACCAAAGATGGCTACATGATCTTTGACTGTCCTCCCATTATGTCATAGGCTGAATTCACCTCCCCTTCATTCTCTGCTGGCCTTTTTGACCTGCTTCATGAATAGAATATGGCATAAGTGATATTCTGGACTTCCAAGGCAAAAACATTTTAAAAAAAGCCATGTAGCTTCTGCCTGTACCTCTTAAATTGTTCACAGTAGCAATGCTTCCTTTCCAAATCTAGATGTCATGTGGTGAAAATATCAAGCCACATGGAGATGGCATTTAGGTCTACGGCCCCAGCTGGACTCCCAGCTAACAGCTAACATGACCTGCCAGCCATGCAAATGAGCCATCTTTGATGTCCTATGCATTTGAGCCTTCAGATCCTAGCAGTCCAAACCAACATGTTACTGCAACTGCCTGAGATTCCTGGCAAGAACCATCCACCTGAGTCCACTTAACTCATAGAAACATGAAAAATAACAACATATTATCGTTTTAATCCACTAAATGTGGGGTAGCTTGCTATGCAGTAAAAATTGGATCTTAAAAAAAATGAAGAATCAATACAAGTATACCTTATTCGAATTCAAAACGATATGAAGACTTCCATTTACAGTTATGGCAAAGTAACTTGAATCATACTGCTCTCTTACCATAAATAACTATAAAAATCTGACAACAAATATAAAACAACTCTCTTTGGGCATTGGACAGCAACCAAAACAAGCATGTGATACTTGACTTAAAGGGGTAGCTGATATAATTCTCATACTAAAAGTGGATATCACAGTAAATTATACTGAAAATACAGTGTGAGGAAACAGAGGCCACACAGAGTTTGGAAATCATACTGGGTGAAAGAAACACAGATCAAAGTTTAGGGCTGCCAAAGCTGCTAGGGTTTGGGACCAGGGTACTAATGCTAAGGAGAAGCTGCTAAGAAGAAATTGTGTAAGATTTCTCTTAGTTCAATGCTTAAGCTGCAGGTCTGTGGGTCCTCCAGAAGGACTAGGAGAGGATAACTACTTAGACACATACTGAGTAGAGATTTCAGAGGCCTTGTCAGTTCTGAATAAACATTTGATTTCATTGGTAGTCAGAGAGGTTAGACATAGATAAGCATTTCAGGGTTAGGCGATACCCCCCAAAACCATGCCCAAAAGTAAGAAATTAAGGCTACATTCAAGGAGCAAATCTGAAGACTCACCCTAACATAGACACCACAGAGTAATTAGAAGGAAATTTAACTTTAAGCACATATGCTAGATAAAATTTGAAGGTCAATTTTCTAAGCTTCCATTGCTAAAAGCTATAGAAAATACCATCAAGAAAGAAATAATATAGGGCAATAAATTAATGAAATTTAAAACATATATAATAGAAAAATTCCACAAAGCCAAAAATATGTTTTTCATAAAGACTATTAGAATCAATAAATATTTAGCAATACAGAGCAAGAAATAAAATGGAGGAAACACAAATTATAAATGCCTAAAAAGAACAAGGGAGATAACTACAGATCACAAGACATTCTTTTAATGACAGAATATTATGAATTACTTTATACCAATACATTTTTAAATCTATATTTAAAAATGGTTGAAAAACACAATGTACTGTAATGGACAAAACAAGAGGTAGAAAATTAAATAGTCCTATATTTGTTTATTAAAATGAACACATAATTCAAAACTTTCCCACAAAGAACACTCTAGTTGCATAGGACTTTAATGTTAAATTATTATGAAAATTTTAGGAAGAAAACAATAGCAATATTAAAAACTGTTTAACAAAATTATTTGTTTCTTTATCAAGGGAATGTATATATAAAAATCCATTGAGATTAATACTTAAGATATGTGGATTTTACTGTTATTTCTTAATTTTAAACAAAGTAAAACAACTTCACTGTCCACATGAGTGAATAGTACTATAGTGATTTTCTATTGCTATGGAAAAAAATACCGCAAATTTAGTCGCTTAAAGCAAGACCAAGACACATTTGTGATATCACAGTTGTGGGTGAGGAGTCTCGACACATCTGTGATATCGCAGTTGTGGGTAAGGAGACTGGACACATCTGTGATATCACAGTTGTGGGTAGGGAGTCTCGACACATCTGTGATATCGCAGTTGTGGGTAGGGAGTCTCGACACATCTGTGATATCGCAGTTGTGGGTAGGGAGTCTCGACACATCTGTGATATCGCAGGTGTGGGTAGGGAGTCTCGACACATCAGTGATACTGCAGTTGTGGGTAGGGAGTCTCGACATATCTGTGATATTGCAGTTGTGGGTAGGGAGTCTCGACACATCTGTGATATCGCAGTTGTGGGTAAGAAGTCTGGACACATCTGTGATATCGCAGTTGTGGGTGAGGAGTCTATAGGCACATCTGCTTGGGTTTTCTTACGGTCTTTCTTACGGTCTTATCAAGGCTGCAATCAAGGTGTCAGGCAAAGCTGGGTTCTCATGCAGAGGCTGAACTAAGGAAAGATATGCTTTCAAGCTCCCTTAGATTTTTGGCAGAACTCATTCTCTTACAGTTATAGAATTCATGAATCCTTCCTTCTTCAACGCCTGGAATTGAGAAGAAGATTGCACCAAGATCAGCTCTACACTCTTATTTATTCAAGTACTTGTAATCACAACAAACCTATCTACCTATCCCTTTCATTTGATGTTTCGTTGGTCAGAATCAAGTAACAGATCCCACAAAAGCCTCAACACCATGAGGCAGGGTTTACAGGGCCACCTTAAAGTATGAGTGCCAAAATGATGTACATTCAGTTTATATCCTTAAAAAAAAATGACAGAGACTATATACGCTTATGTAAAAAAATGCCTTCCAACCATGTTTGATATACATTTGAGATAACAGCAGTCTCCAACATTTATGAAGCACTTCTTCTAAAATTGTCGGTAAATAAAACATGTCAATGCTATAAGGGACTACTCTTAAGAATACCAGTTCTATTATCATTGGTTTAAAAAGCTCCTGGCTTATTTGAAAAAATGAGTACTTACTTTTAAGTGGTTTTATATCTCAGTGTCCTGAAAGTGGTATTTCTCAGCACATTAGGAGTATGTGATAATTCACCAGGACTTCCATGGTATAAGGACATTGACAAAGGAGCAACAAATGAAGTTAAGGAATCCTATAGTGAGAAAAATTTTAATACATTAAGGAAAATTAAGCCCCTTTGTCAACCCTCTCAGCAGAATAGAACTGAATTTTTCCATACTCATGTTGAATTGGAAACTCCAGTGTTGGAGGAGGGGTCTAGAGGGAGGTGATTGGATCATGGTTTAATGCAGATGACAGGTTGATGGGTGCAGCAAACCACCATGGCTCATGTATACCTGTGTAACAAACCTGCACTTTCTGCACATGTATCCCATAACTTAAAATATAATTAAAAAAAAAACCTGCCCATAACTCTGCTGGTTGTCTTTTCATTAAATCCTTCTTAAAATACAAAAACAAACAAACAAAAATGGTTTGACAACATCCCCCTGGTGCTGTCTTATGATAGAGTTCCCCTGATGCCTGCTTGTTTAAAAGTGTGTGGCACCGCCCACTCCTCTCTCTCCTGCCATGTAGACAAGCTTGCTTCCCCTTTGCCTTCCACCATGATTGTAAATTTCATAAGACCTCCCCAGCCATGATTCCTGTACAGCCCACAGAACCATAAGCTAATTAAAACTCTTTTCTTATAAATTACCCAGTCTCAGGTAGTTCTTTATAGCAGTGCAAGAACAAATTAATACAAAAAATTGGTGCCAGAGAAGCGGGGCATTGCTATAAAGATACGTGAAAATGTGGAAGCAACCTTGGAATTGGGTAACAGGCAGAGGGTGGGGCAGTTTGGAGGGCTCAGAAGAAGACAGGCCGATGAGGGAAAGTTTAAAACTTTCTAGATATTTGTTAAACAGTTGTGACCAAAATGCTGATACTGATATAAACAATCAACTCCAGGCTGAGGTGGTCTGAGATGAAGACGAGTAACTTCTTGGAAACTGGAGTAAGGTCACTCTTGCTATGCTTTAACAAAGAGACTGGCAGCATTGTGCCCCTTCTCTAGGGATCTGTGGAACTTTTGGACTTGAGGGAGATGATTTAGTATATCTCGTGGAATAAATTTCCACAAATTTTTTGAATTTCAAATTGAATGCTAAGCACCAAAATATTCGAGATGTTGTCTGGGAGCTTCTAACAACAGACACTCATATGCATGCACAAAGAGATTATCTGAAACTGAATCTTACATTTAGAAGGGAAGCAGAGCATAAATGTTTGGAAACTTTGCAGCCTGACCATGTGGTACAAAAGAAAAACCTATTTTCTGTGGAACAATTCAACCTGGCTGCAGAAATTTGCATAAGTAAAAAGGAGCCCAATGTTAATAGCCAAGACAATGGGAAAAATGCCTCCAAGACATTTCAGAAACCTTTACAGCAGCCCTTCTCATTACAGACCTGGTGGCCTAGGAGGGAAGGATGATGTTATGAGCAATGCCCAGGGCCCTGCTGCTCTGTGCAGCCTCGGGACTTGATGCCTGCATTGTGGCCACTTCAGCTCTAGCCACAGCTAAAATGGGCCAACGCACAGCTTAAGCTGTTGCTTCAGAGGGAGCAAACCCCAAGCCAAGGCTTGGCAGCTTCCACATATTGTTAAGTCTGTGGATGCACAGAGGGCAACAGTTGAAGCTTGGGAGACTGCACCTAGATTTCAGAGGATGCATGGAAACACCTGGGATTTCCAGGCAGAAGTCTGCTGCAGGGTCAGAGCCCTCATGGAGAAGCTCTACTAGGGCAGCATGGAGGGGAAATGTGGGGTTGGAACCCTCACACAGAGTGCCCCTGGGGAATGGCCTCGTGCAGCTGTGAGAAGAAGGCCACCGTCCAGACCCCAGAAAGGTAGATCCACCAGCAGCTTGCACTGTGCACTGGAAGAGCCACAGGCATTCAATGCCAGTCTGTGAAAGCAGCCATGAGAGCTGTACCCTGCAGAGCCACAAGGTTGGAGCTGCCCAAGTCCATGGGAGCTCATCCTTTGCATGAGTGTGGCCTGGATGTAAGACATGGAGTCAAGTGAGATTATTGTGGAGCTTTAAGATTTAATAACTGCTCTGCTGGATTTTGGATATGCATGGGGCCTGTAGCTCCTTTGTTTTGGCCAAGTTCTTCCTTTGAAATGGGAGCATTTACCCAATGCCTGTCCCCGCATTGTATCTGGAAGTAACTAACTTGCTTTATATTTTACAGGCTAAAATGTGGAAAAGACTTGCCTTGTCTCAGGTAAGACTTGCCTTGTCTCAGGTGAGACTTTTGACTGTGGACTTTTGAGTTAACGCTGAAATGAGTTAAGACTTTCAAGAACTATTTAGAAGGGATGATTGTATTTTGCAATGTGAGAAAGACAAGAGATTTCGGAGGGGCCAGGAGTAGAATGATATGGTTTGGCTCTGTGTCCCCACCCAAATCTCATGTCAAATTGTAATCCCCATTGTTAGAGAAGGGGCCTGGTAGGAGGTGATTGGATAATGAGGGCAGTTTCTAATGGTTTAGCACCATCCCCCTGGTGCTGTCTTGTGATAGAGTTCTCCTGAGACTTGCTTGCTTAAAAGTGTGTATCACTTCCCACTCCTCTCTCTTCCTCCTGCTCCCGCCACGTAGACATGCTTGCTCCTCTTTTGCCTTCCACCATGATTGTAAGTTTCCTAAGACCTTACCAGCCATGCTTCCTGTACAACCCACAGAATTGTGAGCTGATTAAACCTCTTTTCTTATGAATTATCCAGTCTCAGGTAGTTCTTTATAGCTGTTCAAGAATGGACCAATACAATCACCTTATACTTCTCAAGGTTCTCTTCCTGCTTCACTCTTGTTTCAATCTCTTATGCTGGTTATTTCTTTTTTTCCACAGCCTACATGTGGATCTTTTGTGAAATTGTTTGTAGCACTTTTTTCTTTCACAATACACTGTACATTTGACCTTGGCAGTTTTATTCATGCCTACTGCATAATTTTGCTCTGAAATAACTTTCAATTTTAAATTATCTTCTTCCCCACTGCTTCTGTCTAAATATATATCCTTGTCTTCATATGCATGGAGTATTGCTTCCTGATTCCAAGCTTTCTCTCCCTCACTCACCCCTAGATTTGCCATTAAAGTGATTTTGCCACAACATAAATATAAAGACATCATTACTCTGCTTCACACCAATTAGTGGTTTCCCATTCATTATAGGATGAAGTCGAACTTCCTCAGCAAGGCAGAAAACACCCTTTATAAGCTGGTAAGTTCTTACAACTTCAGTCTCACCTCCCACAGTTTTTTCCTTCTAGATTCTTAATCCAACAATATTGAATTATTTTTGAGTTATCCATGCCTGTAGAGCCGCTGTAAGAATGGAACACAGGGACAGTATGTACTGGTGGAAATGTTTTTCCTTCCCTATTTGGCATACGTTTATTCATTCTTTGAAACTTTGTTCACATGGCACCTCTTCTAGAAAGTCTTTCATTTCTCTCTAAATACACAATATAATGATTACCCTCTTCTCATTACTAATTCTACATCTTGTATATATCAATCATTGGATATCCTAATACTTATTTTTAACAATCTGTTTACAAGTGTGTTTGCTACAAGTATTGAGGGAAAATACTATATATTTCATCATTATGTCTTCAGCCCATAACAGAGTGCCGGGAACAGAATCATGCATAAGAATTGGTTTATATATAGGATATAGAAACTGATTAATGCATTTCCATAAATGGGGTTGAAATTAACAGCAGTTTTTCAATGTGAAATTCATTCTTATTAACAAATTGAAAGTGTATTCTTTTAAAATTTGAAGGCTTGAGAAGAAAAATTACAAAGTCTGATAAAGATGATATGTTAGTAGTTTTACCCCTCATTAAAAAAAATCAAGTTTCCATGGGGTATAAAAATACTTCTAAGAAGCATAAACCTTCTATACTCTGGAATGTAGTGAGCTGGTTTCCACCCACTAATCAACAGCAATACAGTAAATGGTATGTCAGCACTTTTGTAATGAGGCAGCTGTTCGTAAATAGTTACAACGTGATTATATTAATTCACATTGGAAAAAAATGTTGAAAACATCCATACTAAGGAAACTGGCTATTATTAACCCACAACGTAACATTAAATTAAGTATTTGCATGCACATAAACACCTTTACACACAATTTGAATACCAATATCTACATTAATTTTCTTTTCTAGATATAGGATGTGGTTAGATTAAAGCACTTCTGCTGCAAATAATTGCTGTCTCTTACAATTTCTCAATTCATATGCCTGTGCAGTTAAAGAGCAATGGCCTAAAATGTATTCTAAAAGGAAAATAAAAGACTCCCCCTACTCCCCTACTCACCCAAGTGAAGACTTGTAGAATGGTCTGTGATTAAAATAATTGTCATGTTCTATAACCTTACCCTCAGCTTTTATAGTCCAGCATTTCAATTTTATAATTATATCCATTTCTACTAAGTTCTCAGGTGTTGAATCAGGGCAATCAAAACTACCAAAGAACAGTGTATAAATAAAAATGTAAATTTATTGCTGAATACATTTTCTAGTACTTTGAGTTCTCTTTCCTTCTTCTCAGGACATTGCCTTCCTGAGCCATGTGCCTGGAATGCTCAGTTAGAAGTCACAGGTTTCCTTGGTAGGTTCCTTTCTGACCTCTACAGCAGACAGAAGATACCAACCGAAAGTAAACAAATAACAAACTCTGAAGCCACATTCTCCTAGCTATGAAAATTAAGCTGTGCTTCTGTCTCCCACTCTCTACTTCATACTTTGTCTTTTGCTTTCCTCTGTCCTGAAATCATCTCTCTCAGCCTGGCTCTATGATCATGATGCTTCTCTGAGGTAGTCATGCAGTGTCCTTCAGAAGTCCTGATGGTGCCACACACAGCAGTTTGCCTGAAATTAATCCCCACCACCCACCCACCACCCCCACACTTGTCCCTGACATTTTAGAAACTTTCTCCTACCAGCAAGCACTAACCTGCCTTTCTTGTCTAGGAGCAGCTAAAAGGAGACAGACTATAGGTTAAAGAATCAGAATTGTTCACCAACTATGTAAAAGATTTATAACCTTTTCTGCTTAAAGTATTATACAAATCTCTAACTATTAATATACATATGCCCCTGAGAGCTAAGATCTCTTTCCTCAAAGTTTGTTGAATTTCTAATTTTAAGTCCTCCTCTTTTTCATTAAAGATTCCACAGGCTATCTCCCTTCTCTTAATAAATCCTCTCTCTGCTAAGCTACAACACAGTTGAGACCTTTCAACTCACTGATCAAAAACAAGTATTTCTAAGTCCTGGTTTCCCAAAATGTATAGTCTAATCTTCTTAATTATATAAATTTTTCACACTTTTTAGCCTCATAATAATTTCTTCCCACCTCAGGGGCTAATCTCATCCATGTCATGTTTTTCTAATTTCCTGATAAATTTTCCCATATAGGAAAAATGAAGACTGGCATGCTGTGCCTAGACTGGAATAATAGTCTTGGAGATTTGGCAGAGCCCTGAATGTCTTATGAGCAGGGTTTATCACAGAGTGTGAGTGAGGGAAAGATCTGGAAAGAAAGTGAAATAATAAATTGAGCCAATTCTCCAAATATAGCATTAATTGAAAAATGTAAGGAAAGGAAAAAACAAGTGTGATTTAGCAAATAGAAGCAAAATTAATTGTATGAAAGTAGAGGTTTGAAGTATCCTGGAGTTAAGTCTCTGGGTTAAGTCTCTGGCATACATTCTATATTTTTATTTCATTTGGAAAATAAGGAATATTAATATTCAGAGTTCACATAGTGAGTTTGTTTTGGCTTGACTATCAAAGTTAATTTTCTAGCAATCAGCATTACCTAGCCAGAAATTTGTTTTAAAATATTAATTTGTCTTTCTAAAAAAAGAGTTGAGGATCCCTATAACATCTTATTAGGAGATTACTATTTTGATTATGGATTATGGCATAACTCAACATTTTTCCATGCTGAGAAAGACTGGGATCCATACAACCAAGCCATAAACCCAAATATTCAACTCTAAGTTATACTCAAGAGAAATGTGTGCATATGGGGAACAGTCTTTATAAGAGAATTTTGTCGTGGACTATAATCATTTTTTATTCTAAGGCCCAGATTGAAGAACTGTTAAGAAGAAAACCAGATAACAAGTATCATTTATGTTTTTACTTTTTAATTTCGACATTGAATAATGAAGGCAATTTTTGTTTTTAAGGATGCATTATTGAAAATACATAATTTATTAAAATGTACAGGAAGGTTAGGGATTACTGGAATAGGCAATCTACGAAGCATAGGCTAAATCCATTTCCAAATATCTTCCTCAGGAGATCTAACAATATGTTTTGGCTTTACTATTTACTAAATTTCCTAAATATACTCATTATCTTATAAAATGGGTATTCAACTCTATTTTCCTTATCTCCTACATTTTCTAGATGACTGAGTGAACTTATTTATTCACATTGCCTTAGTAGCATTCATTCCATGGGATGAGTGGGTTAACTCATATATATAAACCAATGCTATTTAGTTTACATTAACACAGATTTTTGTTGACAGTATATTAGATATTAGTTTTGAATAATAGACAAATACATAGTGACCCATTTTGTAATGATTGATTATTTTACTGTGTGTTTTTTAACATAAAAAGTGTATAAAAATCTATAAAATCATTTTTAGTACACAGAAAATATATTCATAATTTAATCTTTTCAGGTAAATACTAAAAATATTATCATCATACTCTCCATTTAAATTCCTGATAAAATGAAATTGGCTTAAGATAAATAGATACATATTATAAAACTTTTGGAAATAATTATCCCATTCTTATGAATTTAGATCCTATATTTTCTAAGTACAGAGATATGATTGCTTATCTTTGAGGCAGAAAGAAATTTTAAAAAATACTTCCAGATACAGATGGAACATGTTATAGCAAAACTACCAGACAAAATGTATAATATATAACATTTTGAAAGAGAAATACAGTGCATAATGATAGACTAAAAATAAACAAACAACCATAACTGACCTTTAAGGACCAGAAAAAGAATAGAAATGGGCCAAGAAAAAGGCTGAAAACTCAGTTGAAAAGTGTGCAAAAGACGTCAACAGGCACTTCAAAAAAGAGAATATTCAAGTGCCCAATAGCACACAACAATGTGCTCAATTTCACTAATTATCAGGGAAATGCAAATACAATGCTCCATAAAAGACCACTATACACATGCACCAGAAAAGAGTCATGAAAGGATGAAAAATACTGAGTTGGTGAGAATATTGACCAAGTCATGCACTGCTGGTAGGATGTAAATTGGTGAACCCATTTGAAAAATGGTCTAGCAAAATCTACTAAAACTGAATATATGTATACATTGTGGCACAAATATTCAACTCTAAGTTATACTCAAGAGAAACATGTGCATATGTTTATCAAAAGACATCTACTAGAGTACATAGTATAAATATATCCATAATAGACAAAACTTAAATACAACAATAGAAGAGACAGTTTATGATGTATTTGCCCAATGGTATACTATACAGAAATGAGAATGAGCAATCTATGACTGCATGGAACAACATGAAATGAGTCTAACAAACATAATCTCAAATGAAAAACACACAAAAGAAGGTATAATGTATTTTTTTCATTGGTAGTAGGCCAAAAATAGACAAAACTAGGTTATGTTGTTAAAATTACGTTGAACTTTATCCTTGGTCAGGACTGGTGAGGAGAGAGCATTAAGCCTAGAATAGGACACAAGACAAGCGTCTGGGATGCTGGTACTGATCAATTACTTGGTCAGCATATTTGGTTACATGATTGTGTTCTGTTTATGAAAATTCATCATATATTTACTTATAACCCATGATGTTGTACAATAAACATTAATCAACAAGTTAAAATACGTAGTCATACACTGCACAATGACATTTTTGTCAACGATGGAACACATATAGAATGGTGAGCTCTTAAGATTATAATTGAGCTGAAAAATTTCTCTTGGCAAGAGATTTTATAGTGGTGGTAATGTTATAATGTAATATATTTCCTTTTCTATGTTTAGATATGTTTAGATACATAAATACTTACTGTTGTGTTGCAATTTCCTACAGTATTAAGTACAGTCACATTCTATACAGGCTTATAGCCTAAGAGCAATTATAGCCTAGGTTTATAGTAGGCTATACTATCTAGGTGTGTCTAAGTAAACACACAATGACAAAATTACCTGACAACACATTGCTCAGAATGTTTTCCCCACCAACCACCCACCCACCCCCTCCCCAGTTAAGCATTAATGTATTTGTTTGCTAGGGCTTTCTTAACAAAGTATCAAAATAGGTAGCTTAAACAACAGAAATTTATTTTCTGACAGTTATGGAGGCTAGCCGTGTGAGATCAAGATGTCCACAGGGTTGATTTCTTCTGAGGCCGCTTTCCTGGGATTGTGAATAGCAGTCTTCTCCCTGTTTCTTCACATGGTCTTTCTTCCATGTATGTCTGTGTTCTAATCTCTTCTCACAAGGACACAGTCTTATTGGATTAGGGTCCAACCTAATGAGCTCATTTAACTTTTGTTAATTCCATTATTTTATTTTAATTTTTAAATTATATAGACACATAGTAGGTGTATATATTTATGGGTTACATGAGATATCTTGATACAGATATGCAATGAGTAGTAGTCACATCAGGGTAATTGGGGTATCCATCACCTCGAGCATTTATACTTTGTGTTATAAATAATCCAGTTATACTCTTTTAGTTATTTTAAAATGTACAATTAAATTATTTTTTACTATAGTCACTCTGCTGTGCTAGCAAATACTAGTTGGTGTTCATTCTTTTTATTTTTTTGTACCCATGAACCATCCCCACTTCCGCTCACTCCCCCTGCCACTACCCTTCCCACCTTCCCAGTCTTTGGTTGGTAACCACCCTTCTACTCTTTATCTTTGTGACCTCTTTAAGGACCCTGTCTCCAAGTATAGTTACATTTTGAAGTACTGGGGATAGGACATCCACAAATGAATTTCAAGGCAGCAAAATGCAACTAATAATTATATAATAAGAAAAATATAAGAAAGACAATAATGAAGACAAATGAAAAGGTTTAAAATTTATTAGAAAATTTAGAAATTATTTTTAACAATTACAACCAAAACTAATTATTTTGGAAAACTTGAAAGACGAACTTTTAGCAAAACCAATAAAAGAAAACGGAGAAAATAAACCAATAAGGCAGAGAAAAGGAGAACACAGGTAGATAAATGGCAAAGACTTTAAAGATACTATTAGCAACAGTTTTTCAATACCTTTGTTACTTTAGATGAATAGACAATTTTCTTGAAAAAAGCAACACAAGGAACAGTTGTTGCAACTAGCAAACATGGTAAAACCCTAAGGTGAAATAATTAGTATTATGATAAATAATTAGTGTGATGAGTGTTACATGAGTAATTTATTACACTACCTTCTGATGTTGAAATTCAGTGAAGGCAACCTAACTTTTTCTAGAGGTTTGAACCAAATTTACATCATGCTCTTTACTTACAAAACCATAACAATATTTAAAGTAGACAGATAAGCTATAAATATAAATTTAATATGTTATTCGATCAACATTTTTGTTTTGATCTCTTGACCAAGCAGGAAAGGTGTTCACCTTTGGAAAAGTGCGTGAGGCTGCCAGTGAATTTGCCCTCACATTACAATTCTCCCTTTCCAGCTATGCCTACCACATAGTAGCCATTTCTTAGTGGATGCCAAGGAAAAATTCAGAGGCACTTAATGTGTACAAAGTACTTTACATAAATGGGTGTGCAATCACTTTAATTAACTGAACATTTTAAGGTCTGTACTGTAAATAGCACAACTCAGAGCAATTGTAACTATTTTTATGCTGGCTATTTATTTTTACAGTTGGTTGATTAAAACCTTCTGCTAGAGATAGCTTTGAACTAGCCATGAGAATTCCTTTCTGGACTTAAAATGGGAAAGAACATCTGAACATAAGCCTTAAATTTATACTTATTCTTCAAGGTCTATATGTACATGCTTGGTACCAGATATTTTGCCGTGTTTTTTTTTCTTCTCAAATCTCATTAATTATGGTTATTGTTCTTTGTTTCAATAAATTGCTTATTATAAAATATAATACATCAAAGTGAATAATTTCCAAATTTTTAATCCAAATATTTTTCTTGACTCATGAACTGAATTGGAACATACTTTAAAAGAAGGCCCTATTTAAATTTCCCTTCCCTCCATTCTTCTCTCCATTCTTCTTTAATTCCTTTTCTTTCTTCCAGAATAACTTTGAAACATTCTCAGTAAAACTAATATTCAAGCATAACCTTGAAATTTAAAAAGCAAAATATCAGCTAATTAAATTTGTGTCCACTTGTCTCTTGCTCTTACTCAGATAGTTATCATTTAATTATGGTTAAAGAAAAATAACATAAAACTCTCTTAGACATTTATAAGTGTACAGTTCAGTGGCATTAACTACATTCACTATCTTACGCAACAAATATCTAGAACTTTTTCATCTTATCAAATTGAAACTCTATTCATTGAACAATAAACCTACATTTTTCTCTCTCCCTGGCCTCTGGCAACCACCCTTCTACTTTCTCTATCTATTACTTGGGTTACTTTAAATATCTTATAAAAGTAGAAGCATACAGTATTTAACATCCTATGACTGGTTTATTTCATTTAGCATAATGTCCTCAAGGTTCATTCGTGTTGTATTATGTGTCAGGATTTTCTTTTGTAGAGCTGAATAAATATTATATTAAATGTATATACACACAATTGCATATTTAGGTTCACAAAAAGTTGAGCAGAAGGTACAGAAATTCCCGTATGAACAACTTGGAGTCTGATGTTTGAGGGAAGGAAGCATCCAGCACAGGAGAAAGATGATGGCCAGAGGACTCAGCAAGTCTGCTTTTTCATATTCTCCTGCCTGCTTTGGTCAGTGTTCTGGATTTTGGTCATCTAATATATATGTAGTGGTATCTTGTTTTAATTTTCATTTCCCTGATAGCATGTGATGTGCAACTACTTATCACATGCTCATCTGTCATCTGTATGTCTTTTTTGTGGGGGGTCTGTTGAGGTCTCTGGCTCATTTTTAAATTGGATTATTTGTTTTCTTATTATTGAGTTTTAAGAGTTCTTTGCATATTTTGTATGATTATATTTCTTTGCTGTTGAGTTGTAGGAGTTCTTTATATATTCTGCATAGTGACCCCTTATCAGATACATGATTTGCAAATATTCTCTCCCATTCTGTAGGTTTTCACTCTGTTGATTGTCTCCTTTGCTATTAGTATATTTTCTAAGTTTGATTTAATCCTGTTTGTCTGTTTTTATTGCCTGTGCTTTGAATGTAGTATCAAAGAAATAATTGCCAAATTCAATGTCATAAATCTTTTCCCCTATTTTATTCTAGATGTTTTATAGTTTTAGGTCTTAAATATGATCTTAATCTATTTTGTGGTAATTTTTGTGTATGATGTAAAGTAAGAATCCAATCGTTTTTTTCTGCATATGGATATCCAATTTTCTTAAAATTATTTAAGAGAATCCAATCTTTTTCTTTTGCATATGGATATCCAATTTTCTCAAAAATATTTGTTTAAGAGGTTGTCCTTTTCCATTGTGTGATCTTGGCATTCTTATTGGAGATTATTTGACCATTTATGCAATGGTTTATTTCTGGAATCTGTTATATTCCAGTGGTCTATATGTCTATCTTTATGCCACTACCTTACTATATCAGTATGCTATGACAGTATATACAATACTTGTTTATTATAGCTTTGTAATGTGTTTTGAAATCTGGAATATGTGTATGGCCCTCAAGTTTATTCTTCTTTTTCAAGATTGTTTTGAATATTATGTATCTTTTGAGATTCCATATTAATTATAGTGCTATTTTTCTATTTCTGCAAGCAATGCTACTGGAATTTTGATAGGGATTACACTGGATTTGCTTTGAGAAATATGGACATTTAAATAATATTGCCTCCCAATCCATAAATGTGGGATGCCTTGTCACTTATTTGTGTCTTTAATTTCATTCGGCAATATTTTATAGTTTCCTTTCTTTCTTTCTTTTTTTGGTAAGGGGAGGGGTGGGGGAGGGTAGATATTTTATAGTTTTCAATGTTCAAGTCTTTCACCTCCTTGATTAAGTTTATTATTAAGTTTATTATTTCATTGTTTTTGAGGCTATTGTAAATAAGATTCTTTCTTAATTTCCCTTTCAGATTGTTCATTGTATATAACAAAGCAACTTATTTTTGTTTGTTGATTTTATATCCTGTAACATTTCTGAATTCATTTATTAGTTATATAATTTTTTGTGAAAGGATTTCTGTTTCTTCACTCACAGAAATAATTTGTCTCTCACAGTTACTGCTCAAAGACTGATTATAGGCCACCCACTCAATTGGCTTTTCCTCCAATATACTGAATTGTAATACTTCATTTGCATGGCCTATATAATAGAAAATCATATTTTTTGTATTTAATCTCCTGCTTTCAGGTAATGTGGACACCTTTTTGTGTGTGACCTTCTTAATCAGAGAAAGTAATGCAAAGTACTGAAACTGAAAGCTTAGGTTAATTCGAGACTGAAGCCCGGTATAATTCACTGATCATTGTAAAACTCTGCGTAGGAAATGTAACTGGGATGTCTCTTTCTGTAAATAGATTAGGGAACAAATGGCAAATTATTCGCCATATCACTAATGCTCTTTTCAGTCAAGGCTTCAAGGCTTATCCCTGCTGGTCTACCGATTCTCTTGTGGTTACTTGGGTCCAGGAAGAAAAGGTGTTCAATTGTGTTTGAGTCTATCTTATGAACAGCTTATTGCTGAGTCTGCACAAGTATAATAGAGAACTGGTCACTATATGCAACATTTAAAACACAGTGTGTGGCATAAATCACATGCTTCAGTAGCTACTGTGGATGCTTAGTTAAAATCTTATCTATTTTGTAGCAATGTTTTAAGCTAAGATATTCCAGTTCCAAGCATTTGCTTAGAAAAGAAAGTCCTTGTGAAATTGTTAAAGAGCCTTTGGGTAAAAATTCTTTGATTTCTATCTTCTAGTCATTTCTACATCATTGTCAGCTTCCTTAAAAGTGACACTCTCAAGATGAGATCAAAAGACTCACAAGGCAAGTGATGAGGAAGAAATATAAACTGAAATAGATAAGCCACCCTTCCTTCATGCTTAAATAAAACTCTTCTTGTAAGACAAGGTTATGTTTCAATGGCAGTGGTAGAAAAACAAAGACGCCAGGAGCAGAAGGCTAAATCAGGACCATTTTCACAATCAGCTGTCACATAGGCCTCCACATACTTTTCTCTCTCTTTCCCTCCCTCCTGTCACAAGGATAGGGGCAAACCCACTGCTCCCATGTTCTTCCTTTCCTTTGTTCCTTGGTTCCTTGGTTCCTTCCTTCCTTCCTTTCTTCCCTTCCTTCCTTCCTTTCTTCTTCTTTTTTTCTCCCTCTTTATTTCTTTATTCTCTTTCTTTCTACCCTTCTACCTTTCCCCGGCACTGACCTTGATTAGAGCCTTCTTTACTGCTATGATTTCGATTTTTCTTGTTTGTCCCCACCAATATTAAACTTCTTATGTTGAAATTTAAACCCTAGTGTGATGGTGTTGGGAAGTGGATCCTAGTGGGAAGTGTGTGACTCGTGGGGATGGATTTTTCATTAATGGCTTGTTGCTATTATCATAGTAGTGAGTTCTTGCTCTTCCAAGAATAGACTGGTTCTCAGGGCAATGGGTTGGTTCCCCACAAAGTGGACTGTTATAAAGCCAGGACACCCCTCAGATTTGGCCCCTCTTTACATATGCCCACTTCCCTTTGACTTTCTCCACTATGTTTTGATGCAGACGAAAACCTTCGCCAGAAGCCAAGCAAATACCAGTACCATGCCTGGAAAACTGTGATCCAAATAAACCCCTTTTCTTTACAAATTACCCAACCTTAGGTATTATTTTATAGCAATATAAAATAGACAAAAACACTAACTTATCATGATTCTTAAATCTGAATCTCCCCAAGAAGTTATTGGAGAGTGGGCAGATGGGTGAACCATCAATCCTGTACTCGCAGAAGAGCTCTGGATGTGTGGACCTTTCCAGAACTCTGCATAATTATGAGGTAGTGGCTCAGCTAAAACAGATAAAAGGTCTTTGACTCTTTGCTAATATGACAAGACAGAAATGTTAGCACATCAATGTTTTAGCTTGCATTTATTTTGTTACTAATGAAAGTCTGCATTTTTGAATGTTTAGAATTGACTCGTTGCTCCTCTGCTGTGAGTTGCTAATGTTCTTTGCCATTTTTTTTCCTATTGGATATTGGGTCACCATTGTGAACTTCTCAAATATTAAAAATAATTCTCAGCTGTCACATCTCTGGTAGACTACTAGTTCTTAAACAATGAATTAGCACAAGTTTCTAATAGCATATTGATAATCACATTAACTGAGTGACCAATGAATGAAATCTTTTTCTTCACCATTGTTATTATTTTAATATTCATTGCAATAAAAAATTCCGTATTTGGTTTTTTTAATTAAAAAATGTTGTGGTATGAATGAAAAAGAAAAAAAAATGGTAATCTGGAGGTATAGCCATAGGGTATAAAAAGAAAAAAAGAGAAAGGAAAAAAGTAGTAGAAAAATTATCAGTTGATTTACCAGCTACATTTCAGAAAATAACATGCCCTTGGATTGGATAATCTTAGAGGACCACAAAATATAATTATACATGATCTATTAGAGTATTATCTATTACCCAATTATGCTGTCTTCTGTCTCCAAACTCCCCTGGAAATTTTAATTTTATAAGATCACTAGGTACAAAAATTACAATCTTTTAATATTGACTGAAACTTTTAGTCTATTATTAACTTTTATCCCTGAAAGTCTCCCAATTGTTTGTCTAAACCTTCTTAATTGTAATTTGAACTCCATTTCCTTAGTTATATCTTTAGTAAAGAGAAAGATGACTACTGGTGTCCTTCAACCTATAAAAACAGCAAGCAATAAATAAAACAAGCTTCATGTGTTTTACTATTCCCTTAGACTTCATTTTTTCTAGACTTGGTCCTGTGGTTGTTCTCTTACTCTCCTACTTTTTAATCCACTCACTACATTCAATTGTTTGGAGGTTTTTAAAACTTTTATTCTTAAATAAATATAAATAAAAATATAGTCTAGAGAGGTTCTAAGTATATAAGTTTCACTCAATTTCCTCCAATAACAACACCTTACATAATTATAGTAACAATTTCAAAATCAGGAAAGTGACATTAGTACAATACTTGTGAATAGTTCTATGTCATTATTTTTCATATGTATAGACTAATCAATACTGGAAACAAGATACAAAACTATCCTTTCAGCATAAAGATCTCCCTTGAGTTACTTCTGGACTGCCACACTAACCACCTTTTCCCCACCATCCCTAACCCTCATCAACCACCCAACCATTCTCCATCTCTGTAACTGTAATTTTCAGTATGTTATAAAAATGGAATATTGCCATATATAACCATTTGAGATTGGTGTTTTTAGCTCGACATAATAATGCCTTTGAAATTCTCCAAGTTGTTGTACTAGGATGGAATTCTAGCAAGTCTGGAAAGTCTGAGATGAAGATTTGTGTTCAGAGAGTTTGTTGGAAAGTGCCGTTAAAATAACACTTGTGAGAGTGTGAGAAAAGTAGAACTGTGTAGAGGACGAACTTGAACTGAAATGGATTGATTGCCATAGAGGTCTCAGCTCATTACACAGCAAGATCAGAAGCTGAGGTTTTCAGAGATGCTCCTGATTAAAGTAAAATGGACCAATCACTAGATACAGACTGATCCTCTAAAGCAAGCTTGTCTGTCCAACCCACAGCCTGCGGGCTGCATGTGGCCCAGGATGGCTTTGAATGCAGCCCAACACAAATTTGTAAAGTTTCTTAAAACATTATGAGATTTTTTTTTTTGCAATTTTTCTTTGGCTCATCAGCTATCCTTAGTGTCAGTGTATTTTATGTGTGGCCCAAGACAATTATTCTTTCAATGTGGCCCAAGAAAGCCAAAAGATTGGACATCCCCACTCTAAAGGAAGCATAATCTTGCGTGAGACAGCTTCCTCCTGCTGAGGACAACTCCTGAAGAGAGACTTGGCTGTGAGCCTTTAGCCTTTATCATTGCTGGAAGATAAAGGAATGGGTGACTTACCTCTGGAATAATGGCTGAATGCCACACCATAGAGTCTACTACAAGCTAATGATTGAGCTCTAAGAAGCTTTAAAGAAAATAAACACAAAATTAAGCCTTCTGCCCCCTTTCCCTGGTCATAGAAAATCTTATAAATATATGCTATAATTATTTAAAATGTATATTTCCATTTCATAAGTTAACTTCCTGAGGAGGAGAGGTTAAGTAAGGTTATCAATAACTATTTACCTATTAAAGAAACATTTTATTTATCTATAATGTAGAAACACAACTTAACGTATTATCAACTGCATAATACCACCTGTAAGTAAATGTATTTATTTTTTAAATATATACCTGGTGTGTTTTATTTTATAAATATTCAAGCCTATTTTGAATTATATTAAATATTTTTCCAATACTATACTGCTGTCTCTAAACCTACACTTTGAAATCAGAATATTTACCATTTCAAAAGGGTGTGCAGTTCTCCATTAATCTAATGAGTTTTTACTTTTCAATATTTCAAAAATATAAACACATTTTTTCATGTAAATTATCTCTACTTTGAATATAATAGCAACAATTATACTAACACTACATTAACCAAACGAAATGTATTACTGATAAAAAAAATGTGCACAGAATTTTTCTGCTTTTGAAACATTGTTTCCGAATTATTTTCTCACAACTAACTGGCTTAGTTTTACTGTAAACAGAAGGTCACTAGAACCATGACATCAACTATGCTAACTACTTAGCACCCAATAATTTTGGAAAAGAAATTCAAATTTACAGTAAGTGTGAGTAGTAGAGCTTATTGAATTATTACAAGTATATGCATGTCAAATTTCACAAGAATTAAAATATTATAGATGCTTTCATCCAAATGTTATTGAACTTTCACCAAATTAAAGATCTATGCTCAAGGAGCAGCTTCTTAGTTGTTCATTTACAGAATAAATTCATAGTCTTCACCAAAACTCAAATGTCCCTGAAAGATGATGGGGAAAGCAAATGTCAAGGTCCTTGGATTCCTGCAGAGCTTGAATCTCCTCCTTTAGCTCTGAAGACTAGAAGCAGCTTGATTTCTAGGGAAAGTCCTTTACAACATTATCCTTTTCTGCTTGGCCTACTTGAGAAAGGAATTACTTTCCTGGAGACAAAAAACAATTGGCAACTGCCATTACTGGTTTGTTATGTCTTTTCAGTACAAGACAGCAAAGCTAATGCAGAATTGGGGAAAAGAAATGCTATTTCCTGCTTAACTTCCAAGGGCAGAGGTGTAAAACTACACAAGATAACAACAGACAGTAAGAGAGGATGACTTCTTTTCATATATTTACATAGCTGTATGTTTCAGAAAAGGGAAGAGAAGCAACTCTCTTCCTATTAACCCCTAAATTGTTCAGTGTATTAGAAAATTCCTTTCAGTGAATTCAAGGCACCTCAGTGTTTGGGGATATGTAACACCATGTCCCAAGTACTTTAATAATTTAATGTAATTTAAATATTATATTGGTCATTAGATTTTTTGTTATTCTCATTTTGGAGATTGAGAATCTAAGGTATAAGGGGTGGGGTTTGGGAGTGAACATTTGCTACATTATAGGATGAACAAGTGGCTGGACGAATATTTGAATCCAGCTCTATATGGTGCTAAAAATATGCTCTTTTGACACCACCAGCAATCATAATTTGACAGCCTGAGGGCCAAGTATGATCCACAGACAGCTTTCTTTGGCCTACGTAATTATTTGCAACAATTTAGAATTATTTGCCAAACTTGTAAAAAGCCAGTAATTTTACATAAAAATGAAAAAGTTGGCATTTCTGCTTGTCAACAGCCAAATGGAGCTTAACAGTGGTTATGCCCCTTACTTAGGGCAAGGCTTCAAAACAGTTTCCCCAATTCCTTCTACAACCCTTTCACTGATGTTGGAAGAGATATGCTTGCAGGTCTGTTCTTACTTATTGTTATGGACTGAATTGTGTCTTCAAATTCATATGTTGAATACCTAACCCCCAATATAATTATGTTTATAGATGGAGTCTTTAAGAAGGTAAAGATAAAATGAAGTCATGAGAGTGGGGTCCTAATCTTATTGCACTGGTGTCCTTATAAGAAGAGTGAGAGATACCAGACATCTCTCTTTCTCTGCAAAACATAGAGGAAAGGCCTTGTAGGGACTTAGCAAGAAGGTGGCTGGATGTCTGCAAGCCAAGAGAGGCCTCACCAGAAACCAACTCTGCCAACACTTTGATCTTGAGCTTCTAGCCTCTAGAACTATGAGAAAATAAATGTCTATTGTTTAAGCTACCCAAATATGCCTATTGTTTAAGTGACCCAACTATGCCTGTTGTTTAAAATGTCTTTTGTTTAAGCCACCCACTATTTTGTTGTGGCAGACAAGCACACTAATACATTTGTATCCAGCTGTCTTCATTAATTTCCTTGCTGTTACCTGCCTGGTCCACTTATCTGAGATCACTATATGATTTATCTCCACCCTTCCATAAAGAAGGCGCCATAAGTTTTATGTGTTTTTAATATTTTATATTATAAGTTCATATAAAATATAAATATTTCATATTTATGTTTTTAATATTTCCATTTTAACCTGCCATTCATCAAATTCTAATGAAATTTTGGGGGACCAGGATATAGAATTATTAGGAAACAATGGTGCAGGGAGATTTTGATGTAAAATATCCAGGGTAAATATTCATAAGCAATGTCTTTAAAAAGCAATTTCATGAAGAGGAAAATGTTGACAAATAGTATAATTGTATTTATGGAAAGCTGTGCCCACAGATACAGAAGATATCTGGGAGGATGTTCATCATAGTAATTATGCAAGTGATACTAGCATAAACTGTTCTATAAAGATTGAATTATTCACAAAGAATGTACCATTTTTACGTAACCAAATAATATAAAATAAATACTACGTAATATATAGAGACAGAAGGTAGAAAATGTAAAATACATCGAACATCATAATTTCCGACTAGGATTTATTATCTATGAGGGTGCACACTATTTTCCGACCGTTTACCAGTGTATTCCCAAGGGCCTTTACACTATAGATATGGAGGAAATATTTGTAAAGAGAATGAATGCATATTCCAAATCCAGCATACTGCAATGGAAGTAAAATAGACTACATCTAAGAGAATGGGTTCCATTCCTTACTCTTTCACAAACTCTTCAGTGCTACATAAACCCCCAAATTTAGCCCATGCTTACTTTTTACTTAAAGTAGTAAAACTAAATGATTAAATTTAGATTTTGCTTAGGAATCTGAGCACTCATAAGACCCCAAAACAGAGATTGGTTAAACAGCTTGTGCATGGGATTGTTTCAATAAATGGCAGGCTTGCTCTCCAAATGGTGAGAAATAGACCTCTGAGCTAGGGCACCGATGAACACTATCACTCATATTAAATATTGAAACAACAAAAGGATAAAATAAGTTGATGTAATATGGCTATGCAATAAGAACAATTTGTCCAGAGAAATAAGTAAATAGCAATTAGTTTTAGTATGTTATCACTTAAAAATCTTTTAAGAAGTTTCACCTGTTACTGAGTGTCTAAGAAAAACTTACAGATAATCAAACATGTTGTTACTGTGCTCTACTTTTGAAACATTTTTGAGGGAATCCTTAAAAGTCATTTTTTAATATTAGAAGAACATGGATGAATAACTGCTCTGGTGCATTCTGTCTTATTTTAAAGACTTAGCATAGTTGTAGAAGCATCTAATTTGCTCTCTGGGAGCAATTTATATACTAGAGCAATTAGACTTGTTTAAATAATTTGCCAACATATTTTTGAGAATGTTACATCAAATTACCCATAGTTATGCCTTTTTAAATAATAAGTAAATGTATCTGCCATGATTTAATATTCTAAAAATGTATAAAAGTCACCTACCTTCCTTTATTTGCACCCAACCCTTACTTTCTTTCACATGCTCTCCTTTGGCGGTACAACAAACATACATTTTTAAGCAACAAATGATATATTGAATGGTAGTGACCATATTTGGAAGAAAATGAAAAGCCCATTTACTTCATTAAGCTTTTAAACATTCAGAGAATTCTGTAATATCTGAATGAAATGTTTGATAAGAGACGGGACCTTGAAATTTTAGAGGTCATTAAAAATGATGGAAATATTTTTAAGAATGCAAAGCAGAGGCATCTCTAAACATGGAAATGTATACATATATAAAGCATTCAAATTGTATTTCATATTAAAATGACTTGAATTTGAGCTACACCTTGCATGTAGTTTAATTATAATTATTTGAACGTAGATTATTTTTAGCCTCTTTTCTACTAACAAAAACCACACTTGTTCAACCCACTTCCACATTTACTGGATAGTCCAAAGACTAAATATAACTTAACAGCTAGACATTGATATGTGTTAGTCTCTTTGTTTATATGTGTATATCTACAAACTATTAATAATGTGTGCATGCTTGCACTACATTTTACTACAAATGTAGGAGAGTTATCTTATTCTCATTTCTTGAACTGTCCATAAATATTTTTCTCCCAGGATAAAATGCTTCCTACTGTCAGTAACAAACATAAAATAAATATTCAATAAATTTTTATTCATCACCTACTATGTAGAATATTTGCTAGACACTAATAATGTATCAGAAAATAAGAAAAACATGAATTCTGCCCTGTGAAACTCACCATCTAGTGGTGAAAGACAAACAACAAAAAAGGCATTACCAGCAAGATAAGCATTAAAAACTAGCAAATGAGAGTGGTTGGTTCTATGGGAATGTATAGTAAGTGCATTGACCTTACTTTGGAGAGTCATGCATGCCTCAAGGAAGAATATGTTGAAGAGAAGACTTATAGAATTTATAATATTTAACTAGACAAATTAATATTTAACTAAAGAAAGAGTATTTCAGACAGAATACAGAACCCAGCAGCAAAAAGGAGCAAGTTGTATTCAAAGCTTGCAAGAAGTCCCAGAAGCAGGGTAAGAAGGGAAGGGCAAGTCTGTAGATGATGCCAAAACAGGATCATGAAGGTCTTTGAACAAATGGAAGACACCAAAAGATGAGAGAGTAGCTTTGCAGTATTTAAAAAAGAAGAGAATTTCTTCAAAAAGAAATTTACTTATGAGAATATAACACATCAGAAAACATAAAAAACATTTGCAGGTTAAGATGTTAAGACATAAAATTAATAGACATTACATGGTATAAACGATAGATAATACATAAATATTTAGAAGGTTTTGGTAATATCTTCTATTTTCACAACCTCAATAATAATGAAGTTATCCTTCATGCCTAGGCTTATCTTTCTTATTCTAACCTTTACATTGATAGAAAATGTATTAGGTAAAAGTCTTATGAATAATTTGAAAAATAAAGAAATAGTTATTTAAGGTACCTCAAAATTTCAAATAGACTATTCAAAAGAAGGATTTGAAAATATCTTTACATTCACTGAAGACTGTGGGGATGAGAGTCAATTTAGGTCAGATGCTTCCTGAGAATGGATCGTTTTATTTTTATCTACACATTATTCTTTCTTAATGGCTGGAAAACAGATGAACATAACACATTATTAATGCAGCTGTCTGAGTAAAATTTATGTTCTTATTTTCTTGTCTGTTCAACTCTAAGCTGACTGTATGTTGTGTGTGGGGGAGAATGCTCATAACTTTCTAATCCGGTAATAGTAAGATCCTATGCTACACTCTGAGTTTATAGCTACTATTATTGCTGGAGGAGAAACGTGGATGTTTTGAAATGGTTGAACGATTCAGGCTCCTGCTTCATCAGAGATAAAAGAAGCAAGCCAACTGGTCAAGTAGGGACTTATCACAGTGTAAATCTCTGGGGGATAGCTAACTCAGCTCAATTAATAATCAAACTCTTTTCTTTTACATATTGCTAAGAAACCACAGACGGTAGAAAGTTTGGATTTTTTCCCAGAAATCAGTCTGAGAGCAAAGGCAGAAGAGGCAACTGTGGTTTTTGTTCTACTTTTTAGCACAACCATCTCGTTTTTATAAATAATGAAGTACTGAGCCGAGTCAGAAAATCCTGTGCTATTTAAATCATTTACCAATGATTCACAAATGCTTGCTGAGGGATTTTTCTTTTTTCTTTTTTTTTTTAACCAAACCTGGCCACTGTCCATAACCCAGAGGAAATAGTTAGAGAGGCTGTTTCCTTTCCCTGTCTAAAAGAGGTTGAAAAAGTAAGGAGAGTTTCAGAAATGTTTTGATGTAGCAAGAATCAACCAACTTAGCAGGTATACTGTATCTGCAAAGATGATACTCCCCCAGCTAAGTCCAAGTCTTTCCATTTTTTCGCTATAGCCACAGAATTACACAAAACTTGGAAAAAGAGAGTCAATTTGTTTTTAGGTATTCCAAAGCTGCATAAGCATTCATCTAGAGTTAGAAATAGTAACAGTGCAAGGACAAAAAAAACAAACTCCGCATGTTCTCACTCATAGGTGGGAATTGAACAATGAGAACACATGGACACAGGAAGGGGAACACCACACACCGGGGACTGTTGTGGGGTGGGGGGAGGCGGGAGGGATAGCATTAGGAGATACACCTAATGCTAAATGATGAGTTAATGGGTGCAGCACACCAACATGGCACATGTATATATATGTAACAAACCTGCACGTTGTGCACATGTACCCTAAAGCTTAAAGTATAATAATAATAAAATAAAATAATAAAAAGAAATAGTAACAGTGGACTGTATAGACGCTCTTTTCTTTCTTGACAATATTTCAATAAAGCCTTTTATGTCTGGTCACTTAGGACTTATCATTGCTTGCATATTTCTGTAGGGATGTCTCAAAGCACTTTCCATAAGGGGTATCACATTAAAAGAGCCACCATTCTAGAGATTTTTTTCTCCTGGAAAAAAAGAGACTGCAACAAGGCTGTGAAATAATATTACAGACAGATAATACCTCGATATGGCAGCTAAACTGATTTAAGAATGGGCATTTATTGAAAAAAAAAATAAGTTTAACTTTGCCTACTAATTTTAAAAGATTACAAGTTTTTGTTTTCCATGAGAGGAAAGGGAGCACTTAGATGCATAATATTTCTTGCATACACAAGCATACGTCATTTTATTGTACTTTGTTTTATTGCACTTTGTAGACACTGCATTTTTTTTTACAAAAAGAAGGTTTGTGGCAAAGCTACCTAGAGCAAATCTATCTGCACCATGTTTTTCATCAACGTGTTCACTTTGTGTCTCTGAGTCGCATTTTGGCAATTCTCACAATATGTTAGACTTTTTCATTATTATGATATCTCTTACAGTGATCTGTGTTCGGTGATCTTTGACACTACTATTGCAAAGGTTTGAGATGCCACGAGCTGTGTCCATATAAGACAGCAAACTGAATTGATAAATGTTGTATGTGTTCTGACAGCTCCACCAACCAGCTATTCCCTCATTTCTGTCCGTCTCAGGCCTTTCTAATTCCAGAGACAGAACAACAGTAAAATTATGTCACTTAATAGCATTTCAATGGACTCTAGGCATTCACGTGAAAGAAAGAGTTGCACATCTCCAACTTTAAATAGAAAGCTAAAAATGATTAAGACTAATCAGGAAGGCCTGTCAAAAGCAAAACTCACTTGAAAGTTATACCTCTTGTGTCAGATAACCAAGTTGTGAATGCAAAGGACAAGTTTCTGAAGAAAATTCAGTGTTACTCCAGTGAACACACGAATGACAAATGAAACAAACTTATTGCTGATATGGAAAAGTTTAGTCTGGATAGATCAAATCGACTACAACGTTCTCTGAAACCAAAGTCTCATCCGAAGCAAGACCCTAACTTCTTCAATTTTATGAAGGCTGAGAGAGTGTAGAAGATGCAGAAGAAAAGTTAGAAGCTGGCCGGGCGCGGTGGCTCACGCCTGTAATCCCAGCACTTTGGGAGGCCGAGGCGGGTGGATCATGAGGTCAGGAGATCGAGACCATCCTGGCTAACAAGGTGAAACCCCGTCTCTACTAAAAATACAAAAAATTAGCCGGGCGCGGTGGCGGGCGCCTGTAGTCCCAGCTACTCGGGAGGCTGAGGCAGGAGAATGGCGTGAACCCGGGAAGCGGAGCTTGCAGTGAGCCGAGATTGCGCCACTGCAGTCCGCAGTCCGGCCTGGGCGACAGAGCGAGACTCCGTCTCAAAAAAAAAGAAAAGTTAGAAGCTAGCAGAGGTTACTTCATAAGGTTTAAGGAAAGAAGCTGTCTCCATAACATGAAAGTGCAAGGTAAAGCAGCAAGTGCTGATGTAGCTTCTATAGCACATTATCAAGAAGATGTAGCTAAGAACATTGATAAAGTTGGCTCCACTAAACAATGGATTTTCAACGGAGGAAGTCTTCTGTGATAAAACGATGTAATCTAGGAATTTCGTAAGTAGGGAGAAGTCAGTGTTTGGCTTCAAAGCTTCAAATGTCAGACTGGCTAGCTTCCTAGGGGCTAATGCAGCTAATCAGTATAGGTTGAAGCCAATTCTCATTTATCATTCCAAAAATCCTAGGAGCCTTAAGAATTATAATAAATCTGCTCTGCTTGTGCCTGATAAGTGAAACAACAAAGCCTGGAAAACAGTATATTTGTTTACAGCATGGTTTAGTGAATATTTTGAGCTCATTGTTGAAACCTACTGCTTAGAAAAAAAGATTTCTTTCAAAATATTACTGCTCATTGGCAATGCACCTAGTAACCCAAGACAAGAAGTCTGATGGAGATGTCATTAATGTTGTTTTCATGCCTGCTAACCTCACATCCATTCTGCAGCCCATGTGTCAAGGAGTAATGTCAACTTTTATGTCTTATTATTTAAAAATATATTTTGTGTGTCCATGGCTGCCACAGATCACTATTCCTCTGATGGATTTGGGCAAAGTAAATTGAAAACCTTCTAAAAAGGATTCATCATTCTAGATGTCATTAAGAACATTCAAGATTCACGGTCGGAGGTCAAAATAACATGAATAGCAGTTTAGAAGTTGATTCCAGCTCTCATAAATGCCCTTCGGGGACTCAAGACTTCAGTGGAGAAAGGAACTGTATATGGGTTGGAAATAGCAAGAGATGTGGAATTAGAAGTGGAACCTTAAGATGTGACTGAATCGATGCAATCTCATGATAACACTTCAATAATTAAAGAGCTACTTTTTATGGATGAGCAAAGAAAGTGGTTTGTCAAGGTGGAATCCACTCCTGGTGAAGATGCAGTGAACACTGTTGACATGACAACAAAGTATTTAAAATAATACATAAACTTAGCTGATAAAGCAACTTCAGTGGTTGGAAGGACTGACCCCTATTTTGAAAGTACTATTGTGGGTAAAATGGTATCCAACAGTATTTTTTTGCTACAGAGAAACCTTTTGTGAAAGAGTCAAAAAATGTGAATGCTTCATTTTGTCTAATTTTAAGAAATTGCCACAGGCACCCCAACCTTCAGCAACTACCACCATGATTAGTCAGCAGCCATCAACCTTGAGGCAGGAGCCTCCACCAGCAAAAAGATTATGACTCACAGCAGGTTCAGATAATCATTAGCATTTTTTTAGCTATAAGCTCTTTAATTAAGTGATGTATGATTTTTTAGACATAATGCTACTGCACACTTAATAGGCTATAGTATAGTATAAACATAACTTTTATCTGCACTAAGAAGCCGCAACAATTGTGACTTGTTTTATTTCAATATTCACTTTATTGCAATGGTCTGAAACACAGGCCTGTACCTTGTGAAACAGATGGTGCTGGTACCCTGCTCATATCTCCTTGCATACTCTCAAATATCAAACAGAGACAATAGCCTGTTCTCTGGATTCAAAAGCAATCTCGTTAGTGAAACAGGTCAGACATACCAAAAAGCTATGCCACAAAACAACCTTCACACAGTGAGGGATGTAAGCCTTGCATGTCAGTTGGGTCATCCCCAATTGAGACAGTTTGGAGGTACTTTTCATATATTTTATGTATGAAAGATTGACTGTCAGCTGCTCACTCAATAACACACTCTTCATTCATTTTGCTGCCACTCTCCTACAGCACTTCCTGAGAGCACATCCCAAATAAATTACTCAGATCAAAATCATTGTATCAGACTCTAACTTTGGGAGAACTCAAACCAAAATACCACTGATAATTGCTAAGCATAACCAATGATTTTATATTTCTAAGATAACATTCTGGTGCAGTCTAACTGACATTAAAAAAACTTTGGAAATATTTTTTAAATAATACTTGCTTAGACAAAAACTTACTTGAGGTACATTCAGTTGTTGTCTTTGGCTGAGACTTACATAAGACAATATTTACCTAGAAAGTAAATCTTTGTGTCCAAGAACAATCTACAACAGTCCATGATCTTCTCTTATGATCTTGCTGTTGTTGTTTTTCTTTACATTTCTGTTGTTTCTCTAATTTTATCTTTGCATAGTGATAGAAAGAGACAGGTAAGAAATTCCAGGAAGGAGCATCTGAACAGACAGGGAAGTGCCAATCAGCATGAAAAAATATAAGTGAGGTAAGATTACTACCAGTAAAGATGTGAGTTACTAAGATAACATTTATAAGCACTCCTAATCCATGTTAGAAAATAAAATTCCAATATAAGAGGCATCAGTTCAAAGATAACAGAAACACTAGGAAATAAGGAGAAAAGCAACCCAAGGCTTACCGGTAAAAATTTCCTCAACTCCTTGATACCCATGATAGAATATGTTTGGCTTTCATGATTCAATGTCATGATTTAATTATGTAGGTTTGAAGTTTGATATTATAGGGATCTTACTACAAATGTAAAATGTGAGTGTAGATCAGCAGTTAAGAATTGCATACATTAGAGTATACCCCAAAAGTATAGTTTATCTCTTTGTAGTAGTTGAGCAAATTGTTTAACATGATGTCTGACACAACAGAGTAACAATGGTACCAATCAAAACTTGCTCTTATCACCTGCTTTGCCAAATTTATTTTTGTTGCATTTCTAGGAAACTGGCTGGCAATAGAAGGAGGAAAAGAAAATGTAATCAAAGATGCAAATCCTGAAATTATTTTACAATCTAAAAAGAACAATGTTTGATAATTCCCCAAAATCAGTATCCAACTTTGCAAAACTCTCCTTTCCCGATATACAACAAAGAACATATCCCATCACCATAATTAGATTGCAAGGCACTTGCTAATTCTGCACTTGCCATAACATGACTAGGAATAAAAAGCTGAAGAGTGTCAGTGGTTGTAGTATTTCTTGAACCATCTGTGCTGCCAAATAGTGTAAAAAATTAGATCTGTTCACTACACACAAAGATCATGGCTTCATTCTGAGAAAAGCAGTTTCTTAATGGATTTTTTTAAATCTCCACTTCCAGCTTTTGGAAAACTTAACAATAAAAATATTGAAAAGCAAGCAATATAAAAAATATTGTTTTAAAATAATGTAGCACTTTTAGTATTGTTTCAGATTTCTTCACATATCAAACATCCAATTGGAAAGAAGAGGATTTTGTTACTTGATAAAATGAGTTACAGTGATTCACAGGGTATTTAAATCATCTATATACAGATTGGAAGATTTATTTCTCACTTTGCATTATCACAAGTATCTATTCCTTTTACAGCTTTTCTAACAGCCTCTGCAAAATTCCTTGCAAAATCTTCAAGATGGTTCAGGATGGAGAATATAGACATCCAAATTTTCTTCCTGCCAAATTTCTGAGATCTTAGAGAGTCTCCATTCTGGGCATAAAACCCTTCCTCAGTGTCATATACTACCAGAATTTCAAGAAATTGAAAATTTATATTGTTTCACCCAAATTTGGAATAAGCTAAATATCAAAGTTGCATCTGTCCCACAAAATGTCTGAAATTACAGAGATGGGAGCCAGGTGATTTTTATAATCCATCATTCTGATGTGAAAAATATGATGATGTTACCTCTCAGTTAAAATTTTCATTTATTCCCCTTTATTCTCAGAATAAAGATAAAGCATTTTACATGGCTGGCTGTCGATGTTCTCCCACCTTCTGCTAACACTGGGCTAGCTCTAACTCATCCTTTAGTACTCCAGCTAAAATAGCTCTTCCTATGAGAATTTCGAAATGTATTAGCTATCCCCTGCTATGGTGAATTCATCTTCGAGTCATCTATGTCCTCCCCTTCTTTTATATCTAAAATATCTATAGTGCTTTTAATCCTAACTTTTAAATATATGCATCCATTTTTCCATCTCCTTACTCCAAGCCACTATCAAGTACCACCAGCACTACTTCAACAGACTTTCTATTTCCCCTCTTTGCAGTTCTATAGCCCATTCTCCATATAAGCAGAGAGTAAGCTTTAAAATATGAGTTCAGACCATACGTTTTGCTCCACATCACCCTCTAACAGCTTCCTACTGAACTTTAAAAAAAGAAATGAAAAAGAAGACAAACTCCTTACTGTAGTCTACCACATACACGTGATCGAGGAGTCATTACATACATCTCCCACTTGCTCATTGTACTTTAATCACAATATCCTATTCCTACTCACTAAACACCCTAAACTCATTTTTCCCATGAAGACTTTCCCTAAATTTTCCTCTGAATGAAATGCTATTTCCCCAGGTCTTTCATTGGTTGGCTCCTTTACGTTATTAAGGTTTACCTCAATTGTTACCTTTCCAGAAAGTTATCAGATTTCACCATCTAGCTCAACGATTCAGTATTGTTCAATCACTTTACACACATTACTTACATTGCTTCACAACGCCTGATAAGTTACAAAATCATTCACGGGACAATTATCCATAGTGGCCCTGCTGATCTTGTGATCAACATCAAGATCTAATCTTGACACATAGATCAGGTTTGGCATGTAGTAGCTTTCAGTAAATATTCGTTAAATGAATAAATTAATGAATTGGAGAATTAATGGCATTTACTATAATTTTTTAGTACACTCATGCCTAACACAGTTACTAACGTTAATAGGTACTTAATGAATAAAGTTTGAATGAAAATATTTGATTTTACTGAGTTTATTTATGTGTTTGCAAGGATTTCAGAAGCTATTTCCCCTTCATTAATAGTAGATTTTTAAACGTGTCTCATTTGTACACCAATATACAAAATGGAACAAAATATATGTCAAAAGGAGATGGCCCCCTGATCGGTCCCATATCCATCACAGAATTTATAATGACTAAGAATGTGTTGCTAGTCAAGGCAAGCCTGTATGTATTCAAAATTTTTATACAAAAGCAAAAGGATATTTATCTATGAAGAACAGAAAGTTTAGAAAAATTTTTAAAATAAGTAATCTAAGGAAGAGCCAAATGATAAAGCAGACAGTTGTTATTAAAGAATAAATTGGTGAAGAAGAAGAGAGAGCCAGAGGGAACTTGAGTAAAAATGTGGTTTTTCAATATACTATTATTTATATTAAAAATTAAGCATCTATAGGGAAATTGTGGTGAATGACAAGGTAAATATAATTCAAGGAAATTATAGCAAATATAAAGGGAAAGAAAAAAGCAATGGCTGAGGTTTACCTTCTAAATTCAAAACAGTGGCCCTCCTCATGAGAGGCATGAGATTGGATAACGGTAAAGTCAGAGGTATCCATGTTTTTTTTCTTTAAAACGGAGTTTCTCTGTCACCCAGGTTGAAGTGCAATAACATGATCTCAGCTCACTGCAACATCTGCCTCCCAGGTTCAAGCAATTCTCCTGCCTTAGGCTCCCAAGCAACTGGCATCACAGGTATGTGCCACCATGCCTGGCTAATTTTGTATTTTTAGTAGAGATGGGGTTTCACCATGTTGGTCAGACTGGTCTCGAACTCCTGACCTCAGGTGATCTGCCCGTCTCAGCCTCCCAAAGAGCTGGGATTACAGGAGTGAACCACCGCGCCCGACCGTATTTTTAATGTTTTACATGAAAAATTTTTTCATGTATTACATGTGTAATTTTCCAAATGAAATATTGAGAGAGATGTGTACGTTCAGGTCTACAAATCTGGTAAGGAAATTTGAAAAATGTATAAATGGGACCTGAAAGTCCCCTGACACTGCAATAGCTATTTATTTTTCTTTTTTGTCAGAACATGTGAGATTTATAGATTATGATTCTTGCTTTTAACCAAAGGAAGCCAAAGTCAATGCCACCATTTTCTTTTAAGGCTGGCCACATACTACAATTGGAAAAATATACATAAAGGGTAAGCAATGCTCATGATTAAAGTTACTTTTTTGGAAATTCTTCTGAAATTTTTTCAATTGCTCGGCCTCCCTAATCTATTTAGAAGGATACTTATAGATTATTTCTGGTCTAATGGAACTCTGCCACAGAGAGGGTTTAATGGATTCAGATCACAGTGAGTGGAGACTATGGTCAGCCACCATCCTTGATCCAGGGAAAGTTTGTAACAGAGTGTTAGGAGACTTCCATCATTTGTTGAGTCATTAAATTGTTCTCACAGGTGTTATGATCCATGGGGAAAAATCCCTGTGTTTCTACTTCATTAACAAGCAAGTCAGCAAATGAAGCAAAGATTTTAGCCAGCAGTACATGAGGATACTCAATTTAAGACTTCTTTTCAAAGCCAGGACTTATAAAGAGGCTAAAGAGCTACTAGTTTAGTAGCTGCATTTTCATGTAAGAAGAAGCAAATGCAAATTCTTTCCAAAGGGAAGCATTCTCAATTTGTATACCCAAAATTCCCACAAATTAAGGAGAAAATCAGACTAAAATCAAAAGCAAAATCATTGTTTTTATAGTATAGAAAAGATTAAAACTTTAAGTAAGCAAGAAGATAATATGAAATTCACTGTTAATCTCACTGTTCCAAGATTATTCACACCTTTATTTATGGCTTATCCCTTTACAATTTTTCTATGATTATGTACATGCATATCTTTTATTTACAAATATGAGGGGTACTAATAAATGTACTAATTTTCTTTGTTGTTAAAAAAATTTTAGCAGGAAGAATATGAAATGATTCTATTTTTTCCACACAAAGCCACATCTGCAGAGATAAGGGACATACTGACTGAAATAACAATCCTATAGGGATTTAAGCTGTATGTTTAGAGGGTCATTCATAAACTGTAATTGTTACTTAAATATATAGGAATTCTTTTTTAATTTTTTTACTATTTAAATTTTTGTGGCTACACAATAAGTGTATGTATTTATGGAGTACATGAAATCTTTTGGTACAGGCATGCATTGTGAAATGAGTGCATCCTGGAGAATGGGGTATCCATCCCCTCAGGCATTTATCCTTTGAGTTACAAATAATCCAATTACAGTTTTTCAGTTATTTTAAAATGTACAATTAAGTTACTGTTGACTATAGTCATGCTATTATACTGTTAAATAATAGGCCTGATTTATTTTTTATATATTTTTTATCCAATAACAAACCTGCATCCACCCCCTATGACCCTTCCCAGCCTCTGGTAACCATCCCTCTACTCTCTATGTCCATGAGTTTAATTGTTTTCATTTTTAGGTCCCACAAATAACTCAGAACATGTAATTTTTTTTTTCTTTCTGTGCCTGGCTTATTCCACTTAACATAATGATCCCCAGTTCCATCCATGTTGTTGCAAATGACTGGATCTCATTCTTTTTTAATGGCTGAATAGTACTCCATTGTGTATATGTACCACATTTTCTTTATGCATGTATCTGTTGATAGACACATAGATTGTTTCCAAATGTTAGCTATTGTAAATAGTGCCACAGCAAACATAGGAATGCAGATAGCTCTTCGATATACCAATTTCCTTTTTTAGGGGTATTACCCGGTATTGGGATTACTGGATCATTTCATAGCTAAACTTTCACTTTTTTGAGAAAACTTCAAATTGTTTTTCATAGTGGTTGCACTGATTTAGGTTCCTACCAACAGCGTACAAGGATTTCCTTTTCACCACATCCTCACCAGCATTTGTAATTGCTTGTTCATTGGATATAAGCCATTTTAACTGGGGTGAGATGATATCTCATTGTAGTTTTGATTTGCATTTTTCTGATGATGAGTGATATTGAGCACCTTTTCATATGCCTGTTTGCCATTTCTATGTCTTCTTTTGAGAAATGCCTATTCAGATCTTTTGCCCATTTTTTGATTAGATTTTTAGATTTTTTTCCTGTAGAGGTGTTTGAGCTCCTCATATATTCTCATTAAACCCCTATCAGAGAAGTAGTTTGCAAATATTTTCACCCATACTGCAAATTGTCTCTTTATTTTGTTGATTGTATTCTTTTCTTATTTTATTATTATTATATTTTAAGTTTTAGGGTACATGTGCACAATGTGCAGGTTAGTTACATATGTATACATGTGCCATGCTCGTGCGCTGCACCCATTAACTCATCATTTAGCATTAGGTATATCTCCTATGCTATCCCTCCCCCCTCCCCCCACCCCACAACAGTCCCCAGAGTGTGATGTTCCTCTTCCTGTGTCCATGTGTTCCCATTGCTCAATTCCCACCTATGAGTGAGAATATGCAGTGTTTGGTTTTTTGTTCTTGCGATAGTTTACTGAGAATGATGATTTCCAATTTCATCCATGTCCCTACAAAGGACATGAACTCATCATTTTTTATGGCTGCATAGTATTCCATGGTGTATTTGTGCCACATTTTCTTAATCCAGTCTATCATTGTTGGACATTTGGGTTGGTTCCAAGTCTTTGCTATTGTGAATAGTGCTTCAATAAACGTACGTGTGCATGTGTCTTTATAGCAGCATGATTTATAGTCCTTTGGGTATATACCCAGTAATGGGATGGCTAGGTCAAATGGTATTTCTAGTTCTTGATGTGATTCCATTTGTCTATGTTTGTTTTGGTTGTCTGTGCTTATAGGGTATTGCTCAAGAAATCTTTGCCCAGACTAATATCCTGGAAATATTCCTGGAGGTTTTCTTGTATTAGTTTCATGGTTTAAGGTCTTAGATTTAAGTATTTAATCCATTTTTATTTGATTTTTGTGTATGGTGAATGATAGCCATCTAGTTTCATTCTTCTGCATATGGACATCCAGTTTTCCCAGAAACATTTATTGAAGATACTGTCTTTTCCCCAGTGTAAGTTATTGATACCTTTGTCAAAAATGAGTTCACTATAGGTGTGTGAATTTGTTTCTGGGTCCTCCATTCTGTTCCATTAATCTACCTATCTGTATTTTGTTTGTTTGTTTTTGAGATGAAGTTTTGCTCTTGTCACCCAAGCTGGAGTGCAATGGCGTGATCTGGGCCCACTGCAACTTTTACCTTCTGGGTTCAAGCAATTCTCCTGCCTCAACCTCCCGAGTACCTGGGATCACAAGTGTGCACCACCATGCCTGCCTAATTTTTGTATTTTTAGTAGAGATGAGGTTTCAACACGTCGGCCAGGATGGTCTCAAACTCCTGACCTCAGGTGATCTGCCCACTTTGCCCTCCCAAAGTGCTGGGATTACAGACATAAGCCACTGCACCCAGCCTATGTGTTTTAACTCCAGCACCATGCTGTTTTGGTTGCTATAGCTCTGTAGTATAATTTGAGTCAGGTAATGATTCCTCCAGTATTATTCTTTTTACTTAGGATATCTTTTACTATTCTTGGTCTTTTGTGGTTCCATATAAATTTTAGGGTTTTTTTTTTTCTATTTCTGTGAAGAATGTCATCAGTATTTTGATCAGAGTTGCACTGTATCTGTAGATTGTTTTGGGTATAGACAGTTTAACAATACTGATTCTTTCAAACCATGAACATGGAATATTGTGTGTGTGTGTGTGTGTGTGTGTGTGTGTTCTTTTCGATTTCTTTCATGAGTATTTCCTAGTTTTCATTATATTTCACTCCTTTGGTTAAGCTTATTCCTAGATATTTTATATTATGTGTAGCTTTTGTAACTAAGATTACTTTTTAAATTTCTTTTTCACAGTGTTCACTGTTGTCATATAGAAATGCTACTGATTTTGGTATGTTGACTTTGTATTCTGCAATTTTACTGAATATATTTATTGTTTAATAGTTTTTTGTGGAGTCTTTCGGTCTTTTCAAATATAAGATAATATCTTCTGCAAACAAGAATAATTTCACTTCTTTCTAATTTGGATGTCTTTAATATAGTTCCTTTGTCTGATTGTTCTTGACAGAACTTCCAGTACTATGTTGAATAACAGTGGTGACAGGGGGCATTCTTGTTATGTTCCAGATCTTAGAGAAAGGGCTTTTAGTTTTTCATTATTCAGTATGATACTAGCTGTGGGTCTGACATATATTCCTTTAATTATGTTGAGGTATGTTCCTTCTATCCTCAATTTTTTGAGGGTTTTTATCATGAAAGGATGTTGAATTTTATCAAAAGCTTTTTCATCATCAACCGAAATCATAGGGTTTTTATCCTTTAATCTGTTGAGGTCCTTGGGGCTTTTCATTAGTGGGAGAATTATTTTACTCTATTTTATTATTATTATACTTTAAGTTTTAGGGTACATGTGCACAATGTACAGGTTAGTTACATATGTATACATGTGCCATGCTGGTGTGCTGCACCCATTAACTCGTCATTTAGCATTAAGTATATCTCCTAATGCTATCCCTCCCCCCTCCCCCAACCCCACACCAGTCCCCAGAGTGTGATGTTCCCCTTCCTATGCCCATGTGTTCTCATTGTTCAATTACCACCTATGAGTGAGAACATGCAGTGTTTGGTTTTTTGTCCTTGCGATAGTTTACCGAGAATGATGATTTCCAATTTCATCCATGTCCCTACAAAGGACATGAACTCATCATTTTTTATGGCTGCATAGTATTCCATGGTGTATATGTGCCACATTTTCTTAATCCAGTCTATCATTGTTGGACATTTGGGTTGGTTCCAAGTATTTGCTATCGTGAATAGTGCTGCAATAAACGTACGTGTGCATGTGTCTTTATAGCAGCATGATTTATAGTCCTTTGGGTATATACCCAGTAATGGGATGGCTGGATCAAATGGTATTTCTAGTTCTAGATCCCTGAGGAATCGTCACACTGACTTCCACAATTGTTGAACTAGTTTACAGTCCCACTAACAGTGTAAAAGTGTTCCTATTTCTCCACATCCTCTCCAGCACCTGTTGTTTCCTGACTTTTTAATGATCGCCATTCTAACTGGTGTGAGATGGTATCTCATTGTGGTTTTGATTTGCATTTCTCTGATGGCAAGTGATGGTGAGCATTTTTTCATGTGTTTTTTGGCTGCATAAACGTCTTCTTTTGAGAAGTGTCTGTTCATGTCCTTTGCCCACTTTTTGATGGGGTTGTTTGTTTTTTTCCTTGTAAATTTGTTTGAGTTCATTGTAGATTCTGGATATTAGCCCTTTGTCAGATGAGTAGGTTGTGAAAATTTTCTCCCATTTTGTAGGTTGCCGTTCACTCTGATGGTAGTTTCTTTTGCTGCGCAGAAGCTCTTATTATTATGGCTTTGATCTCATTATTTTTTACTGGACTGCTCAGATATTGGATTTCTTCCTGGTTCAATCTTGAGAGGTTGTATATCTCTAGAAATTTGTTCATTTCTTCCAGAGATTCCAATTTAGTAGCATATAGTTGCTCACAGTAGCCATTAATGATCCTTCAAATTTCTGCAGTATCAGGTGTAATGTCTCCTTTTTCGTTTCTGATTTTATTTGGACCTTCTCTTTTTTTTCCTAGTCTGGTTAAAGGTTTGTCAACTTTAACTTTTCAAAAAAGAACTTTTTGTTTCATTGATCATTTCTATTGTTTTCTTCATTTCAATTCCATTTATTTCTGCTCTAATCTTTATTTCTTTTCTTCTACTAATTTTGGGTTAGGTTTCCTCTTGCTTTTCTAGTTCTTTAAGATGTATCATTAGATTGGTCCTTTGAAGTGTTTTCTCTTTTTTGATGTATGCACTTACTGCTATAAACTTGACTCTTAGTACTGCTTTGGCTGTACCCCACAGTTTTGGTGTCATGTTTCCATTATGATTTGTTTCAAGAATTTTTTTTCAATTTATTTCTTAATTTCTTCACTACCCCACTGGTCATTCAGAAGCATAATGTTTAATTTCAATATATTTGTATAGTTTCCAAAATTCCTCTTGTTATTAATTTCTAGTTTTATTTCATTGTGGTCAGAGAAGATGCTTATTTTATTTTTTAAATGTTTTAAGACTTTTTTTGTGACCTAACATATGGTCCATCCTTGAGAATAATTCATGTGCTGAGAAAAGAATGTGTATTCTGCAGCTCTTGGATGAAATGTTCTGTAAATATTTATTAGATTTATTTGGTCTATGATGCAGACTGTCTGATGTTTCTTTGTTGGTTTTCTGCCTGGAAGTTCTGTTCAATGCTGAAAGTGGGGTGTTAATATTGTACTGGGGCCTCTTGAGCTCTTATTATATTTCCTCTGTATATCTGAGTGCTCCAGTGTTGGGTGCATATATATTAAAATTATTACATCCTCTTCCTGAATTGACCCCTTTATCATTATATAGTGACTTTCTTTGCATCTTCTTATAGTTTTGGTCTTAAAACTGTTTTGTCTGATATAAGAATAGCAACTCCTGCTCTTTTTCTTTTCTCTATTGGTGGGAATATCTTTTTCCATCACTTTATTTTCAGTCTGTGAGTGTCTCTATAGGTGAAGTGTGTTTCTTGTAGGCAACAAATTATTAGGTCTTGGTTTTTCATCCATTTTACCAATCTATGTCTTTTGATTGGAGAGTTTAGTCCATTTACATACAATGTTATTACTTATAAGAAAGGACTTACTCCTTCCATGTTGTTATTTCTTTTCTGGTTGTTTTGAGGTCTTCTCTTCTTTCTTTCTTTTATTTCTGTTCCTCTAGTGAAGGTGACTTTCTCTGGTAATATGATTTAGTTGCTTGCTTTCTATTTTTTGTGTGTTGATTTTATGTTGTTCAGTTTGAGATTACCATGAGGCTTGCAAAGGTTATCTTATAATCCATTATTTTAGCAAGATAACAATTTAATAACCCATTATTTTAACCTGAAAACAACTCAATGCTATTTCATAAATAAACAAGCAAAAATAAAACTAATAAAAACTCTATACTTCATCACCCTGCTTTTTAACTTTTTGTTATTTTTCTATTTATATCTTACTGTATGAACTATGTCCTGGAAAGTCATTGTAATTAATATTTTTGATTAGTTCACTTTTCTTTTCTTTCTTTCTTTCTTTTTTTTTATCGTATTTTTGTTTTATTTTCATTTTTTTGAGACATGGCCTCACTCTGTCACACAGGCTGGAGGACAGTGGCACAATCACAACTCACTGGAGCCTCTACCTCCTAGGCTCAAACAATCCTCCCAACTCAGCCCCCAAGTAGCTGGGACCCCAAACACACACCACCATGCCTGGATAATTTTTGTATTTTTTCTAGAGATGGGGTTTTGCCATGTTGCTCAGGCAGGTCTCAAACTCCTGGACACAAGTGATCCAGCCAACTTGGCCTCCCAGAGTGCTGGGATTACAGGCATCAGCCACTGAGCCTGGCCTAATATTCTATGTTTTTCTGTGTACTTACAATTACCAGTGAGTTTTGTACCTTGAGGTGATTATTTGTTGCTCATTAATGTTGTTTTCTTTCTGATTGAAGTATTCCCTTCAGCATTTCTTACAGGACAGGTCATGTTGATGAAATCTGGAAGTCTTCATTTCACTTTCATGTTTGAAGAATATTTTTGATGGATATACTATTCTAGGGTACAAGAGTTTAGTTTTGTTTTGTATTGTTTTGCTTTTTCTTCAGCACATTAAATATATAATGCAACACTCTCCCGGCCTGGCCTGTAAGGTGTTGACTGATAAATCTTCTGCCAGATGTTTTGGAGCTCCATTGTATGTTACTGGTTTCTTTTCTCTTGCTGCTTTTAGGAACATTTATTTACCCTTGACCTTTGAAAGTTTGATTATTAAATGTCTTGAGGTTGTCTTCCTTTGGCTCATACTGCTTGGTGTTCTATAATCTTCTTGTACAGGATCAAATTCACACATAACAATATTAACTTTAAATGTAAATGGGCTAAATGCTCCAATTAAAAGACAAACTGGCAAATTGGATAAAGAGTCAAGACCCATCACTGTGCTGTATTCAGGAGACCCATCTCACGTGCAGAGACACACTTAGGCTCAAAACAGAGGGATGGAGGAAGATCTACCAAGCAAATGGAAAACAAAAAAAAGGCAGGGGTTGCAATCCTAGTCTCTGATAAAACAGACTTTAAACCAACAAAGATCAAAAGAGACAAAGAAGGCCATTACATAATGGTAAAGGGATCAATTCAACAAGAAGAGCTAACTATCCTAAATATATATGCACCTAATACAGGAGCACCCAGATTCATAAAGCAAGTCCTGAGTGACCTACAAAGAGACTTAGGCTACCACACAATAACAATGGGAGACTAACACCCCACTTTCAACATCAGACAGATCCACGAGACAGAAAGTTAACAAGGATATCCAGGAAATGAACTCAGCTCTGTACCAGGCGGACCTAATAGACATCTACAGAACTCTTCATCCCAAATCAACAGAATATACATTCTTCTCAGCACCACATCACACTTATTCCAAAATTGACCACATAGTTCAAAGTAAAGCACTCCTCAGTAAATGTAAAAGAACAGAAATTATAACAAACTGTCTCTCAGACCACAGTGCAATCAAACTAGAATTCAGGATTAAGAAACTCACTCAAAACCGCTCAACTACATGGAAACTGAACAACCTGCTCCTGAATGACTACTGGGTACATAACGAAATGAAGGCAGAAGTAAAGATGTTCTTTGAAACCAACAAGAACAAAGACACAACCTACCGGAATCTCTGGGACACATTCAAAACAATGTGTAGGGGGAAACTTATAGCACTAAATGCCCACAAGAGAAAGGAGGAAATGAAATCATGAAAATGGCCATACTCCAGTTCTGTGAAGAAAGTCATTGGTAGCTTGATGAGGATGGCACTGAATCTATAAATTACCTTCAGCAGTATGTCCATTTTCACAATACTGATTCTTCCTATCCATGAGCATGGAATGTTCTTCCATTTGTTTGTGTCCTCTTTTATTTCATTAAGCAGTGGTTTGTAGTTCTCCTAAACTACTTTAAAGTTCGTATGGAACCAAAAAAGAGCCCGCATTGCCAAGACAATCCTAAGTCAAAAGAACAAAGCTGGAGGCATCATGCTACCTGACTTCAAACTATATTACAAGGCTACAGTAACCAAAACAGCATGGTACTGGTACCAAAACAGAGATATAGACCAATGGAACAGAACAGAGCCCTCAGAAATAATACCACACATCTACAACCATCTGATCTTTGACAAACCTGACAAAAACAAGAAATGGGGAAAGAATTCCCTGTTTAATAAATGGTGCTGGGAAAACTGGCTAGCCATGTGTAGAAGGCTGAAACTGGATCCCTTCCTTACGCCTAATACTAAAATTAATTCAAGATGGATTAAAGACTTAAATGTTAGACCTAAAACCATAAAAACCCTAGAAAAAAACCTAGGCATTACCATTCAGGACATAGGCATGGGCAAGGACTTCATGACTAAAACACCAAAAGCAATGGCAACAAAAGCCAAAATTGACTAATGGGATCTAATTAAACTCAAGAGCTTCTGCACAGCAAAAGAAACTACCATCAGAGTGAACAGGCAACCTACAGAATGGGAGAAAAGTTTTGCAATCTACTCATCTGACAAAGGGATAATATCCAGAATCTACAAAGAACTCAAACAAATTTACAAGAAAAAATCAAATAACCCCATCAAAAAGTAAGGTGAAGGATATGAACAGACACTTCTCAAAAGAAGACATTTATGCAGCCAACAGACACATGAAAAAGTGCTCATCATCTCTGGCCATCAGAGAAATGCAAATCAAAACCACAATGAGATACCATCTCACACCAGTTAGAATGACGGTCATTAAAGAGTCAGGAAACACCAGGTGCTGGAGAGGATGTGGAGAAATAGGAACACTTTTACACTGTTGGTGGGACTGTAAACTAGTTCAACCATTGTGGAAGACAGTGTGGCGATTCCTCAGGGATCTGGAACTGGAAATACCATTTGACCCAGCCATCCCATTACTGGGTATATACCCAAAGGATTATAAATCATGCTGCTATAAAGACACATGCACACGTATGTTTATTGCAGCACTATTCACAATAGCAAAGACTTGGAACCAATCCAAATGTCCATCAATGATAGACTGGATTAAGAAAATGTGGCACATATACACCATGGAATACTATGCAGCCATAGAAAAGGATGAGTTCATGTCCTTTGCAGGGACATGGATGAAGCTGGAGACAATCATTCTCAGCAAACTATCGCAAGGACAGAAAACCAAACACCACATGTTCTCACTCATAGGTGGGAATTGAACAATGAGAACACTTGGACACAGGGTGGAGAACATCACACACCATGGCCTGTTGTGGGGTGGGGGAGGGGGGAGGGATAGCATTAGGAGATATACCTAAGGTAAAAGATGAGTTAACAGGTGCAGCACACCAACATACCGCATGTATACATATGTAACAAACCTGCACGTTGTGCACATGTACCCTAGAACTTAAAAGTAGAATTTAAAAAAAGAAAGAAAGATTGATACCTTTCTCTAGGTTTGGGAAGTTCTCTGCTATTATCCCCTTGAATAAACTTTCTCCTCCTGCTTATTTATCTATGTCCTCTTTAAGGCCAGTATCTCTTTGATTTGCCCATTAGAGGCTATTTTCTAGATCCCATTGGCATGCTTTATTGCTTTTTATTCTTTTGTCCTTTGTCTCCTCTAATTGTGTATCTTCAAATATCCTGTCTTCAATCTCACTAATTCTTTCTTCTGCATGACTAATTCTGCTACGAAAGTACTCTGATACATTTTTCAGTATGACAAATGCATTTTTTTAGTTCCAGATTTTCTGCTTGATTCTTTTTAATTATTTCAATCTCATTATTAAATGTAATAGAATTCTGAATTCCTTCTCTGTGTTATCTTAAATTTCTTTGCCTTTCCTTAACACAGCTATTTTGAATTCTATGTTGGAAAGGTCATATGTCTCTGTTTTTTCAGGATCGGTCCCTGGTGCCTAATTTAGTTCATTTGGTGAGGTCATGTTTTCCTAGATGGTGTTAATGCTAATAGATCTTCTTTCGTATCTGGGCATTAAAAAGTTAGGTATTTATTATAGTCTTCACTGTCTGGGGTTATAGCCATTCTTCTTGGGAAGGCTTTCCAGATAGTTGAAAGAACTTAGGTGTTGTGATCTAAGCTATATCTGCTTTAGGGGGCACCCCAAGCCCAGCTAAGCTGTGGTTCTTGCAGATTATTCATAGAAGCTCTGCCTTGATAATCTTGGACACGATTCGGGAGAATTCTCTGGATTACCAGGCAGAGAATTTTATTCTTTCTCCTTACTTTTTCCCAAGCATATAGAGTCTCTCTCTTTCTGCTCTGATCCACCTAAAGCTGAAGATAAAATGGCAAGAGCACCCCTGTCACCACCACCATTATGATTATGCCAGGTTACACCAGAAGCCAGCACACAGTGCTGGGTCTCACATGAAGCCTACTGTAACCACTCCTTGGCTTCAGCCTATGTACACTGAAGGTCCAGGGGCTCTACATCACATAGTGGCAAATACAGCCAGGCCTGTGTTTTTCCCTTCAGAGTAGCAAGGTCTCCCAGACATGGGTCTAGAAGTGCCATCTGGAAGTCAGGTACTAGAGTCAAAAATTAGGAGTTTACCTGGTTTCTGTTGTACTGTGGCTGAACTGGCACTCAAGCCACAGGGCGTAGTCTTTCCTATTCTTCCCTCCTCTTTCCAAAGGCAGAGGAGCCTGACCCCATATTCACTGCCATCCCAAGCCATGAGAAATACTGCCAGATTATTATCGATGTTACCTTAAGATCCAAGGTTTGTTAAGTAAGCTTGTCATGAATACTGCCTGGCCTGGGACTCACTCTTTTTTTTTTTTTTTTTTTTGAGACGGAGTCTCACTCTGTCGCCCAGGCTGGAGTGCAGTGGCGCGATCTCGGCTCACTGCAAGCTCCGCCTCCCGGGTTCACGCCATTCTCCTGCCTCAGCCTCCCGAGTAGCTGGGACTACAGGCGCCCGCTACCACGCCCGGCTAATTTTTTGTATTTTTAGTAGAGACGGGGTTTCACCGTGTTAGCCAGGATGGTCTCGATCTCCTGACCTCGTGATCTGCCCGCCTCGGCCTCCCAAAGTGCTGGGATTACAGGCGTGAGCCACCGCGCCCGGCCGGGACTCACTCTTCATGGAAGTGGGCTCCCTTCTGGCCCAGGGTTGGTCCAGAAATGCCATCCAAGAGTCAAGTCCTGGAATCAGAGACTCCAAGAGCCCTCTTGGTGCTCTGCTCCCCTGTGGTCATGCTGGTACCTGAGGCCAGCCAAGTCTCAGAGGCTAACCCACAGTTTTTGATGTAGCACCTGGGTATAGCTGCTGGTTATTCATAGCCCACGAGTTCTTCAGTTAGCAGGTGATGAATACTGCTGGGAATGGGTTCTTTCCTTCAAGGCAGAGGGTTTCCTTCTGGCCCAGGGTGTGTCTAGAAATGTCATCTGGGAGCTAGGGCCTGGAATGGAGGCCTCATGACTCTGACAGGCATCCTATCCTGCTGAGGCAGATGGTATCTAGATTCAAGATAAAGTCTTCTCCACTCTTCCCTCTCCTTTTTTCAAAAGGAAAGAAGGGATCTCTTTTGTAACTGTGAGCTATACAACCTGGGGTTAGGGAAGGGATGATGACAGCATGCTCTTGTCTGCTCCAGCTGGTGTCTCATAATGTCCCCTGCCCCCCACCAACCCCAACTTTACTGTCTCTCGACCTAGTTCAGCACCAGGACTTGCCTAAGAGCTGCAGTCCTTATGGCCTTGACTGCCTTTCAAGTTTACTTGGAGACACAGAGTACTGTAGCAGCCACTCAAGTTCAGACTGCTGGGATCAGAGATTCCCCTCTGGCTAGGGCTGGTTTAAATGCTCCCACTGTGGGAGTGTCCCTAAGTTCTATCTGGTTTTTCTTTCTGCTCTAACAGGATAGCAATGAGTTCAATGCCTCACAACTACTGTGTTCTCTTCTTCCCAGCACCCAGAGATACTCTTGGCAGCATGCTGAGGGTGGTGTTGTGGGGGGCTTCCATGATTGAAGACTGTGTTTTCTATCTCTTCAGTGTCTCTTTCAGTGATATAAAGGTAAAACCAGGTGCTGTAAGTGCTCACCTGGATTTTTGGTGCTTTTAAAGGTGTTTTTTCTGTGTGGATAGTTGTTAACTTGGTGACCTTGTCGGGGGAGGGGAGGCGAGTGTATGATAAATGGAGCTTATCTGCCATCCTGCTCCACTGCCACTATTCAATAACTAATTTTTAATCTGATTTTATGTAATAATAAAGCATGAAGATGCATTTTTACAAAATCTCCTTAATCTTAGTTTTCAGTTGAGATGAAATTTATAAGACATTGTAAGAAACAAAGCATGTGATTAATTTGATGAGGTTTGAGAATTACATATGTTCATAAAATGGCCATCCAAAGTAAGATATAGAATATATCCACTTTCTAAAAAATACCCCCTATCCCTTTCTCCAATCAATCCCAACTTTACCAGAGGCAACCACTTCCTGATTTCTACTACCATGCGTTAGTTTTGCTTCTACTTGGACTTCCAATAAATGAGATCATACAGTGTGTTGTATGTGTTATTTTCTACAACATAAATACTTTTTAAGATTCATGTATGTTTCTTGAATGTGTCAGTAGCTCATTCCTCTTTATTTCTGAGTGAATATAGCATAATTTGCTCATCCATTTTTAATGGATATTTCTGTTATCCTCATTATTGAGATTTTATGAATAAAGACTTTTATAAATATTCTTGTAGAAGTTAGTTTGTAGACTTATATCTCTTAGGTAATTACCTAGTAGTGGAACTTCTAGATCATAGGATAAATGCACAACTAATTTTATAAGAAACATCTGAACCATTCTTCATACGGATTGTACCATTTTACCTTTACATCAGCCACGTGTGAATATTTTCAGTATTTCAAAATATTGCCAGCATTTGGTAGTTTCAATGAGTACAGTCTGTGTTATTGTCATTATCCTGATTTACGGAAGGCTGCCTTTTAGCTGTATCCTCAGATGGCAGAGACAGACAGATCTTTTATTTTTTTCCTCCTTTTATAAGGTGATGAATCCCACCAGAAGGGCCTCATCCTAATTACCTCCCCAAAGCCCCACCCCCAAATACCATCATATTGGGAATTTGGATTTCAACACAATTTTGAAGGGACACAAACATTTAGTTCATAGCATTATTCAATAATGCTTCACCTTCTTTAAGTCTTTTCAGTGCCTGAAGAACGAGTTTCTCGATTTCTTTAAAAAACTGCTCCATTTTAATTAGGATTTTTGTCAAATCTATAGACTAATTTAGGAATAACTAACATTTAAAAAATTGAGTTATTCATTCAATGAATATTGTATATTTCTCCATTTATTTAAATCCTTAATTTTTCTCTGCATAGCTTTGTCATTTACAGTATAGACATGATGAACATTTTTATAATATATATTACTTTTTGATGTTCTGATACTATGATAATTGGTATTTTTCTATTTCAGTGTCCAACATTCCATTATCAGTATAGAAAAATATAACTTATCTCTGCATACCGATTTTCTATTCTGCAATCTTGTTCAGATTACTTATTAATTACACTAGCAGTTTCTAGATACACGAAAATGTCATTGACAAATGAAGAGGGTTTTACTGTTTCCTTTATAATCATTTTGGCTTTTTTTCTTATCTTTCTGCAATTAATATCATTTCCAGTAGATTTTTCAAAAGAGGTGGTAAGATCAGATATTGGCATTTTATTATTGTTAAGGGAAAGAGTTTAGGCTTTCCATACATAAAGATGCTATTTATAATTTCTTAGTAGGTACCCTTTATCAGATTAAAGATGTTCCTTTAATTCTCGGTTTGTTGAGATTTTTCTATGATCAATAAGTGTTTATCAAATTGGTTTTCTGAATCTATTGAGATAATTATAGGATTTTTAGGCTTTATTCTGTTAGGCTGATATACTAGCTTGTCTGTGGCCATACCACCCTGAATGCACCCAATCTCATCTAATATACTACCTTCATTGCTTTTTTAAAAAAATGTTAAAGCAAACACGCATTTCTGGGATAAACCCTACTTTATAAGTGTATTATACCCTTTTATATATATTTTAGAATTTAATATATTAATGATTTTGGTGGCTATGTTCAAGAGAGATTTTTTGTCTGTAAACTTATATTCTTCTAAATCTTTGTCAATTTTGTTATCAGGGCTATGCTGACCTCAATAATGAGTTTGAAAGTATTCTTTCTTCCTGTATTTTCTGAATAGTAAATTATATGAGCTATTCAACACTTTGTTATAAAATAGATTTTGTGTTAGATGATTTTTCAAAACTCAAGGCTAATATACATGTTTGGAGAACATTTAAGGTAAGCTAGGTTAACTTGATGTTCAGTAGGTTAGGTTATTAAATGCATTTTTCACTTGTAATACTTTCAACTTATTATTTAACCCCATCACAAGTTGAGGAAAATCTGTGTGTGTGTGTGTGTGTGTGTGTGTGTGTGTGTGTGTGTGTGTGCATGTATGGAAAGAGAGAGACAGATGCATCTGTAGATCTATAGTTATTCATCTATCTATAATTGATAGTTTGATATAAAAACAGATGGATATATATGCTATTTAGATTTTCTACTTTTTATTCTTTTAAAACTTGTAATCCCCTAGCAAAACTTATGCAAAAAAAGAGAGAAAACACAAAATACCAGTATCGGGAACATAAAGAGAACATAGCAGGTTAGAGCAAACAGACACTAAGGTAAAGGCCTTTACCATAGGCCTAGAAACAATGTCTGTTCAGGGATAAGAGCTTATAATAGAATACTTTATGCCAATAAATACAGCAACTTTGATGAAACGGCAAAATTCCTCAAAGAAAACAACTGACATAGCATTGGTATTAATTAGCTGCAGAGTGTTCTTTTATAAGGATGCACCACATTATCTAGCCAAAACCCTACTGCAAGACATTCAGTAGCACATCTCTACTATGTCCACTATGAAAACAAAGCAGTTAAAGTCATCCTTACAAGATAAAACATTAATTTATAAAGTGATTTTATGTATTTAGATTAAATGTTAAGGAATTACATTCACTGATCTTTTCCTTCTTATTAAATTGAATAGCAACATATGTTTTTATTGTTCTTAATTGTTTGTATAAATTATATGAAGGAAGTGTTATGTTCTTCTAAGTCCAGAACTAACAGGAAAATGTTTCCTCTACTATAATAATTAGAATAATACAGGTAATTTATAATCATAACTTTTCTTGAACTCATTACAGAGCTGAGGTCTCAAGGGCATCAGTGAAAGTGAATTCCAAAGAATTGCTACCCTGCCCACCAAAAGAAGGGACACATGAACTATTTCTCTTTTGCCAGACCACAGAATAGAGATGGCTACCATACAAGTGCATATGACAAAATTAGCTAAAATGTTTATACATTCTTAAAGGCTAAATATGGGCTACTATATCAGTTGGTAAGATCTGGGGACTCTACAAACAAAGGGAATTAGCACTCATTTACTCTTTTCCACAAGACTTTATGGTGTAATCATAAGAAAGATTAGGAGCAAGGCAGGACACTTGAAAGAACCCACCTTGGTAGTCAAAATGTTCACTAGATAATTAGTTTCTTGAGGACAGGCACAAATACCTGCCCTCTTCCCAAGACCTTTGTTTCCTATGAAGCAAAAACATTCAACTATTGAGGAAAGAGCAACAAATACTCTTGCTACAAGGGCATAGGCAACAATGATTTCTTATGTAAAGGAAGTAGAAGAAGATATCTGCCTCTGGGGAAAATGTAGAGAAACTACTCATGTCCTAGACACAAGCAATAATACATTGATGCTGGGGTCAAAGCAGATGCAGAAACTCTGCCTGGATAGAGGGTCAGGAAAGAATCCTGGGCATAAGAGTCTACGCTGATTTGGAGCAGAGGTTTATAACCACATGAGAAGAGTTAGTAAACTCCCTACTACCTAAGACAGAAAAAGAAGAACACTTTTTCTGAGATAGCCCCACCCTAATACCCTGGAGCACAAGGTTTGTATCAGATTTAGGTGGACAAGAACATGAGAAGCCTTGTGCAAAGGCCTTTACCATAAGCCTAGAAAGAAATAACATGCAGAAGTAGTCTATTACTGACAGAACAAGCAGAGCATGGATAGAGACTCTCTCTGTAGAAAAGTGAAGAGAAATAGCAGAAAGTCTAGGGAATATGAGAACATATGAGAATATTAAAATATTTTTTAAATTATACATGAAAATATCTTTTCTGCCATAATATCTATATAAAGTACATGATTTCCAGCAACCTAACAAATAAGAGAATAAATAAATGTTTACTCATTAAAAATGACAAGAGGAAATTCAAGTTTTTTTATTCTTTTTTATCAAATATATATGTTGAAGGCATTTCATTTTTTTTAATTCCAGCATAAAAATATACTGAGCTCTCAGAAATGTTATAAGTAATCAACCATGTATTTCAACGTAAATCAGTCATCATAATTATCAAATGACAATGTGCCTATTTTCCAATACAATTTTCTTTTCTTAACACTAAATCTTCTTTCTCAACTCTTTGTATATATATGAAAATACATAACATTGAGGGAGCAAAGGCCTGATTTTATATTTCTCTCCCAGCTGAAGTTGTTCTTTCATTGGAAGCTGGCTTTTTGGTTCTAAAGTATTATCAATCCTCTTGGAATATTGGCATTCTGGAAATGGATTCTACCTTGAGCACTGTGATTCACTAGGTGGGAAAACTTCAAAATGAGTGTTTCCTTTATTTCTCATCACTCTTACTCTTGATTTCTACTTCCTTTTTCAACAGGGATAATGAAAGATGGTGTGATTCAAATTTGGACCATCTAATTATTCCATATTGGAAGTTATTAACTTATTTTGAGAAGCCTTGCATAATGAAATTTTATGTGTTTATAAAATTTTAAAAGTCAATGGTTAAAAATAAGACCCAAGTGTGCTTCATTTGTTTAAGTCTACGGATAATAGGGAGTAATTAACTTTACATAATCATGAAATAATGCAGCCTTAAACATACATTGTCTATGCCTTAAATAAAGACTAAGCAAATAAAAATCCCTTTTCTTTAATACTGATGAGAATCTAGGCATGAAATAAGGGATTTATATATTTAAAATAACAAGAATTTGAAGATTACCTGCTTTTAAAAGATGTCTCAAAAATTCAGTTATCCAGTGTCTGATTTTAAAAACTTGTTTCCCAAATTTGTGAATGGAGAAAAGCCATCCTTTCCAATCTTCATATCCTAATTGAAGAATGGGTTATTAACTCCAGAACAGAGCTGGAGGGTGAGACAGTCTCTGCCATTCTGGAGAAATTTATTCTAAACTGCCTCATGAAGTTCCAAAGGCCACCAGATAATAAAGTTACTTAGTGTCATCCAAAAAAGCTTTCTCATCCCATCTTTATTTCTGGCTCCAACAATTATTTTCAACTATTAAATATACTCTAAATACACAGAAATGTAGTTTTGGTGGTTTAAAGGAAATTAGTCTCCAACTCAATTTTCACACAAGATGAAGGAACCAAAGGTCTTAAATATTTCTTAACATAGAAAGATATTAGTTGGGACCCCCTATCTTCTGATTTCTAGTTTAAGGTTCATATTATTACATCAAAATGAGAAATATGGCTCTTAAAAGCCTTCCCATATAAGGGATTTTACTGACTTGTATGTAGTTTTTTTGGAAGTCCAAATGGATGAAAGACAAGTGTTGAGATACTTATTTAAAGGTGACATGGAGAAGGATTAAGAAAGATATATGAAAAAGAGAGCATAACTGAAATTACAGACACTATAGTGATTGTGATAAAAATCACATTAATGGCCAGGCACGGGTGGCTCACATCTGTAATCCCAGCACTTTGGAAGGCCAAGGCGGGTGGATCACCTGAGGTCAGCAGTTCGAGACCAACCTGACCAACAGGGTGAAACCCTGTCTCTACTAAAAATACAAGATTAGCTGGGTGTGGTGGCATGTGCCTGTCGTCCCAGCTACTTGGGAGGCTGAGACAGGAGAATTGCTTGAGCCCAAGAGGCAGAGGTTGCAGTGAGCCAAGATCATGTCACTGCATTCCAACCTGGGTAACAGAGTGAGACTCTGTCTCAAAAAAATAAAAAATAAAAAATCACGTTAACAAAGAAGTTGATAAAAAGATAGTGCCAGCAAGATGCTACCAAGGTTTATACTTTTAGCTGATGCATAAGTATGGCAAACCCTGCTGACTGTCCTTTTTTTCTCATTTCCTAAGGACTTCAATTTTTAGGATTTATAATTGTGAAAATAATAAATAGATTGTGAATTAAAACTCATTTAAGAAGCTGTCATTCCGAAAGGGTATCAATCTTAAGATCTATGGAATTCACAGAGTTTGTTAATTTAATTTAGCTTCTGAAATTAATATAACCCATTCACCAATATATTGAAAAATCACCTGCTTCCTTGACATTAAGAAAAATAATTGTATCCTCAGGTTGGGCAAATATTTGTGAAATTTAGTAATATGTCAAATATTGTCATTTATAATGTTGGTTCCTGGAAAGTACTTTACACCTAGTTACTTTTACATAGGTAAGAAGTATCATAAAATTGTCTCCATTTTAAAAATATATAGACATTTAAACATTTTACATGTACCAGATGCCTAGTTAAAGGCTTTCCACATGTATCTCATTTAATCCTCACAACAACCCTATGGTACAGCAGCATTATATATAATAGTAAAGGAACTGAGGCTCAGAGATGTTGATAACTAATACAGAACAAAGCTGGGATGTGAACCCAGGGATTCTGGTTACAAGGTCTGTGCGGTTAACTAACATGTTACATCATTGTATGTATGAGAAGATAAAAAATGAAGAATTAATGACTGATTTATCCTTATGTGGGGAAATTAGAGGTGATGTAAAAATGAAAGGAAATTACATCATTCTTTCAGACAAAGCAGGCTGGTCCAGGTATTAGCCACATTTAAGCTCTCATCAGAAGATCAAATGAGGAATTGTTTCTTTTTAGGCTTTCTCAGACTGTTGGCAGAACTCATCTCCTTGTGACCATAGGACTGAGGCCTCCATTTTATTCCTGGCTGTCATCTGGGGCTTGCAAGCCTCTAGAGGCTGACCACAGTCCTCTGCCACCTAGCCCTCTTCATAGTCAGGAAAGAAAAACAAAAAACAAAAAACAGGGCTTTCAGCCATACAATTGCAAGAGAATGAGCTTGGAAGTGGATTATCCCCTAGTGGAGTTTCCAGTAAGAATGCAGTCCAACTGACGAATTGATTGTGGGCTTGTGAAATCCTGAGCAGAGGATCCAGTTAGGACATGCCTGGGATCCTGACCCACAGAAATTATAAGATAATAAGCATGTTTTTTAAACTTCTAAGTTTGTGCAATAGAAAATTAATACAAATTTCAGTATCATAAGTGGGTGATAATTTAATAAATGACTAAAATGTGAGAGTGCTTTTTGAATCAGGAAGTTAGAAGAAGCTGGAAGAATTTTAATGAGCACAATAGAGCCTACATCACCTTGAACACGCTGTTATAGAAATATAGATGAGAAAGCTGACAGTTAGGGCTCAGAGGAAATGAGGAATATGAAATTGGGAAATTGAGGAAGTGAGATTCCAATAATGTAGTAAGAGAAAGCCAAGTGAAATTGTCTCCAGTTATGTGGAAAGTACAACCAGTAAGTGACAAACATGAGTATACGGTGTCCTTGGAGATTGGTTCCAGGACCCCAGTATATTAAAATCCATGCATACTCAATTTCTATAATTGGCCCTGTAGAATCTCATTTAGTTAAAAAAAAATCCTCATGGAAGTGGAACCACACAGTTCAAACCTATGTTGTTCAAGGGCCAACTGTATGCCCAGTATATTCCCAAGCAACGTTTTGGAAGTGCAATCTTGCTGCTTATAGTACAATGAAAGAGAAAAGAGATAAGTTGAGGAAAGAACAGTTAAACAAAAGGAACCAGAATTTGTTTTGAAAATTCTCAGACTCTAAATGAAAAACAAACTTAAATTTATGAGATTCACAGACAGTAATCTATATTCTAGAGAAAGAGCTGAGGTTGTAAATTTTGTAATCTTTTGTGAAAACTTCAGAAAAATTAAAAGTCATGCCATGGCCTTTTTCAAAAGATTAAAGGAGAGCCTCACAGATCTTCTTAACCATACCAATAGACCTCTAGGAAGCTGAAGGGTGTTGTTCCTCAGCTATCTTAGGAGGAACCAAAAGTTGAGAAGAGATAATCTCTAAAATATCTATGGATGTGTCTTTTATCTAGTGAAGTAAATCTTCATAAAACCCATGGAAGACTCACAAACATTTGAGGGACCTTGAAGTGGGAGAAAATATATTTTTTTGGAGAGAGGGACATGAATTCATGGAAGCCAGAAGGTGAACTATGGAAGTGAGCCCAGGCAATCCATACTCTTGCATAATTCCCTTTTCTTAAATGTGACTGAGAACCATGACTTGTCTCTAACCAACAGATGATAGCAAAGGAGATGGGATGTCATTTCCACAATTATGTTGTTATATAAGACTCTCTTAGCATATTAGGGAACACTCCATTTCTGGTTTTGAAGGAGTAAGCTGCCGTGTTTGATGAGGACTTATGGAAAATGGCCACATAGTAAGAAATTCTGGATTCTGGGTAGTTTCTGGGTGCTAAGAGCCATCTCCTGTCAACAGTCCACTAGGTAACATGAACCTCTATTCTACAACAACAAAAGATGGACTCTGCCAACACTCTGCCCCAACAATCTGAGGACACTTGGAAGCAGATCTTTTCCCAATCAAAACCCTGATGTGACTGAAGCACAAGCCAATATCTGAATTGGGGCTTGCACCCTAAAGCAGAGAACCTAGCTAAACTGTGCCCAGACTTCTATCCTATAGTAACTGTGAGATAATAAATCTGTCAGTATTTTAAGTCAGTAAATTTTTTTGAAAATTTTGATGTAGCATAGATAGCAAGTATAGTCATGTAATAAAATTCAGCCACATATAGAGAATGCAGATACTAAATGCCCTGTGATATCTTTGTATTAAGATACCAACAGTTATTGATGAGAACTATCTACAACATCAAGACTTGATTAGGTAGAAATAGATCCTAAGACACAGAAAAATACTGTTTGAAGCTATAAGATAATTTAGTCAAAAAACAGCTAATTATTTTGTTTCAAATTTCATATGTATAGAAAAAGTCTTAAAATATCTCACCCAATAATCATACAAAAATAGTTGGTATAAAGGAGAAATTCATTTGAGGTCATACTTGACTTAACAGCAGAAAAGAGGCTTGAGCTAAATATCTTAACTCCTGGTTCAGTTAGTATTCTAATACATTACACTGGTTTTACATCATTATTATCCTTTGAGTGATTATCCATTTATTCATTCATTTGTTTTTTCAACAAAATGAATGCCAACAGTGTGATATTCGAAGTAACTTTTTAGGTAATGTGGGAAATATAATGATAATAAAAATGTATACTATTAACAACACTGCACACAAGTAAATAGTACAAAATAGATCTGAGGTTTTTCTTTTGAGAGATACAGATAAAGAGGAATTGGGATTTACAAAAGAAAAACTCCTTTGGATGAAATGGGCATTGAAAATATACTTTAAGGATAATGTAGCATTTTACCAAATTTTAAAGATCCAATGCATTTAGAATCAATGGGAATAGGGTAAATGTTAGCACAAAATGCTGCTTTTTCCAGAAAGATGATTTGAAGATGGCTTGTTCTGCATCAAAGAGACTTCGCTCAGTTTTCTCAAACTGTGGTCATGTTAGAATCACCCACATACATTTTAATGTAGTTATGTTGGGGGGGGGAGAGAGCATATTAAGTGTATTTGTGTTTATGTATATGTCTTGGGGGTGGTGTATTAATTTTTCTCAAATTATCTATGCCATGTGCCAATGTCCCACACCATGTATTTTATGATTCAACAGGTCTGCAATAAACCCAACAGCTACTTCATTTTTTTAAGTCCCATAGTTGATTTTAATAAACAACATATATTGAGGACCAAAACGTTATTTTATAAGAATAAATTAGAAGTTCCCCTGCACCTCTTGTTTTACGACAGTGGTTCTCAACTTTTAATATGAATAAGAATGGCTGAGATCTTCCTAAAATGTGGATTATATTTCAGCAGGTTTGAAATGGGACCGGAGATGCTGTATTTCTGGAGCTGGACTCAACCCTTCTGAGCTCCCTTGATTTTAATGTTTTTCTTTGCATCACAAATGGCAAGATTCCACTGATGAGATTCACCTCCTCAAGATAATTCTCACTAGAAGTTAAATTTGCCACCTCTAAACAAACCCTACTGCAGGTAAGGTTTCATTTGAACAAAATTGTCTTTGAGTAAAGTATGGCACTAGAAGAGTTTTCTGGGTTTTCACTGTGAAAACCCAGAAAACCCAAAAAAATCTATTAGTAGTTAGTTTTCTTATTCTTTTTCTTTTTAAACTTATAAAATCAATCCAGGAACTTCAAAGCCATAGGATTTTTTGATATATGTTTTTCAAAATATGTACTATTGAGGTGTACCCCATATTAATTTTGTTACTATTACAATTACATTCATATACTATTACAATTACATTCATATGTAATTTTTAAATTTTATATTGACTGAATTTTTAAACAAACAAAACGTGCTGACCTATGATACCAATAGCAACAAAAACAGGCACACACAAAAATCTTACAGAATGCATCTACATGAAACAGTACTCTGGATTTTAAACAAACAGAGTAGAGGCCAACAAATTTGAACATAGGTTTTGGAAACATAAAGGTCTGCATTTGACTTCCAGCTACAAATTATCAACTACATGATCTTGGGCTGAATGCTCACCTCTTAGAGCCTAGATTTCCACAACTGTAAATAGGATATGGATATTCCTAAATAACAAGGTTGTGCTGAGAATTAAATGTTTGTAAAACCAAGTACATGGCAAGACCTACGTGTTAGGTATTATTGTTCTTAAAGTAGAAGAATTCTAAGAGTAATTTTTGTTCTAACTTCCTTCCCCTGGCCCTTCACTCATTTATCAACAAGGAAAAATGTCTCCAGTTACTTGCTATAGAGCTGTAAAGATAAAAGCTCCAGAACATCTCCAGCACACACAACACAGAGCTGTCCATAACCTGTCCTAGCAGCAGAATGCTTTCCTGTATTTTCTGTTTCACTTAATACGATGTCCTTGGAAAGAATTGGCACATTTTTCCCAGTCTAAAAACTGAAAGTTAAGTTTACCTTCTAAAATTGTAGCTAAAGCAAAGCCAAACTTAAATTTATTTTTTTCTAAACTTTTCAACTGAATACTCATATCTTATAGTTTATATATAAATAGTATTCTTGCCATCGTAAAATTTTGTGTAAAACAATCCAAATCACAGGATAATTGTTACTTTAAGTAATATATTACTGTGGAAATGTAATAGTTGTAAAGAGTGAAGAATACATTAGAAAGCAATTGAGTGTAATTGCATCCTTGGGATTGCTTTTTGTGCCTGCAGCTGTTTTTTTGCATGAAAAAAAAGCAAAGGTCTGAGATGAATTTTTCAGTTGCTACTGAAATTGTAGAGTTTCATGGCTAGCCTTCAACTACTGAATAACATTTAAAGATGAAAAGGCTTTGAAATATATTTTTCTCAAATACATAGATTTTATCCAGCAACAATAACACAAAGTTTAATTGTTTTCTGTTGGTTTTTCTCTCATCCCTCCATTCCCACACTCCATATAATTCAGGGGGGATATCAAATAGTATTCCTGAGCAGGAGTCATGGGAATGTCAACCTTTACAAATAATATTAAAAGCAGAAATATAAAAGTAGTAGTAACAAATTATATTAAATTTCAGAAGTGTGTAAAAATGATTTACATATAGATGGGTCAATATAGATGGGTCAATATAGCCTAAAAACAAAGATTTCTATAGATTTCCTTTGGTAATGTAGCATTAATGTGGCATCTTTCTCCTAAAAGCCTGAGGCTTTCTATAACCATGACTAAATTCCCAACATGCCACTTTCAGGAAAACAGAAGAAGCTGTTAATCTGCCGAGAGCTATGAAAAGTGAGATTCTAAGCAGTTGAGCAGATTGTACCAGGTGAGAGTAAACCAAAGCAAAAAAAACCCGAAGTAACAGCAGAGCATAATTAAACACTAGGTCCTGTATAGTCTAAACCTTTGACCTGTAGACACTGTGCTTCAGCCTGGTCATAAGGGAAAATAAGCCTAATGCCTATCAGCTTTAAATCTTTCAGAAAAATAATAATATACCAAATCATATTATATAATGCATAATAACAACTTTCAAAAACCTGTCCCAGAATTTATGATTCTTTGGGGAGGTGGGGAAGAGCTACTTATAGTCAATCTGTGCATACAACAGAAAAAGAAATAATGAACAATTGTACTTGACGAATATTTACTCCTCCTCTCCTTTTGAGATATAGTGCAACATCTATCAGAAGTATGTTATTGTCACTATACTAAAGGAGTTTTACAATGGAGGACTGTCACGGCCTTAACAAAGATGGCCTAATGACCTTAATATTTCCTTCTGTTTGACTAAATTTTAGACTGGCTTATTCCCAACTATAAGCTCTTGACTTCCATTTTATTTACTTTAGAGAATCTGTAACTGCAAATTCTTTCTCTGCCCCTCTGAAATGTACAGAAATCTTCTCCAAGCCTCTAGTTAGTTTTACAACCCTTCCTCAAGGACTTGGGCGCCATCTCTTCAAAATGTGATCATTTAAGGAGATAGTGTCCTATCTTTCAGGCTGCGTGAGAGGGTAGGAGCCTAACTTCTAACTTCTATAAGCACCAATTAGTAAATATAGATGGCCTAATTACATTGCCTAACTTCCTCCAGCACTTTTTCACTAGCTACCCCATCAAGTGGAAACTCTTCCATGTTTTGTTTCATTGGAGTTGAGTTGAATCTCCCCTATCAAAATAGTCTTGAATTAATTCTTTCCGGCCTGTTTAATTCTGTCTAGTGCATTTTTTCTTTGACAACATATGGGTTCAACAGAAACTGGATGACAGAAGAGTTCCATATTTTTGAAAGACTGAAAAGTTATCAACTGCAATAATGTGAATGAAGATGAGCAGTTACAGATTTGAGTCACAAATTGCAAATTCTATCTGTCTCTACTTAAATGTAAAGTATAATTGACAACCATGGGTTTCTATCCCATGCATCTCTGTGTCTGCATAGTTTGTAGACAGAGTTAGATATAACCTAATTATCCTGGATTACTGTAGAATGAATCTTGAAGATGAGTCTAGAACAAAACTAATGTTCAGAGAATGAAAAGAATATACAGCAAGGCAGTGGGGGCAGAAAAAAATGATGTGTCAAGAAACCTCAAACAAATTTGCTTTAAATAGAGTGTAAAGTTCAATTGGGAAAAACAAAGAAATGAGTTAATTAAGAAATAAATCATGTAACTATAATGCTTAGCTACAGAGAAATCTGTTAGTGGGAAAGTTTAAACACATAGTCTCTGACTCTTAAATAGTCCTTTAAAATAAAGTAATTTTAATAAAAAATTTGAAGATTTTAATAAAAAATTGGAAGATTAATTTTCAAAAAAGGATTAAAAATTTGAAGATTAAAAAAAGTTTGAAGATTCAGACAGCCCAAATAATTTGTGTTTTAAATTTGAATTTTCTAAAGAGGATTTTCCTTTTCTTTTCCTTTTGGGCATTAAGGAAGGCTGAGAGGGTTTTTCTTTCCTCAATATTAAAAAATAATTTATTTATAAAAACTGAATTATTTAAAAAATGTTTTCACAGTAGGGTCACATGTTAAAATATTCCATATGACTATATCATGCAATACTTTAAATACTTAGATCCATACTGATATTCTGTATCACTTCCTAAAAAGTTCTATACATTTCTTACTATCTACACAAAGCAGTATGTTTTTATTTATACCATAATTATTTTTATGGGTATGATAATTAGTATTCCCTTATTATAACTAATCAACTCCAAATTAATAAATTTAACGGCATTATTTTAGTTCACATGTCATCCTTCCAATATAGGATATTATTGACCACTCTCTTTTCTTCATGATATTTTCTCAGTCCTTTGCATTTAGACACTGTAATAATTGTTATTTTCATTGTAAAATGTTCTCTTTTTGCCTATAAAACTACATATATAATTTGCCATAATTTCATTCTAGATTTTTTTATCTTAGAAACTTCATCACTTTAATATCTGTCTCTGCAAGCCTAAGGAAGTAAGTGTGAGTCATATCTAACATTCCCAGGAAAGACACCTGCATAGGCCTGTGATTGTTTAACAGTGACCCAACAGCAGTTAATAGGAACTTGTCTGAGGAAACTCTTGGAATTTGGGGTATAAAAATGACTCAATGTGGAGTAGGGTACCATTTATATTTAACAGACATTTAGTAGGCAGCAATAATGTCTCAGATATTGGACTAGGCCATAAATATACACAAATAAATAAGACAAATGACTCACATTCCAGCAAAAAGAAAATATGAAAGTAAGGTGATGAACTAATATTGTAGCAAACCTATTATTTGCCAAAAATTCTCCACAGTACAATAATTATTATATCTTTCTATTGTATAAAATGAATAAAATCCAAAGAAAGCAAATAATCTTCAAATTGTTCAAACTCTCTTACCTAGTATGTCACAAAACTAGAATGAGAATGTAAGTATAACAGTCACAAAGTCCAAATTCCTTCTAAATTACCTTGCTCAAAAGAAATTAATAAGAATGTTAAAACAATGTTAAAACAAGAAGTCAATCAGTAAAGATTCTGAGGGCCAAGAAGCAAAGAAGAAACATATGTACATCATAAAAAACCAAGAAGCAGTATATGTACATATATAGAGAGACAGAGAGACACAGAGAGAGAGAGAGAATCGTAATGTTACTCTTCATGGTAAGTCATTCTCCTACCAAACTGAATCTTTTCATTTATTTTCCCTGTGGTTCAAAGTAAACACATCTAAGAAAATGTTTAGAACATAGATAAAAATTATGTATGATGTAGGGTAAATGGTGTCAGGGAAAGATGCAGGTAAGATGTTTTAATTCGAGTCTTTGGTTTGATAATGGATACATTTTTAAAAATCAAATGTATATACTACATTGTCTAATAGCATCATCAGATCAAATTTCTCCCAATATAAAAAATTTACTTTAAGTGGCCAGAAAAGCATAAAGATCAATGCTATTCTGGCTTAACTATTTTTGAATAAAATGAGCCTTTAGTGATAAGACAATAGTTTTCTAGTTTTTATAAATGTGACATGTATTAGGGATGTGGGGAACCAGAATGGCAACATGGCAACCTCTGGGTAAAGCTCTGCTGTCATATTTCAGTTCATCCTCAATTTGCAAAGGCAATGAGAAAAATTCTGAGAGTGTACTTCCTTTTCTAAGCAGTTTAGAATAATATTATTGAGTTTGGCTAACACTATCACTTATTTAGCATCAATATTAATGATTTGGAATGGGAGTAAAATTACAGTAATGAAATTCATAGCTAATGCTAAGTCTTCAGCTGTTAGAACTGCCAAAGAGAGATAAATATATAAAATGACTTGCATTGCTTAGAAACTTGGTTTATAAATTGCAATGGAAGTTTTAACAGGCACTTAGACTTTTGGTAACAAGTAGTAGATATTTCTAAAGAGGAATGAAACTTCGAATCACAGAATATTATTTTAAAACCAATATCCTAACTAAAGGAAGGTTAGCTCATTTCATCTGAATAATATTTTGTGGTTTTTCCACTCTTTGTAAAGAAGGAATATATATGACCCATTTAAATGTAAGTTATTCACAGGCCAGAGTTCTGTCTCTGAAATTGCCCCACCAAAATCAGCTCAGACCCTCTGAATGCCTGATTAAAAGATGACAACAACAACAACAACAACAACAAACATTACTAAAGAGTTGAAATTTAATGATATCCCTCCAGAGCAAGTCGATCTTTCCTTTGTTGCCTCTTCTACAGTCTGCCATCAATAGTGGTGGCTGTACCCACAGTGTATTAAATCAAGAAACTTAGGAAATGTCATGGGAGGCATGTTTGTACATATACAGCATATTTTTCATTTCAACCCCAACCAGAGGAAGACTTTTTCATAAAAATCAGAGCAGGGTAATCCACCTTCCCCAATTATTGAGCCAAAAGTTGGGTCGCAAAGGTATCAGGAGCGAAGAAATGATACCTTTAGTAGTAAGACTGTGTAATAGTTATTTAGCAGAGAACATTAGAGGGTAAAAATCTCTTTAAAACAGTGGATAAAGATTAAAAATAAGCCCTCCAATTTGAGATACAATAATTTTTCTGAGGTTAAGACTTGATTTAAAGAAACAAACATTTTTGTAATTATAGGTGATCATCACTAATTTCATCATAGTACCAGCTATCATTTGCTAAGAACCAGCTATGCATCAGGCATTTCAATAATTACTTTACATGTCATACCATTTTATGTAAACCTCATCTAGCTATAAATTAGCTTTAGTAGCATTAAACATACAAAGAAATGATGGGTCAGAAGGGGATGAATACTGTAAAGGAGAATACAGAGAAGACCAGGTTTCCTGCTGCCAAACTTGCTAGTCTTTTCATTTAGTGTAGTACTTACCTATAAAAGTTCTGCAGAATCTTTCTATACAAATGCAGATAAAGTTATTCTGGAACCAAATCACACTAATGTACTTTCCAAGAACTAGCTGGCTATGAGTTTTCACCAGTGTACAAGAAGGTGGAATTGACAACATCTATCAGAATTCCACTGAAATGTTCAGTTTGTTGCATATAATTAAGTATAGTTTAACTTTATGAAAACTACATGTAATTTTTATGTCTGTATTCATGCTGTATTATATCTGTTTTCATGCTGCTGATAAAGACATACCCAAGACCGGGAAGAAAAAGAGATTCAATTGGACTTACATTTCCACATGGCTGGGGAGGCCTCAGAATTATGGCAGGAGGCAAAAGGCACTTCTTACATATCTACAGCAAGAGAAAATGGGGAAGATACAGAAGGAGAAACTCGTGATAAAACCATCAGATCTCATGAGACTTATTCACTACCATGAGAACAGTATCGGGGAACCCCCCTACCCCACGGTGATTCAAACTATCTCCCACCAGGACTTTCCCATAACACGTGGGAATTACGGGAGTACAATTCAAGATGAGATTTGGGTGGGGACACAGAGCAAAACCATAGCAATGTCCATTCATTTGTTTTCTATATTTATGTTTTCTTTCTCAAGTCATGTATAAAACCCCTTCAGTACTTTCAAGTTATAATAGACATATGGAGACAGTGTCTCCAGATGACTACTGGTGACAAAATTTCTGAAACCTCAGTTCTACCTACATAAACTAACTCTCTCTTAGTTCCTTATTAAGCAAGATGTGTGACTTAATAAGGCTTCTGCCTTCTTAAGTGTGCTACATAAAACCAAAGCAGGTAAGGTGGTATTTAAGCAAAGATAACATTATAAACAAAATAAAATAGTCATTTTTTGTTCTCACTAAATATTTTTATAAAGAAATACTGTTTAGAGCCAAATACAAATTTATTACATTTTCCTTCTAAAAATATACCCATATAAATATAAGTTTATATGAACACATGTATAAATCCAGTATAAAGAAAAAAGTTCTGTCTTCAAGGAGAACTACAAACCACTGCTCAAGGAAATAAAACAAGACACAAACAAATGGAAAAACATTCCATGCTCTTGGATAGGAAGAAACAATAACATGAAAATGGCCATCCTGCCCAAAGTAATTTATAGAGTCAATGCTATTCCCAGAAAGCTACCATTGACTTTCTTCACAGAGTTAGAAAAAAACTACTTTAAATTTCATATAGAAACAAAAAAGAGCCCTTATAGCCAAGACAATCTTAAGCAAAAAGAACAAAGCTGGAGGCATCAAGCTACCTGACTTCAAAATATACTACAAAGCTAGAGTAACCAAACAGCATGGTACTGGAACCAAAACAGAGATACAGACCAATGCAACAGAAGAAAAGCCTCAGAAATAATGCCACACACATCTACAACCACCTGATCTTTGACAAACCTAACAAAACAATCAATGGGGAAAGGATTTCCTATTTAATAAATGGTGTTGGGAAAACTGGCTAGCCATATGTAGAAAGCTGAAACTGGACCCCTTCCTTACATTTTATACAAAAATTAACTCAAGATGGATTAAAGACTTAAATGTAAGACCTAAAACCATAAAAATCCTAGAAGAAAACATAGGTAATACCATTCAAGACATAGACATGGGCAAAGACTTCATGACTAAAACACCAAAAGTAATGGCAACAAAAGCCAAAATTGACAAATGGGATCCAATTAAATTAAAGAGCTTCTGTACAGAAAAAGAAACTATCATCAAAGTGAACAGGCAACCTACAGAATGGGAGAAAGTTTTTGCAATCTATCCATCTGACAAAGGACTAATATCCAGAACCTACAAAAAACTTAAACAAATTTACAAGAAAAAAAACAAACAACCCAAGCAAAAAGTGGGCAAAGGATGTGAATAGACACTTCTCAAAAGAAGACATTTATGCGGCCAACAAACAGATGAAAAAAAGCTCATCATCACTGGTCATTAGAGAAATCCAAATCAAAAAACCATGATGAGATACCATCTCATGCCAATTAGAATGATGATCATTAAAAAGTGAGAAATGGCCGGGCACGGTGGCTCACGCCTATAATCCTAGTACTTTGGGAGGCCAAGGCAGGCAGATTGCCTGAGTTCAGGAGTTGGAGACCAGTATGGGCAACATGGTGAAACCCCGTCTCTATGAAAATACAAAAATAAATAAATTTAAAAAATAGCTGGGGGTGGCAGTGCGTGCCTGTAGTCCCAGCTACTCTGGAAACTGAGGCAGTAGAATTGCTTGAACCCTGCAGACAGAGGTGGCAGTGAGCCAAGATAGTGCCACTGCACTCCAGCCTGGTGACAGAGCAAGGCTTCATCTCAAAAAAAAAAAAAAAAAAAAGTCAGGTTTTAACAGATGTGGAGAGGATGTGGAGAAATAGGAACGCTTTTACACTGTTGGTGGGAGTGTAAATTGGTTCAACCATTGTGGAAGACAACGTGGTGATTGCTCAAGGATCTAGACTCAGAAACACCATTTAACCCAGCAATCCCATTACTGGGTATATACCCAAAGGATTATAAATCATTCTACTATAAAGATACGTGAGCATGTATGTTTATTGCAGCAGCACTGTTCACAATAGCAAAGACTTGGAACCAACCCAAATGCCCATCAGTGATATTCTGGATAAAGAAAATGTGGCACATATATACACCATGGAATACTATGCAGCCATAAAAAGCTTAAGTTCATGTACTTTCCAGGGACATGGATGAAGCTGGAAACCATCACTGCCAGCAAACTAACACAGGAATGGAAAAGCAAATACCACATGTTCTCACTCATAAGTGAGAGTTGAACAATGAGAACACATGGACACAGGGAGGGGAACATCACACACAGGTGTCTGTCAGGGGGTGGGGGGAATAGGGGAGGGATAGCATTAGGAGAAATACCTAATGTAGATGACAGGTTGATGGGTGCAGCAAACCACCATGGCACGTGTATATCTATGTAACAAACCTGCACGTTCTGCACATGTATCCCAGAACTTAAAGTGTAATAAAAAAGTACTGAATATATAAAAGTATTAGACATTTATAAAAAAGAAAAAAGTTCTAAGTAGAAAGCAAGACTTAATTCTGATAACCACGTGTTTATACTACAATCTTCTAGTCCTAGGAAATGTATAAAATTATGGGAATTGAAAGAGAAAGGGGTAGTGTACAAGTTATTGAAAATGGTACAGTGTTATTGTTAAGAAAGGGATATTACCTTATAGGAAACTGAACAAGACAATTGGCTCATATGTTAGGTATGAAAGGGAAAATGAGGAGGAGGAGAGAACGTTTCCATAAACTATGTTCAATTTTTTTAAAGAACTCTCCCTCCTCTGGTGTTATATTCCTACTGAAACAATGTTTATTTTCTACATAGCTTCACACCCCCATCTGCTGTCCAGTATCAAGAAAAACTAGCTACTTCTGAAGTTTTTATTTGTTGCACATCACATTCTTGTCACAAGTGGCCCTGATAACTCCTTTTCAAAGACTATTTGGAACCTATAAAATGATACAGTAGTATTCACAGTAAATTGCATTGCAAAATTGCAAAAAGGTCATAGCAATGCACTCTATTACAGGTGACTGATGTCTCCCACAGAGTATATGAAGCAGAAAATTTGAATGCCTTATATTTTTGACAAAAATTCCAATAAAAATGTAAAATGATATTATATGAATTTGCTATTCAAATGGCAACAGTAATGTAAGGTAATAAGAAAGAGGTATAATAATTCTAATTTCAAGGAATCTTTTTTCAGGCATATAATGGGATAAATCAACCTGCTGACATGGCCTAATACAATGAAAATATAAAATTATCAACAAGCATAGCAAGAAGCTACATTTTAAAATCTGAAATTGTGGACTCCTGGAACCCATTCTAGGATACATTTAAATTGCTACTGCTAGGATCTTATAGTTTATAATTTTAATAACTATCTAGATTTTTCTCATGCATATTGAAGTACAAGAACCATAACTTCCCAGGGTAAAAATAAAAACTCTCAAGTGTAATAAAATTAATTTTACTGTTTATGTATAAAATATAGGCTTTCCTCCCCACCAAAAAAAAGACCACTTCTTTTTTTAATAAATTCTCATCACGCTAGTTTATATTTCTTTTCAGTACATTTTGGGTATCTGAATATCATATTCTTTGTTCTAAGAATAACTAATAAAGAACAGAAGCAGCCAAAAATTAAGCACTTAATTGTATATATTTTTTATATTTTCAGAGAAAATTATTTAAACAGTTCCTGACATCAAAGAGGTAGCACAGACATGGGAAAACATTTATAAGATATACCAACAATGGAACAAATTCATACATCAAGAACTGAATAAAATGTAAGATATTCTATGTACATAATTTTGGGTGAATAAATTTAAGAAGTGTTTCAAAGACAAACATTACTCTCCATTACTACAGGAGAGATATGGGTATAATAAAAGGAAATCTCATTATCTTGATTAGTTAGGATGACTGTAAGCTTGTATTAATTTGAATAGTCTAGGAAGATTTAGTGGACAGAATGACATTTCAGAAGCTGTTTTAATTACTTAAATAATGTTTTGCATGTTAGAATAGGAGAGTATACCAAAATAAATTGCGGTCTGCAAAAGAATGAAAATGTTGACAATTTTTTATGGGGTACAACATCATTAAAATTAAAATTAAATTGATATTCATATGCAGAAGAATTAAACTAGACCCATATCTCTTGCCATATACAAAAATAAATTCAAAATAACTTAACTGTAAGACCTGGAACTATAAAACTACTAGAAGAAAATGGAGGAAATGGAGGAAATATTTGCAAACGATTCATCCAATAGGGTATTAATATCCAGAATATACATGGAACTCAAACAACTCAACAGCAAAAACTAAATGATCCCATTTTAAAATGGGCAAATCATCTATATAGATATTTCTTGAAAGATGACATACAAATGGCCAACAGTGTATGAAAAAACTGCTCACCATCACTAATTGTCAATAACTTGAAAATCAAAACCAAATGAGCTATCATCTCACCCCAGTTACAATGACTATCACCTAAAGGACAAAAAATAACAAGTGCTGGTGAGGATGCAAGAAAAAGAAACTCTTAAACATTGTTAGTGGTAATGTAAACTAGCACAGCCGTTATGGAGAACAGTATGAAGGTTACTCAAAAAACTGAAAATAGAGAAGTCCTAGCCAGAGCAATATAAAAAGAGAAACAAATAAAAGCCATCCACATAGAAAGAGAGGAAGTCAAACTACTTCCTCTCTTGCAGATGATATGATTCTATACCTAGAAAACCCCATAGTCTCTGCACAAAGACTCCTGGATCTGATAACTTCAGCAAAGTTTCAGCATACAAAATCAATCTAAAAACAGTCAGTACCATCTCTATATACCAATAACATCCAAGCTGACCCAAATCAAGAACACAATTTCATTCACAATCACCACAAAGTGAATGAAATGCTTAGGAATATGACTGACTAAAGAGGTGAAAGATATCTAAAATGAGAATTACACTGCTGAAAGGAATCAGAAATGACACAAAGAAATAAAAGAACATTTCATGCTCATGAATAGGAAAAATCAATATTGTTAAAATGTCCATATGGTCCAAAGCAATTTACAGATTGTATGCCATTCCTATCAAACTACCAATGACATTTTCCACAGAATTAGAAAAAAAGTATCTTAGAATTCATATGAAGCCAAAAAAAAGAGCCCAGATAGCCAAGGCAATTCTAAGCAAAAAGAACAAAGTTGAAATCATTACACTACCTGATTTCAGACTGTACTACAAGGCTATAGTAATCAAAACAGCATGGTACTCGTACAAAAATAGACACATAGACCAATGGAATTCGTTAGAGACTCCAGAAATAAAGCCACACACCTACAATCACCCCATCTTTGACAAAGCAGACAAAAAAAAGAGCAATGGGAAAAGGACTTTCTATTCAATAAATGGTCCTGGGATAACTGGCTAGCCATATACAGAAGATTAAAACTGGACCCCTTTTTATTAACCATATACAAAAATCAACTCAAGATGGATTAAAGACGTAAATGTGAAACCTAAAACTATAAAAACCCTGGAAGATAACCTAGGAAATATCATTCTGGCCATAAGCTCTGGCAAAGATTTCATGACAAAGACTCCAAAAGCAATTGCAACAAAAACAAAAATCGATAATTGGGACCTAATTAAACTAAAGAGCGTCTACACAGTAAAAGAAACTATTAACAGACAACCTACAGAATGTGAGAAAATATTTTCAAACAACAAAGTTCTAATATCCAGAATCTATAAGGAACTTAAACAGCCAACAAATAAACACACAACCTCATTAAAAAATGGTAAAAGAGCAAGAACAGACACTTCTCAAAAGAAGATATATACACAGCCAAAAAGCATATAAAAATGCTCAATATTGGTAATCATTAGGGAAATGCAAATCAAAACCACAACGAGATACCATCTCACACAGTCAGAACTGTTATTACTAAAAAATTAAAACATAAGAGATACTAGAAAGGTTAGGGAGAAAAGGGAAGGCTTATGTGCTGTTGGTGGGAATGTAAATTAATTCAGCAACTGTGAAAACAGTCTGAAGATTTCTCAAAGAACTTAAAGCAGAACTATCATTCAAACCAACAACCCCATTACTGTGTATAATATCCAAAGGTATACAAATCATTCTACCATTCCAAAGACATATGCACGTGTATGTTTATCACAGCACTATTCACAATAGTAAAGACATGGAATCAACCTAAATGCTCATCAATGGTGGACTGGGTATAGAAAATGTAGTACATACACACCATGGAATACTACACAACCCTAAAAAAGAATGGGATCACGTCCCTTGCAGCAACATGGATGGAGCCAGAGGTCATTCTCCCAAGCAAACTAACCAGGAAAAGAAAACCAAATATCACATGTTCTCACTTTTAAGTGGAGGCTAAACAATGAATACATAAGGACACAAAAAAGAAAACAACAGACGCTGTGGTCTACTTGAGGTTGGAGAGTGAAAGAAGAATGAGAATTGAAAACCTACTTATTGGGCAGTATGCTGACTACCTAGTTGACAAAATTATCTGTATACCAAACCTCTATGACATACAATTTACCCATATTAACAAACAGCACATGTACCCATTGAACCTAAAATAAAAGTTAGAAAAAAACTCTAAAAATAGAACAATCATATGACTCAACAATCCAACTAGTGGGTATATATCCAAAGGCAAGGAAATCAGAATATCCAAGAGATATTTGCACTCCCATGTTTATTGCAGCACTATTCGCAATAGCCATGATTTGGAATCAATCTCAGTGTCCATCAATGGATTAATGTATGAAGAAAAGTTTTGTGTATATATATATATATATATATATATATATATATATATACACGCACACACATACACACGTATATGTACATATATATCACATACATACATAATGTGTGTATATATGCACACATTATACACACACACACATACACATACACTATGGAATACTATTCAGCCATAAGAAAGAATGGAATCCTGTCATTTGCAGCATCATGAATAAGCCTGACCTGGAGGACATTATGTTAAGTGAACTAAGCCAGGAACAGAAAGAAAAATACTGCTCGCTCTCGTTCACGTGTGGAAGCTAAAAAAGTTGATCTCACAGAAGTAGAGAGTAAAGCAGTAGTTACTAAAGGCTGGGAAGAGTGTGAGTAATAGGAATAGGATAGATATAACCTTGGCTAAAGAATACAAAATTCCAATTCTGTGAAGAAAGTCATTGGCAGCTTGATGGAGATGGCAGTGAATCTATAAACTATCTTGGGCAGTATGGCCATTTTCACAGTATTGATTCTTCCTACCCATGACAATGGAATGTTCTTCCATTTGTTTGTATCCTCTTGTATTTCATTGAGAGAGGCCGCATTGCCAAGTCAATCCTAAGCCAAAAGAACAAAGCTGGAGGCATCGTGCTACCTGACTTCAAACTATACTACAAGGCTACAGTAACCAAAACAGCATGGTACTGGTACCAAAACAGAGATATAGACCTATGGAAGAGAACAGACCCCTCAGAAATAATGCTGCATATATACAACTATCTGATCTTTGACAAACCTGAGAAAAACAAGAAATGGGGAAAGGATTCCCTATTTAATAAATGGTGCTGGGAAAACGGGCTAGCCATATGTAGAAAGCTGAAACTGGATCCCTTCCTTACACCTTATACAAAAATTAATTCAAGATGGATTAAAGACTTAAATGTTAGACCTAAAACCATAAAAACCCTAGAAAAAAACATAGGAAATACCATTCAGGACATAGGCATGGGCAAGGACTTCATTTCGAAAACACCAAAAGCAATGGCAACAAAAGCCAAAATTGACTAATAGGATCTAATTAAACTCAAGAGCTTCTACACAGCAAAAGAAACTACCATCAGAGTGAACAGGTAACCTACAGAATGGGAGAAAAGTTTTGCAATCGAATCTGACAAAGGGCTAATATCCAGAATCTACAATGAACTCAAACAAATTTACAAGAAAAAAACAAACAACCCCATCAAAAAGTGGGCAAAGGATATGAACAGACACTTCTCAAAAGACAACATTTATGCAGCCAACAGACACATGAAAAAATGCTCATCATCACTGGCCATCAGAGAAATGCAAATCAAAGCCACAATGAGATACCATCTCACACCAGTTAGAATGGCGATCATTCAAAAGTCAGGGAACAACAGGTGCTGGAGAGGATGTGGAGAAATAGGAACACTTTTACACTGTTAGTGGGGCTGTAAACTAGTTCAACCATTGTGGAAGTCAGTGTGGCGATTCCTCAGGGATCTAGAACTAGAAATACCATTTGACCCATCCATCCCATTACTGGGTATATACCCAAAGAATTACAAATCATGCTGCTATAAAGACATATGCACACGTATGTTTATTGTGGCACTATTCACAATAGCAAAGACTTGGAACCAACCCAAATGTCCAACAATGATAGACTGGATCAAGAAAATGTGGCACAAATACACCATGGAATACTATGCAGCCATAAAAAAGGATGAATTCATGTCCTTTGTAGGGACATGGATGAAACTGGAAACCATCATTGTCAGCAAATTATCGCAAGGACACAAAACCAAACACCACATGTTCTCACTCATAGGTGGGAACTGAACAATGAGAACACATGGACACAGGAAGGGGAACATCACACTTTGGGGACTGTTGTGGGGTGGGGGAAGGGAGGAGGGATAGCATTAGGAGATATACCTAATGTTAAATGACGAGTTAATGGGTACAGCACACCAACATGGCACATGTATACATACGTAACAAACCTGCACATTGTGCACACGTACCGTAAAACTTAAAGTATAAAAAAAAAAAGAAAAAGAATACAAAATTACAGCTAGATAGGAGGCAAAAGTTCTGGTGTTCTATAGCACTTTAGCCTGACTATAGTTAACAATAATGTATTATCTATTTTCAAATAGCTAGAAGAGAGAATTTTGAATATTCCTAATACAAGAAATGATAAAAGTTTGAGGTGATGGATATGCTAATTACACTGATTTGAGCACTATATAATGTAGGCATTAAAAGATCACTTTGTACTCCATAAATATGTACAATTAATATGCAACAATTTAAAAAATGTTGACAGTTTAAATGAGCCACACCCAAGGAGACAAATTCGAGGCAAACAAAAGAAATTGGGAGAGGTGGTGACTGGCAAAAGGAAAAGTATTTTGATCTTCCTGGTGATAGGCTTTAGGGAATAATGAGAATATTGCAGACTTGGTGTTCAATGCAATGGAAAATTGATAAAGGACTTCGGGTAGGGAAAGATGGGTCAGTGTGACAGATGAAGAATGCAGCTTTGACAATAATAGCTAGAGAGAGGAAATGTACTCTATCCTGAAAATGGAAAAATCAAGTGAAAATGAAGTACTAGCAGCCAAGCTAAAGATAATTGAGTCGATTTTATAGTAAGAAAAAAACACAGAGGAAAGTGAAAGAACAGGGACTAAAAAGTAGAAAGCAGCTGTAATGTTTCCTCAGGGAACTGGCAAAAATAAGCTGATCAAAAGATATTAATTGAATGGACTAATTAGTAATTTATTGCATGACAATACGTTTAGTTCAACGAATACATAGTGCACACAATGAATTAGGAATTGAGTTTTGTGCTAGAGACAGGCAGTAAATATGATGTCAAAATTTCCTTATTTGCCACATAAGAAAGATGATGACATTGCCAACTGAAAATAGAAATCTACATTTTAATGTTTGTGCATTGAATTGTGGTTTTCCTGCAACTTAATCTTAATGTCATCGACTGCTCAGAAATATTTGTTGTTGACTACCAAAAAGAAAACATTTTAAGTACAATTTCAAACCCTTTGAGCTTGCTACCAAATTGAATGTTAAAGTCAATAGAATTTGCATTTATGAAGATTCATATTATTGAAGTGACTTTTTCAGAATGCTTCTATCTCTACCTCTGAAAAATGAGAAAAATGAGACACTAAACTGAGTCTTGCAGTTCACCTCCACTGTCATTATGACACCTGATTCTGTATCCTGCAAAATTAGAGTACAATGTCAGAAAGCATTTGGTTGATATCTGAAGAAAATAATAAATGTTGCTGTTATACACATACAAATGTCAGCACCAAATAATACAGCAATGCTTTGTGTGTTCTCTACCCACAACTTCTGTGAACCAGGAAAAAAAAAATAGGAATGAAAGATTTTTTTTGCATTAGTTTCAGGCACTGTTTAAGGTCTGTTTATAATAGTGATGTTGTCTCCCTTGGAATATTATAAAGTATTTTCAGGTCTAAAATGAGTTATTCAAAAGAAAGTAAATCCCTTGGAAGCTGTTTGAACTGTTTGTAGAAAATTACTTTCTAGTCTTACAGTATTAGAAAATAAAAATTACTATCTCTAGTATTGTATCTCCCACTTTTCTCTCTGAAACAACAGTCCTTTTAAATGGTACTTTATATTGGATCTTGTCAAAACTAAAAGGTCATAGCTTTATTTACTATTTATAAGCCCTCATAGTCCTGGCACAGACCTAGGTCAACAGATAATAAAATTTTAAAAACAATCACATTGCATCCATTCTAGCATGCACTTTTTCACACTTTGAAACCTCTGAATTCATGAATGCAAGTGTTTTTGCCTTGTTGGTTGTTCACCAAATACAGTCTGTCATAGATTTGAGGAAATACAGTAAGACTGATAATATCTAGCAATAAATCCCCAACATATCTTGGAATGTGTGACCCAAAGAAGAATTTTAATACAGAGTAAAAAAAATGAATAAATTCTGATGAGAATCATGAAGTTATTATACAGGATTGTCAGCCATATGATCAGTGGTGCAGTCATTCTTCAGTGAGCTATGTGCTTGCCCAGTAATGTTTAAAATGGCTCTTTTCACCTCTACTTGGATGCACTTTAATTCCCAAGAGACACGTATAGCTGCTCAAGAAATTAAACAGTTTGTTTCATTTAATGTTTGAGGGAAAAAAAATAAATGCCTGACAGTGTGACGGTAGAAACCTTAATTACTATTTCTAGAACCACTGCAAATCACTTGTGTGACCATTCTATCTTAATTATATAGCAGAATGAAATGGTACCACTGCCCAAGATAGAATGCTTGCTGTAAAACCTGCCAGAGAAGAAGATGAAATACTGAAGTGAGAACCATGTTAATGGATAAAACATTAAGGTGGGACTCCAGAAACTATTTCTATTTAATGTATCTTCATTATTTCCTCACACAACCAACACTCCTTCAGCTGTAAAATGGAAATAATTATGTTTTCAATCTCTGTGAAATAACATGCAAATAAAACAATCAAAATGTATAGCAATTTTTGCCACTTGGAAGGAAAAGTTTATTCCAATACAAATAAAAGGAAAAAACTCAGTATAAGGAGGTCAGAATTACTATTTGCAATTTGATTTGTGAACTTCTGAAGCCACAAGTTATGCTAAGTGAATTTTTTGCAATCAACAAATATTCTTGTCATTTTAAAGGTCTAATTTTCTACAAATTTGGGGGATTGTGGTTTTTATTACTCTCCTCCTAAAAATTCTGACTTTCCCACCTAATGCACTTGATGAGCTGCTCACAGACCCATAAAGCAGGTGGCCACAAGATGCAGTGCACCTCTAGGAAATATAATCGGTGCTTGGCAAATTTGTTTAGGCAGGTGGTCTATGAACACAGGTGTCCTACTAAGCAAGTTTGATTGTGTTTCCAATCTCAGGAGATACCAGCAAAAAAATACAGGGAAAATATTCAATATGGTTTTATTTCGGGGGAGGTGAAATAGAAGGATTATTACGTAAATAATTTTAAAAATCACGAGAATAGATTGTTTGTGGGAGTTGGATTGGAACAGGGATTCAGAGACATGGATAAGGGTCTTGACTCTGTGACCCCAGGTGAGTTACAAACTACCAAAGCATCTGGTCTTTATCATTTCAGAACTGGAGACAACCTCAGCAATTACTTTGTTCAACCCCTTCATCTTCAAGATGTAAAATCCTAGTCTGAGAGTGAGTAAGGGACTTCCTGACAGTCCCACAGCCTGGCAGGGGCAAAAACAATGTGGAAACTCACTCCAGAAATCTTGCCACTGTAACATACTGCCCCTCCTAACTTAAAAAAGGAATTGATAATTTGAATTATTAATATAGACTATTGGATGAACTCTAGAATCCCTTCCAGCTCTAAAATTGCATGCTTCCACATTAAAGCATACTAAAGATGTGAGAAGTCTTAAGCATTTCCATAGAAAACAAGCAATGTTAAGCTATCTAACTAAACTAACAAAATAGAAAAGCTGAATGTAAATCAAAAATGGAAAAGAAGGCACTATGTGTTCTCATATCTCAAACTTCAACGTCAAACTTTAACATTTAACCTAAGGCATTTATGTCCAAGATGATTGTTTTTTGTTTATTTACTATTTCCATTTGCAAAAACTACTCTATTTCAAACTTCCAGGCATCCACAATAAAATCACATTAAGCTAAGTAATAAAATGCCATTATTAGAGTGACAAGAATCTTCACTACCTGAAGTTATAATGCTTGCTCCCCTACCAACGGGAATGTTGTGAGGATTAATGAGATATTTAGAAAGCATTTTATGCGTACAGAGAAAAGAGCCTCATAAATGCAAAGGAGAAATAACAGTAGTTTATCTCCCCTATCAGTGGAGGAAAACCTGTCTAAACAGATGGACCAGCAGCAGTGTCTTGAAATTGAGAAAACACTACCTATGTTAGAGGATGCTTAAGATAAAAGGCTTCTTGAGGGGAAAACAAAAAAAACTACCTCTGAAACTACAGGCATTTTAATCTTCAAGCATCTGTTTAGTCCTAGTTTGCCAGAGACTGCGCTGTTTCTTGGGATGTGGGATTTGCAGTGCAAAAACTAGGACAGTTCCCAGGAAAGCAGGACAGTTGGTCACCTATTTGTAGGAGTTGTCTCTTAAATAGTTTCTATTTTTTAATACTGCACTGGCAACCTCACTTTTTAGTATTCTAACTCAAGCTTTGAATCACTGAATGCATCAAAGTAATGGCATGTTTTAGAGAAATGTATAGGACAAACCATTTAAAGCATAAGAATGAGCTTAATTCTTGTTTCCCAAGACCAATACTTTGGAGATATCAGCTGAACAAGTGAAACTGTAATAACATTTCAGTCCAAATTCTGCCATCTGATGATCACTAATACCTCAACCTCCCAGCCCACCTCTGGTCTGCCTAGTATAAGATGCTCACATCAATCTACAGCATGGATCCCCAATCCGCAGGCCATGGACCAGTACTGGTTTGTGTCCTATTAGTAACTGGGCCACACAGCAGGAAGTGAGCTACAGGCTAGTGAGCAAAGCATCATCTGTATTTACAGCCACTCCCCATCACTCACTTTACCGCCTGAGCTCTGCCTCCTGTCAGATCAGTGGTGGTATTAGATTCTCATGGGAGCACGAACCCTATGTAAATTGTGCTTGTAAGGGATCTGAGTAGTACACTCCTTATGAGAATCTAATGCCTGGTGATCTGTCACTGTCTCTCTCATCTCCCCCAGATGGGACCATCTAGTTGCAGGAAAACAAACTCAGGGTTCCCACTGATTCTACATTATGGTGAGTTGCATAATTATTTCATTGTATTATATTTTACAATGTAATATTAATAAAAAATAAAGTGCACAATAAATGCAATGTGCTTGAATCATCCCCAAAACATCCCTCCCTGCTGCAGTCCATGGAAAAATTGTCTTCCACCAAACCTGTCCCTGGTGCCACACAGCCCAGTATCCCACAATAGTGCTCCTGTGATTTACCACTGCACCTCTGCTCCTCAAGGTCTGACAACAGGAGGAACTTTCCAAGGGAGTATAGCTCTTCAAGGTCACCATAAATTGCCCAATAATGAGAGGGCTCCATTGTTCTCTCTAAGATGTGGCTGGATAGACCCATTTCCAGAATGTGTCCTATTTGTTGAGCCCTGTTCTCAACACTTTGGAAATGTCAAGGCGATTTTTCTTCTATCAGGGAACTCTTTTTGATCTTCCTCTTTCCTTGCTTTCACTTATCTTAATTCTCTCCTTTTATTTCTACAAAACCTTGATGTTTAAATAACTTTGCAAAGACATGTGACATGTAAGAAGGAAATAAAATACGTTGTTAAATATCTTATTTTAAAAAGCAAAATATTCCTGCCATTGGGAAGTTTCTAATCCTGGGAGTACTAAGGAGAAGGCTTGGGGAAGAAACAGGATAACATAAGGGCTTCACAAAAGCAAATGTCATACAACTTAAAGTATAACTCTACTGTAGTAACCCATGTTAGCATTTATTTTTCTTTCTTTTTTTCAATATAGTATAACATCAAAGAAAGAAATGGCCCACAGTATTCTTACCCTCTAGCAGATGCCAGGAACACAATGAAACTAAATAGTAGAAATAATGTGTATTTATCCATTATCCTGTGGATAACACCTTTCCTACTATAACACCGTAAAATAAATACACCTTTTTTTTTATTATTATTATACTTTAAGTTTTAGGGTACATGTGCACAATGTGCGGGTTAGTTACATATGTATACATGTGCCATGCTGGTGTGCTGCACCCATTAACTCGTCATTTAGCATTAGGTATATCTCCTAATGCTATCCCTCCCCCCTCCCCCCACCCCACAACAGTCCCCAGAGTGTGATGTTCCCCTTCCTGTGTCCATGTGTTCTCATTGTTCAATTCCCACCTATGAGTGAGAACATGCGGTGTTTGGTTTTTTGTCCTTGCGATAGCAAAGACTTGGAACCAACCCAAATGTCCAACGATAGACTGGATTAAGAAAATGTGGCACATATACACCATGGAATACTATGCAGCCATTAAAAATGATGAGTTCATGTCCTTTGTAGGGACATGGATGAAATTGGAAATCATCATTTTCAGTAAACTATTGCAAGGACAAATAAATACACTTTTTTATTTATCCACATTTGTCAGATCAATTTGAGAAACCACACATTATCAGAAAGAGTGGAAATTAGCTTCACAGCTATACTCCGTGGTACCCTTGCTATGCACCAAGTGATCATAAACAGAAAAAAAAAATAAAATAAAAGGCATTCACCCAGCTACCTGATCCTCATTTCAGCATACTTATTGTCTAAATAGAGTTATAGCTGCTTTCCTGCTTCTAGTCCCCCATTGATTAATGCCTATTTGACTGTGTTGCTATTTTTTATTGAAATGTTGCTTAAATTTCAAGGCACTTTCAGCAAGTGCCTTGAAAAACAGGCACTATCTGAAACCATCAAGTCAGGACCCCCGTATTTTCATGGGTTTTTTCAGCCCTTTGCACACGGATAATTTTGCACTCTTCCTGATTATTTGATCATATGAAAACTGGTCTTAATGTCTTCCTGCAAATTATAACTGCAACCTGAGATAAAAATTATAGCTGGATACATAAAAGCAATAACCTTTTTGAAAACTGAAACAGCAACTCCATATTTTAACCATGAACATAAGAAAAGAACATGCAGAATATTTTTTCAACATGTAAATAAAAAATAAAATATACATTTGTAGTGTGAGAATTTCTTTAAAAATAACAATGCTTCAATTTTAGACATCAAAGATATCACAGATAATTTAAGTTTAGCCATTTTTGTTTGTAATTCTGTGTTCATAAGAGCTTGATGCTAATAATAAATATTTTGGGGGCACCTACTCTTTTCAAGAGAACCACAGAATGAGAAGTCATGCTTAAGAAGCTGACAGCCTAGCAGAAACATAACACAAGGATATGAGCCTCTAGAAGAGCTCCAATCCATGAAAGAATAAACCACAGTGGATCAGAGAAACATGAGAAAGGAGTTATAAGAGATCGAAAAGGGGATGGATTTCATCCAGAGAAAAAGGACAGGAAATTGTGAAGGAGAATCACTTGGCATAGACCTTAGAGAACAAGTAAAACTTGTGTAAATAAAAGATAAGGCCTTTTTTTCTTTTCTTTATTATCATTGTCAATAATAATATGATATCTTACTATTCATTTTGAATGGTAACCATGACAAATCAAAGAACGTGATCTCTTAAATACCTTTATCTACTTAACATATGTTCATTAATTAGGTATTGTTGCTGGTTTAGACTCTCTATGGTCAGATTCTGGATCTTTTTCACTTATTAGCTGTACAGCTGTGAGCATGTGACTTATGTGATTTGCGTCTCAGTTCCTTTAGTTGTAAAATAAGCATAATTTCCATTTCTATTTCATAGGATTTTTATGAACATTGAGATAAAACGTGCCAAAAGCTCATGGAGAGCCTGGAACATAGTAAGCAATTTATACGTATTGGTCATTCTGAACTCTGGCAAGAGGAGCAGCACGAGAAAAAAATCACAGAAGTGGTAACTTTTAAATGTGCTTAAATTCATGGGCTACTTTCAATATTGGACATGAAAATCACAGAGAAATTACTAAGGACTGTCAACTTAGAAATGCGGTTTAAGTCATATGGTGAAAGACCATAGATGCTAAAATAGGGAGCATGTTTTCAAGGAATTGAAGTGACAAACCACAAATGTAAGCTGTTAGATAAAATAAGGAGGAAAAGCCATGTACTTATTGTAGGTGCCTAGTAAGAAAGTTATAAAGGCCAGTTAGAATAAAAGAGGACCAGTCAAGCTCCAGTGAAGGCTTGCATCTATATCATTTTGCAACTAACTAAAAATAGGGGCCAAGGAGTTGGAAGATTCAGAAGGGACTTGAAGTTTCACAGCTAACATTAGTATGAGAATGAAGACACTTTAAGTAATAACACAAACATAATGGGGAGGGGATACTGGGATTGGTAAGGGAAGAGAGAAGGGACAGAATGCATTCCAAAATTACAATTCATCTTCTGCAATACACCTTTGGCCTATTTACTCAACCAAAATATTCAAGAAAAGGGAAGCTGATGCAATCTAACAGAGTTGTCTCTACACACAGAGATTGTACAAAATATTGTTAAGCATAGAGAAAATAAAATATAAAATTAAAATTTCTCCTTTTAAGAAGCATAAGGTACAGTAATAGAATAATTTTATTATAGTTTTATTTAATTGAATTTGATTATATAGAGCTATGAAAATAAAATTAACCTTACCTAGGCATTATAAATATGAAATTTTACCACTATCCTTGTTCTTATCAATGTCAGAGAATTCCAAGAGAATCAGTGTAATGAGTATGTGTATTTTGTATGTATATATGGTTTTCAATCCCTCTTAGAGGAGAAATTACAGAAACTAAATATTTTACTTCATTTCAAATACTGTAATTCAAATCCCCCTTGGTAGCTGGGGATATGCTTTTGAGGTTTTAATTCTTATAGCTAGTGAGATGTTCCTTTCTGGGCACATTTATTTTCCTCTTTTTTCCCTCTACTCTAGGCTTTTCACAATAGGTTTATCAATCAGCCTTCTTTACTGGAAGATACACAAACAATTATAGTTTAAGAATCATGTTAAGGATACAAGGTATGTGACAGAATTGAATAGTCAGTGAACTGGTCCAGGAAATGGGTGGGAACAAAGGTGGTGATGGGAGGGTAGTAACTAGGCAGCAGAAAGTACACCCCCAATTCTTACTAAGAGTCAGTCTAGGATCCTGCATTGGGCATCACCACTGAACTCCTCTACTGCTCTGCATACTACACCATGATCCTAAATTCTTTTTTTAAATTTATTTCAATACGTTTTTGGGGAACAGGTGGTATTTGATTTCATGAATAAGTTCTTTAGTGGTGATTTCTGAGATTTTGGCGTATCCATCACCCAAGAAGTGTATACTGTACCCACTATGTAGTCTTTTATCCCTCCCCACACTGACCCTTTCCTTTGAGGCCCAAAGTCCATTGTATCATTCTTGTACCATTCTGTCCTCATAACTTAGCTCCCAATTATGAGTGAGAACACACAATGTTTGGTGTTTCCATTCCTGAGTTACTTAGAATAATAGTCTCCAATACCATCTAGGTTGCTGCAAATGCCATTATTTGGTCCCTTTTAATGGCTGAGTAGTATTTCCTGGTATATACATACTACATTTTCTTTATCCACTGGTTGATGGATGGGCACTTGGGCTGGTCCCATATTTTTGCAATTGCAAATTGTGCTGCTATAAATATGTGTGTGCAAGTATATTTTTCATATAATGACTTCTTTACTTCTGGGTAGATACCCAGGAGTGGGATTGCTGGATCAAATGGTAGATCTACTTCTGGTTCATTAAGGAATCTCCACACTGTTTCCCACAGTGGTTGTACCAGTTTACATTCCCACCAAGTGTAAAAGTGTTCCCTTTTCACCACAACCATGCCAACATCTATTATTTTTTTATTTTTCTATTATGGCCATTCTTGCAAGAGTGAGATGGTACCCCATTGTGGTTTTGATTTGTGTTTCCCTGATAATTAGTGACATTGAACATTTTTCCACATGCTTGTTAGCCATTTGTATATCTTCTTTTGAGAATTGCCTATTCATGTCCTTAGCTCACTTCTTGATGGGATTTTTGGGGTTTTTTGTTAATTTGAGGTCCTTGTAGATTCTGGATATTAGTCCTTTCTCGACGTATAGATTTTGAAGATTTTTTTACAACTTTGTGGGTTGTCTGTTAACTCTGCTCGTTATTTCTTTTGCAGATGCTTTTTACCTTAATTCGATCCCATCTATTTACTTTTTTGTTGCATTTGCTTTGGGGTTCTTGGTCATGAAGTCTTTGCCTAAACCAATGTCTAGAAGGGATTTTCAGAAGTTATCTTTTGAATTTTTATGGTTTCAGGTCTTAGATTTAAGTCTTTGATCCCCCTTGAGTTGATTTTGTATATGGTGAGAAATGAGGATCCAGTTTCATTCTTCTACATGTGGCTTGCCAATTATCCCAGCACCATTTGTTGAGTAGGGTGTCCCTTCCCTACTTTATGTTTTTGTTTGCTTTGTTGAAGATTAGTGGGATATAAGTATTTGGCTTTATTTCTGGGTTCTCTGTTCTGTTCCATTGGTCTATATGCCTATTTTTATACCAGTACCATGTTTTTTTGGTGACTGCAGCCTTATAGTATAGTTTGAAGTTCAGTAATGTGATGTCTCTACATTTGTTCTTTTTGCTTAGTCTTGTTTTGGCTACCTGGGCCCTTTTTTGGTTCCATATGAATTTTACGATTGTTTTTTCTAGTTCTGTGAATGATGGTGGTATTTTGAGGGAAATTGCGTTAAATTTATAGATTGCTTTTGGCATTATGATCATTTTCACAATATTGATTCTACCCATCCATGAGCAAGGGATGTGTTTCCATTTTTTTGTATCATCTACGATTTCTTTCAGCAGTGTTTTGTAGTTTTCCTTGTAGAGTTCTTTCAACTTCTTAGTTAGGTGAAACGAGAGGATGGCACAGCCACATGAGTATCACTTGTCTCACCCTAGCTGCTGGCAGCAAAAAAGAAGTTTGAGTCTTTTTTGACCAATTGCTTTTATGAGTGGGTTTCTACTGGGCTATTCTCTATGCTAAAATGTTAGTTCTAGGACTCTCCTTCAATATCTAGGTGAGCATCCACTTCTATCCTAGTTAAAAAAAAAGTGTGGAAGTTTCTGTGAAAACGCAATCTAGAGACAAGTAGGCACATACTGAATACATAGATTCTAAAACCCTTGAAGACAATGACCTGGTTTGCCTGTCTTGCCTGGCACTTAGTAGATATTTTATAATCACTATTATTACATGTTTGCATGCATGTAGACATAAATGTATAGATGTAAATATTGACATATAATTTTAATCAACCAGTCAATTCAGTAATCTCAAATAGTAAAGCTTTGCATGTCATAATTAAATGACAATGCCCTGCCTGTAGTATCCATAAAGTAACACAAATTAAGTATGAACTAAAGTAACCAAAATAATTCTTTTGATTAAACAAAGAAGATTGAGTGAAGTATTACTTACTCTAAAATTCATTCTGTTCTAAAGTCAAGGTGGTTTACATAACTACCCACCATTGCTGAAAAGAAAGGAATGATATTCATTTCCAGGCAGCTGCAAAAGTCATTTTTTGCAAAGTAGGCATGGAGAGAACTTTAACTCATTTGGTTGTGGTGTTGCAAGTATCTTGGGAGTATTAATAACAGCATTAGTAGAACTAAAGAAATCACAACATTTTCCAATTATACTTTTTACAGCACTTACTTATAACCATAACTAATAATTTTAAGAAAAAATAAAGAGATTATAGCCTTTAAAATGTGTAAACACTGTTTTACATAAAATTATGCTGGTTTATTTACAGTAGGATATTTTTATAGTCCTTAAGATGGTTTAATCCATTATTGGTATCCTAAAGTAAGACAAACTATCTCATTGTTTCCAAATTTAACAGAGGGATTCTGATGTTTTATTGAACAAAGTTTGGAAAATGTTTCTCTGTACTTTGAAGATGAAAATTTGGGGAATTGCAGAGATTCAGAACTCTATGTAATTACCATGTGAGCCTTAAAGTAAAATAAATTTTGTATTTCAAAATGAACCATATTGGGATACATGAATACTTAAAAGAGAAGTGCTTCAGAATGAGATAATAAAAGGAGAGTCTCTATAAATTACCTTGGGCAGTATGGCCATTTTCACGATATTGATTCTTCCTACCCATGAGCATGGAATGTTCTTCCATTTGTTTGTACCCTCTTTTATTTCATTGAGCAGTGGTTTGTAGTTCTCCTTGAAGAGGTCCTTCACGTCCCTTGTAAGTTGGATTCCTAGGTATTTTATTCTCTTTGAAGCAATTGTGAATGGGAGTTCACTCATGATTTGGCTCTCTGTTTGTCTGTTATTGGTGTATAAGAATGCTTGTGATTTTTGCACATTGATTTTGTATCCTGAGACTTTGCTGAAGTTGCTTATCAGCTTAAGGAGATTTTGGGCTGAGACGATGGGGTTTTCTAGATATACAATCATGTCATCTGCAAACAGAGACAATTTGACTTTCTCTTTTCCTAGTTGAACACCCTTTATTTCCTTCTCCTGTCTAATTGCCCTGGCCAGAACTTCCAGCACTACGTTGAATAGAAGTGGTGAAAGAGGGCATCCCTGTCTTGTGCCAGTTTTCAAAGGGAATGCTTCCAGTTTTTGCCCATTCGGTATGATATTGGCTGTGGGTTTGTCATAGATAGCTCTTATTATTTTGAAATACGTCCCATCAATACCTAATTTATTGAGAGTTTTTAGCATGAAGGGTTGTTGAATTTTGTCAAAGGCCTTTCTGCATCTATTGAGATAATCATGTGGTTTTTGTCTTTGGTTCTGTTTATATGCTGGATTACATTTATTGATTTGCGTATATTGAACCAGCCTTGCATCCCAGGGATGAAGCCCACTTGATCATGGTGGATAAGCTTTTTGATGTGCTGCTGGATTAGGTTTGCCAGTATTTTATTGAGGATTTTTGCATCAATGTTCATCAAGGACATTGGTCTAAAATTCTCTTTTTTGGTTGTGTCTCTGCCCGGCTTTATTATCAGGATGATGATTCAATGCCATCCCCATCAAGCTACCAAAGACTTTCTTCACAGAACTGGAAAAAACTACTTTAAAGTTCATATGGAACCAAAAAAGAGCCCGCATCACCAAGTTACATAACACTACAATATTTTCCAAGGAAATGTTAAAATTCAATTATTCCAGAATAGCAAGAAGCAATAAAGCTACCATTGGCAGCAAACAATTTAATATCTGTCTCTGGCCTGTACTGAAATAAACAAAAAGCATCTTTGGAAGTCACTGTTAACTATCCTAACAAGTTTATTAGTTTAGTCTTCCATTTATGCATGCATTCATTCAAAGAAATATTTATTGAGGGAATAAGATTCATCGATATTAAAACAAAATTCAGTCTTTCCATTTCCTTAGGATCGCTGCTTTACAGAGGAGAAGGCATATTATGACAATATGCATAATAAAAAAATTAGAAAAAATAGATGAGATGCAAAAGTAGAGCAGGGAATAGAGACATTAACTCTGCAGATGGTAAAGGCGGCTTCATGGAAGAAGAAACCACTTAAGTCTTAGGATACTTAGGGTTTATTGGGAAAAAAAAATAGGGAAAGAATGCTTTAAATGCAGAAGAAATGTATGTGCAAAGTCATGTTGCACAATATGTAACATCGGGTCATTTTTATCTGCACCTAAGTGACTCGGGTGAAACTCCATGAGAAAATGTTGAAGAAAAAAATTAGGCAAAGTCCACATCAAGAAGGTGTTTGCAAGTCAAGAGAATCAGTTTCAGAGATGTGAGGACTTGTTGAGGGAATTTTATAAGGAGTTGATGGTATATCTGAGTTGCATTTTAGAGAAGTAAACACACTGGGGTAGAATGGGCAGATTAAAGGGAGAAAATACTAAAGGCAGAGAGACCACTTGGAGTGTCTTCACAGTTAACAAGGGAAAATTAACAAGATCTTTTAATTTCAGAAAGCCCACTATAAACAACACCACCAGGCTCTCCAGCTTCCAACTCTAGCAATCTTACATCAATGCTTTGACTCCTCAAGACCGCAAGTCCCTTGACTTTCATAAGTTTTCATTATCCATCACTATGTTCATCTTCACTTGCCATCATGACTAGTTTAAATTCCATAGTTAACTATTAAAATCATCCTTTTAAAAACATCCTTTACTCCTATGCATGTGTCTTCTTCCACACACAAATCCAAACTTGTGTGGGCCTAATTATCTTCTTACTTTTCTAAGGCTAGTTCTGAACAGTTGAATGTTCCTGGATAAAATACACATATAAGGTGATTATTGCCATTTCAATACAACTATTCATTTAGCAAATATTTACTGAGAGCCTACTATATGTCAGGCATATGTTCTAAGATCTGGGGATATAGAAATAACAAGACATAATTAATATCCTCCTGGACTTTGCCTTCTAGTGAAGAAAATCTATAAACAAAATAGGCAGACAAAAGTCAATGAATACATAAAATAATTTTAGTAACAAATATATATGAAAGAAACATCAAGGGAAGTGAATAAAAAATAGGATGAAAAGGCAACTACATAAGGTGGTCAGGGGAGAGCTTTCAGAAGAGATGAAATCAGGGCTAAGAATGGAATGATAGGAACTGTGAATATCTAGGAAAAGAGCCCTAAAATATCTCTCAATTCACTCAGAGTAAAAGCCACAACTCATCATGGCTGTTAGAATGTCCTCCAGCAAGAAAGGGCTCTGCCATTTCTGTAGCCACAACTCCTTTTACTCTCCCCTTGGTTCACTCTGTTCCAGTCACATAGGCCTACTTGGCTAGCACACAGCAGGCAAGTGCCACTAGCCTTTGTATTGGCTTTGAAATGACTGTCCTCTCTATCTAGAACTCTTCCCTCGATAGCTTTATGGCTCTCTGATTTCCTTCAAATCCTACCATTTCAATGAGGCCTACCCCCACCTGCTCAACTCCCACTACTTAAAATCTCAACATGCTTCCCAAAACCCAGGTGTTCCTGATCCTCTTAACCTGCTACACATTTTTTCTTTTTCTAAAGCATGCTTTTCTGATATATCAGATGACTTATTCATTTATTTATTTATGTTTTTAATTTCTTACCTTTTCTTGCCTCAGGCCCTCGGCTAACTTGTAAATTTAGCAGAAATCTTTGTTCTGTTTATTGAGAGATGACCAATAACTAGAACAGCACTGGTATGCTATAGGTATTCAATAATCATTTGTTAAATAAATGAAGAGTTTTAAGTAGAGAAAACAGCAAGTAGAAAGACCATGAGTTAGGAACAAGCTCAGCATGTTCAAAAAAACACTATGACTCTCATAGTATGAACATGAAGAGAAAAGGGAGATGAAGTGCAGAAGTACATATGCCTTTTAGGCTATGGCAAATAATTTCTATTTCATTTTATTTTATTCTAAGTGTCAACTGGATTTAACTTCAGCGAGTTTGACAATTTTCTGATTTTTTACCCTTTTCTTTACCCTCTTCTTATTATTCTTTTTCCCCTTATCTTCTGAAATGCCAAATGTTACAGCTTTATCAAAATAGTTAATGACCTCCCTCTTCCTTCATGAGTTCAGAACAAAATGAGAGATAGAGGCAAAAGTCAGAAAGCAAGATATACAGATACAAACTTCATCCTTGAATTAGATATTTCTTTCAATGAAGACATTGGCATGACCAGATCTCTTCCCGAGGGCCTGACCAAAAGCCACAGAGGAAACCAGCCTATGTACTTCCTGTTGACCAAATGGCTTCCGAAGAGAAAGAAAGGACAGGACTGAATCCAAAATCACCAGTCAGATAAGTCACCTCCTTCCCATGGAATGGGAGTAAAGATGTCCTTGTATACAGGTTCCTCCAAATAAAATGAGAAATCAAGGACTGCTGCTGTAGAGTCCTAATTCCCAGGTAGTTCTGGCCCCTCACATTCAAGCAGAACATCTTTGAGCAGCTGGAGAAAGCCCTCAGGCAAGGAGATGCCGGGACCAGCAGCTGGAAGTGGGAAGGAGTTCACTGTAACAGTAAAGTCCAAGGCCACTTCATCAGGACACCACCAAATCTCAAACTGACCTGCCCTTACACCAGTCTTCTCTGCCTTTCTTTCTGATACAATAAATTTGCTGTAGTCTTACTGTATAACTTGTTTTATAGTATAATGTTCTTTCACTAAATTTCACATGCTAAAATGCATGGGGAAAAAGAAAGGAAATCAGTATATATCAAAGAGATATCTGCAGTCCCAAATCTGTACACCAACCAACCATAACATGCAGTTTACCTATATAACAATCCTGCATATGTGCCCTAACAGAATTGCCACTCAACCTGGCAGTCTTATTACTGGGTATATACCCAAAGGAATATAATTTATTCTACTGTAAAGACACATACACACATATGTTTATTGCGGCACTCTTCACGATAGCAAAGACGGAATCAACCTCAATGCCCATCAACAGTAGACAGGATAAAGAAATTATGGTACATATACACCATGGGATACTAAACAACCATAAAAAGTGAGATAATGTTCTTTGCAGCAACATGGATGGAGCTAGAGACCATTATCCTAATCAAACTGATGCAGAACAGAAAACCAAATACTATATATTCTAAATTATAAGTGTGAGGTAAACAGCGAGAACATGTGGACCCAAACAGGAGAACACTGGGGTCTATTTGAGGGTGGAGGGTGGGAAGAGGGAGAGGATCAAAGAAAAATGCCTATCAGGTACTATGCTCATTACCTGGGTGATGAAGTAATCTGTACACCTAACCCCGACAACACACAGTTTACTTATGTAACAATCCTGCACATGTACCCTAAACATAAGAAAAACGTTTAAAAAAGAGTTGATTGCATGGAAGCAGAGATAGAATAGTGGTTACCAAAAGCTGGAAAGGGAAATCAGCAGGAGAACGGATGAAGAGAAGTTGTTTAATGTGTGTAAAAATACAGTTAGATAGAAGGAATAAGTTATAGTATTTGATTGTACAGTAAGAAAATTATAGTTAACAATAATTTACTGTATACTTCAAAATAACTAGAAGAAGTGTAATGTTCCCAATGCAAAAAAAAGATAAATGTTTATGACAAGGGATATCCCAATTATACTGATTTGATCATTGCACAATGTATACATGTATCAAAATATCACATGTACTCTGAAGGTATGTACAACCATGATACAGCAATAAAAATACTTTAAAAACCCAAAAACTTTAGAAACAGAAACACCAAATTAGAAGCATAGCAATTGAGACAAAATAATTTAAAATCTAAAAAATAAATTAGATGAGAAATAGGAAGCAAACTGTACAGATGCACAAAAGGAGTGCTAAGCTAGTCCAGACCGCAAAAGGCCTGTGCATGGTGCAAGACTGGAAAACATGACAACTCGGGCTTGGTTCAAGGTTACTCTCACTGTGCTTACTAATGAACCAGAAAATATGTACTGTAGAAGATAAATATTCTGTAAGTACCTGAGTGAGCAGGCCCAGCTCTCCAGGATCTCTCCAGGGCCTTGCTCTGTGTACAAAGCAAACTTCCAGCAAGCTGAGCAGTTCACGGCTATAAGCTCACTTCCTTTTGTATCTTTAGACTGGGGAAGACACAACAGCATCAAGGATCTACCAGCTATGTAGAAAGTAACTTCTACTGCAGCCCAGTGTTCTGTGTGTCATTTCTATTGAATCACTAGGACTGCAATAGTGCTGGATTCCTCTACTATAGACACTGCACTATAAAGGAGAAGAAGCACATGTCAGATTCAAAAACATGAGCCCAGAACTTCTTATGTGCAGGAAATATAACTGTAGGTCTAACATAGTTTTTCAAGGACTGACACCATAATATTACTTATGTTCAAAATTCAACTCTGTCATATATTGCACTAGCTGCGGAACTTTTGGCAAATAAGCATCTTTCTATACCTCAGTTTCCTCATATTGGGATGGTCATAATCATAGCATCTATCTTATGGGGTTGTTGTGGAGATTAAATAATTTAGTAAGTGCTTAGAACAATGCTTAGCACATTTGAAGTGCTATGTGTTAGCTATTGATAACTTTATAATTTCTCTAAATTTTTATTTTGGCTTCCACACAGTTAATTTGATGAGAAAGTTTAACCTTGGCCTTTTAAGGGATCCCCAATCCTCTTTCCATGCCACTGGAGCCAGGTATAGTGGACTCCATTTGTCTACATATGTCCAAATTTAAAAATAAACTGGACAAACACTTTACTGACAAAACACATCTGTGGGATGCATTTAGCTTGCAGATCATAATTTTGAGACCTCTGACCTGAGGGCTTAGCCTTTGGAACACTATGATCATAAAATTTCAGCTTTGTAGAATATCACATTTCACCCTTAAGGCAATGCACATATTAATATCTACCTACTGTTTGAAGGAGAGTGATGGAAAAAGAGGAAATACAGGAAGTATAGACGAAAACAGTAAATATTGTTTAATGTCTCAAAATATTATTCTTCCATCATAGATTTTATAAATTGGTTTATGGACCAAAGGATTTCCCTAAGAGTTATTTGAAACTTTTGTGTTTTGGCAAAAGATGTTTACATTTCATTAAGAATTTCAACTATCTGCTATGCATTATTTTTTATCAATAATAGTGCAGTTAGAACAGTCCTTCTTAAACATTAATGTGCACATGAATCACATGGAGATCTTGTGAAAAGGCAGAATTTGATTAGTTTAGGGGTGATACCTGTGGCATTGCATTTCTAACACACTCTCAGGAGATACTGTTGCAGAAGCCAGTACCTCTACTAAGGTACAGGCCTCCAAAGGGTCTTGCACAAATGAGAGACCCTGAGGCTCAAGCATTATGCTACTGATGACATGCAGCATATTATGCAAAATGATAATCTCAGAGTTGCTGTCACAAATACTGGTATAACTGCCTCTAACTTCTAGTTCATAAAGTTCAGTTACTACTTTAGAAACCATAATCTGAGTTTAGTTTAGAGTACCTCTTTTATAACAGAGTCCATATAATTGTCATATGTAATCTATTTTGATGTATGCATTTCAAAGAATACTTAGAACATTAATTTGAATAATTTGCACTTGATTTACTTAGAGAATCAGAAGCAGTACAACAGTTATCTACAATGTTAGATAGTGGCCCTCAATATTGCACTCTATTCAATTCTAAATTCTTAATAACACATAGACTGGAACACTGGTTGCATACTTTTAAGAGAAACTTTTAGTTGTGTATTTTTAAGAGAAAGTGTTTTAATTCTTTCTTATGTAAAAATAGATTAGCAAGAGAATTTTAATTCTTATGTAACAATAGATTAGTGAGAGAAAATGCATTCTGTCATATATATTCATACACAAACACATACATGTATTTTTAATGGGTCAAAGGAGATGAATAAATTTTCTTTAAACACTTTGGAATCATTTGGAATATTTTAATTTTGTAAAGTCGAAAATAAGTGAAATGGATTGTGAAAATCAAAATAAAACAAAATATACCTTTTTAAATGTCTTTTAAGAGTAACATTTGCTTCAACATATTGACAAAGTTAGCAAAGAAATGCTGAAATAAAATTTACCTCAAAAAATTTCATGAAAATATGTGATTACATTATATAAACATATAAAAATAACTACAGAAACTTCAGAGCACATATATCTGGTTTTAAACAATACTGTTTTAATCAGCTTTTACTCCTAAGTAAGTTAAATATTTATCTAATCAGTTCTATGAAGGAGACCACTTTGACCCCTCTACCACCCTCTATTTATGTGACTTCTGGAAATACAGAACTAATCCCCACAGAGACTCAAAGCAAATTTGCTTACACATGTCCTTGTGAAAGGAAAATATTTTAAAATTAAATGTCAAATGGAGAAATCTTTATCAAAATACTTATCAAAATGCTAGATATTATTAGAAAATTGATGCGACAAAATAGGAACTATGATTTTTTCCAGTGTCCCAAACCATAATACTACCTTTTTAGAAACCCCACTGGCAGTTCTAAGTTACTTATCTTAAATATAACCTAAAGAAGTCAGAGAAAGTCCACCAAGTAAAAATGGAACACACAATGAAAGTGTAAACTCCACAGAAAATTCACAGCAATGACAACAGAGTCAACATGTTTTTGTTTCTTGTTTATTGAATCACAGCCATAGTAAAATTATAACTACCTATAAAATATCTACCACTTTTCACAGCAATTAATAGACTTACTGGGACCCATCAGTGTGAAATACAACATAAAATTTTTTTAAATAAAAAAACAAGTTGTATTTAAATTCTTGTCAAAATTCCATCATAAGCTAATTAAAATGGTTTATTTTGTAAAAGCTATGATTAGAGATAGAAACCATACCTTTTGCCAACATAGCTTTTATTGTCATGGTAAAGAGAAATTGTATTCACCATATATTGGCTTCATAGAACATAGTTTCTACCCATCTTGACAAGTATTACACATTTTTATGTACATGAAACAAGATAAAATAATTTTAGCTGTTTGAGTCCACCTTAGTGCAATTCCTCAAAGACACAGGAAATAAATAACTTCACACAAGCTAAGAGCTGGCCCAGCTTATATCTTTGAGAGCAGCTGATTTCTTTGTTGTTTACTCAAATATTGTTAAACAATGGAAATATCATGAAATAGTCCACTTTTAAAGCTATGTCTGTCCTAAAATGATTTCTTTTGGCCATGTGGGAAGTGTTTGGCATTCTCCAAGCTCCAGGCAATTTTAGGTACCAGTGGCTTTTGACATTGTATTATTTTCCAGGAATGTTCAAGACATCACAACCCCTTCTTTACCTGATTCATTTTTCATCAACATTCTAGACAGAGATTAAGCATCATCTTTCCAAGAAGTCTTTCTGTGTTATTTGTTTACACATCAGCTGACATTTTTCTTCCTCTGGCCATAGTCATATATATATGTGTGTGTGTGTGTGTATATATATGTATATATATGTATACCATATATATATGTATATATATGTATACCATATATATGTGTATATATGTATACCATATATATGTGTATATATGTATACCATATATATGTGTATATATGTATACCATATGTATGTGTATATATGTATACCATATGTATGTATATATATATGTATACCATATGTATGTATGTATATGTATACCATATGTATGTATGTATATGTATACCATATGTATGTATGTATATGTATACCATATGTATGTATGTATATGTATACCATATGTATGTATGTATATGTATACCATATGTATGTATGTATATGTATACCATATGTATGTATGTATATGTATACCATATGTATGTATGTATATGTATACCATATATGTATGTATATGTATACCATATATATGTATGTATATGTATACCATATATATGTATGTATATGTATACCATATATATGTATGTATATGTATACCATATATATGGTATACATATATATACACACACATGCATACACACACATATATATTAAATATATATGAATATATATGTTTTTCAGCATCTGTGTCATTACATTATAATAGGTTGTCCGTACATCTGTGTCCCCTATTAATCAGCAAGCTTCATTAGGAAAGTGATTGGATCCCCTGATTTCTATTCCTTATATCTAATACACTACTGGACTACAATACAGACTTTAAATTGATTGGCTGAGTGAGGGAATGGATGAATACCCAGCATTTTTCTTCCTCAATGTATGGAAAGAAATAAAAGCATTACTTTTTGAATATTAAAATATGCCAGCACCCGAATTTAAGACTTTATTTACCATATACCATGTATTCTCCCATATATTTCCTAGAAAAAAAGAAAAATTATTAATTCCACGTAACTAATGTGGAAGCCAAGGCTTAAAATCATTAATATATCCAAAGATTATACAAATAGTAAATAGTGAAGATGAAATTTGAATGAAGATACCTTGCACTGCATAACCTATGTTAGTAGGGGTAGATAACCTGAAATAAGGATGTTGGCAAAGGAAAAAGCCTGACTCAGATTGGGAATTTTCAGACAAAACTCAGACTCTAAGCTACCAAAAACCATCAAGAAGAACATTCCAGACCTAATAACTCTTATCTTGTATATTTTAGACCAGAGCTGAGCTTGGAACGTTGCTTTCATGTAGATTTTGTCTTTCTAATCTTGGCCATACTGTATTACTTCACATGGCATAAACAAGTTTTAAGTTTTCTCTCTCTGTTCAAAATTCACAAACTGCCAACTTCCACTTTTGAATTCATAATATATAATGAGCCAGAGCAGTCCAGATAAGAGATTGGAGGGGCAAAGAGGAAGGAGAAGATGGGGAAAATATATAATAACAATATAATTTCATGCTGTTTCATGCTTTCTTGCTATATTTTTGTGTTATAAATTTCTAAATTTGTAACAGGTGAGCTAACACTAGCAATTGATAAAACACAATCCATTTAATAAAAAGAGGTTAAATAAAATGTAATATGAAAACAAGTGCACACATGTGAGCCATATATTACTTTATTCCAACTATTTCCTTGTATACCATGCCAATAAGAATAAATAAAAGAAAATTTGGCCTCCAAATATGTTATGTACTTGCTGTTTTTATTTATTTATTTTATATGGGTTATAGCCTATGAGAAGTTCTGAAGAGCTAACAATAACCTTCTTCATACAAACTGGGTTTTCACTCAATGAAAAATAGTGTAGTACGATTCAGCTTAATATGATTTTAAGGAAGGCAAAGGTGTATAAACAAAGTACAGAAATCATTTATGTATAGCTTCAACTTCCATACTGTTAACGAAGAGTTATTGATCATGTGGAATAAAGAACACAATGGCCAGTCAGTTGCACTTTAAGTTACTTTTCCACAAGTGGTGATGCTCATGTGGTGCCTTACTAAAATTGTAAGCAAGAATGTTGATTCTATGTATTTTTCTCAGGTGCTAATAGTATTGATTCTTCTTTCCTTTCTCACTGTAATCCACTAGCTTTATATTACACCAAAACTTATAGGATAAAGAAAATGTACGAGAGAAGGAAAAATATGGTTCCCCTCCTCTTTAGCCATGATGAATAAAATTAGTCAAGCTTCATATGGTCAACAGCATGTATTACGCATTTCTATGTATCATAAGCCCTGAGATAACCCAGGGGAGGCAAAGGGTATGTGCTCTGATTTTCAAAACCTTGTAACCATACTAAAGCTGAGTGGATGGACATGAACTCCAAGAGTAGGCAGAACCAACCAGGAAGAGCTCGGTGGCTAGAGTACATATACACAGTATAGATGTTCCTCCTTGAAACCATCCATTGACCTCATGTTGCTTGTGCCTCGGGTTTCTGCTTGCAAAAGGGCAATTAGTGAGAGTCAGCATATATTCTCAGCAGAGAGCTCCTCTGTAAACTTGGTCATGATCTCAGTTGTATTACTCAAGCGTCTTAGCCAAATGAAAAGAAATGTCAGCTTGGAATTTTTCAGATATTTGCAAAAAATATTTTCATTCCAAAGACAAGTAAGGGAAGAAGAGTAGTCATAAATTCCTTATGTTCTCTGAAACGTGCAAAATTTTAAATAGAATTTTATACAGAAAATTAAAAATACAATAACCTGGCATCTTTAACTCAATATTCATAACAATTTAATGGTGGTGGGCTTTAGTGAAGCCTCCTATTCAGGCTTTATTACTTTAATAAAACAACTTTAGTACATTTTCTATTCCACAGTAGTACTTTATTATGAGTTACAGAAAGTAAACTGCCCTTGTTAAAATAAATAAAGCAAGTACATCTCAGGATTTCACATACCTGATTTTATAATGTTGTTTTCTAATGTGCATCGCTACTCATTTGCACAATTCAGTCATCTCTTAGGAATTCTCAAGTCATTAGCATGAATTAGTATAGTATTAAGTATGAAATGCGAGATACTTCTAAGAATTTTAAAAGAAGTGCACTGTTAGGCACAGATTAATGGGGAGTAATTTATCTCCTTCTACATTTACAGCTCCCACAATGAAAGCAGACGGGCCACAAATATGCTTTTCCTAAGTGGTCATTTTTAGTGGCAAACTGCTAACACAGCAACATTTCTGGGTCCATTTCTTCAACACAGACTCACAGGAAACCCAACATGCTGTAGTAGAATGAATCCTGAGTCGAGAGACATCAGATGGCATCTGTGGTACTGCTCTGGCATTGTGTGACTATGTGTCATGTGGCTTCTTCCTCTATCCTAAAGTGGTTCCTTACACATTGTACATTCTCTTCAATGTTTAGGAGTTTGACAAAGTACTCTGTAGTATATAGAGCCCTTTGCTGTGTACATTAATTTATTTTCACATCTCCACAGGATAACATAACCCTGATTTTACAGGTAGGAAAACTGCTACTCCTCTAGGAAGTGTAAGTAAACGTCTGATGCCACATTACTGGCAACTGCCAGAATCAGTACATCTTCTAAGTTCTCATGTGTTTAGTGTTAGGTAAGAAAGTTATCTCAGCTCATTATCCCACAGAGGTCCCACATGCCAAAGACTGGGGCCAGAGTGGAGCAAGGCACTCAAATAGTTCACTAACATGCATTCTCTTCTAAACTAATACATTCCCCAAATAAAATCAATTTCTTGTCCAGTCTTTGAAGATATGGTTAATTTTTAGGAGTAAAAGTTTCTAAAATAACCCTCACATAATTTTTATGCTCTTGCTAACCTTTGGAGAGCAGCATTCATAAGCTCTTTGGAAGGGCTATTATTCCCAAATATAACTCATAGTAACTAAGTTATTAATGTATTATTTACTCACTTTACCTTAAGTTACAGAATTTGGAATTATGTAATACAACTAAGAAAATGCTAAAACTGTGTCATTGAGTACATGAGTGGCTGCTATGAGTCTCAAGAGATGAGATACAAAACGGAAAAAAGTTTTAAATTAATCTGGCTACAAAGATTAAATATAAAAATGATGACTAAAAGTAGTCATCATGTTATTATTCTTGTTATTATTCATGTTATTATTCATGTTATTATTCTTAACCAAGAGAAAATATCTATCCTGTTCCTTTTTGGAACTGTTTATCTCATCTTCAACTCAATTTCCAACTCACATCTACCAGAAGATCTCCCGCTAATACAGCTTGGGTCTCCACAGTACGTCTTGGATGTGGTCTTCCCGTACAATCTATATACATTTTGTCAGTTCATGTTCTATGATTACAGTATTTTCTGCTTTGTGTTGTAATTGATTACATGCTTCTCCCTCTCTTTATTCTGAGTCCTTGATGTCAAGGGCCACATTTAACTGTTTGAGGGGTAGTGAGGGGGACTGGATACACTGAGCACCTAAAACAAAGACTCAGTATGATTCTGGAGTAAGTGAACAAATGAGTAAATCTAAATTTGTTTGAAATCTGATGACTAATAGTAAGTCCATGTCATAAAATCAAATGCAGTGTTTCCTTATAGTCCATGTATAGTTTTCTGTACTGACAGCTGTAAAAGAATTCAAAAGAGAGCAATAGACAAAAGCATCTGTATCTTTCATGACAGTAGAAAGTGAACACAGAGACGTTAATCATTATTATAGTCCCTCAAAAGGTACTGCTTTTTCATTCCAAAATATCTCTTACTTTTTCTTGACACAGTCAAATGGGTACGCTAATTTACCTAATAAAAACAAATCCTTAGGTAAATTATTGGCTTCCTTTAAAAGGAAGCTAAAGTAAATTAGGATGGGTCAAAGTTAGACCTAGAAACTTCAAAAGTGACTATTTAATTGAGTGTATTTAACTTATCTTTCCATGATAATTGATAACAAAAGCATTCATCTAATTGAAAATCTCCATGAAATAAAGCAAGACATACTGAAACACTATTCCATATTTTTTTCATGAATCACTTATCTTTAAAGAAAAATTGAGTTACTGATGTATTTAACAGTTAATTTTCAGCTAACTGATGCAGAATTTAAACCTTTGACAAAAAAATTAATAACTTTGATGTTTTAATTTTAATATTAACAAAGGATAGCAGATTTAAGCCATATTTAAAATGTTCACAGTACATATAGACACTTACCCTGAACAATTAGTTACACAGAGAGTCACAAGATGAAATTCAAAAGCAGCATCTTTAGATTTTGAGGTTGTTACTCCAAACATAGACATGAGAAAAATCTCTGTAAATATCTCATCAATTCAGAAGATTATTGAGTTTTAGTAAAGAGATAGGAAGAACATGGAAGTCATAAGAGACACTAAAATTAAAAACACATTTGTTTCTGATTTCAGATTTTGATTCTTTAAAGGGAAAAAAACACAAAAAGAAATAAGGATAAAGGAAAAAAAAACACAAAAAGAAATAAGGATAAAATCTACATACTCAATGCAAAGGCAAGGAATTTCTCAGACAGAAAATAATCTGGCTGATGGAAATAATAAAGCTAAACACCATGCTCCCCACCATCAATCATAAGGTTTGAGATGAAAGATAGATACCCCAGAATACAAATAGACAAGGAGAGGCTTCACAATTTTGTAAAACCTTTAGGGGACAGAAAAGGAGAAAGATGTTTCTTCATCTTTGGAATACAGTAGACATGACCCTAACCCCACAAATTCAGAACCCTGGGCAGGTCCCTGAGAGCCAAATGAGACGCATATTTCAGAGCAGAGATAGCTGGCTTGAGTCTTGGGAGAGGCTAAAGCTACAGGACACTAGGTGATAGATGAGGCAGCATTGCTGGAAGTGAGCACAGGAAGCATTTTAAGATGGCAGAAGCAACAGCAGAACAGTAATTTGGATAAACCCTAAGACAGATTCCTGTACTAACTTCCCTCCTTCACCTCCTAGCTCTGTGTGCTTGTTCAAGTTACATGACCCACTGAACTTGTTTCTTTAACTGAAGAATAAGACTATCAACACCAAACTTAAATAATTTTTATACATACTTGGCTAGGAAAACAGAGCCACTTAATGTGTTCTAAGTATGAAGGGTTTAATATGAAAAAGTAAAGAATTCAACCATTAGAAGAGTTGGGAAGTAAGTGATGAGTTGGGGAGTGAACAAGAGTTGAGGGTGGTCAGGGAAGCCCCATGCCCATGATCACAGCCCGAAGCACTGGTATGGGGTTTCTCATGAGCTTATAGGGAAGTTGCTGCAATGCCTTTGAAATATATGAGTATATGAAAGTTCCCATTGATCTTCTCTGTCTGCATCAGTAAAAGCAATGGTTTTCAGTAGCTGGCTGGAAAGCCAATGTGAATCTCTCATCTGCACAGCATATGATGGAAATTGCCTTCAGAAAAAAATGGCCTTGCAGTCTTCTGCCTTCCTAATCAAGCAGAAATGCTACTTCTTGGCATAGGTCAGTCTGAAACCATACAGGGAGGGGGATTCTTAAACACAAAGGCTCTGGCTTCTCTGCATTGTGAGGAGACCTTAGAAAGAGGTGGTGATGATGCAATTATTCAGCATCAATGAAAATGTTAAATTTGATTATCCACAATAAGAGTATAGCAAAGATTTGTACTAGTATTATTTATTATCTTTACAGGGTAGAAATAACTTTTGGGCAAAATTAACTGTACAACAGAGAGTATTTATTGATATCTGATTTCAGGCACAGAGAAACTTTAGAAAACAGAGTTTGGTGGTCCCTTGGTGAAGAAAAATGGTGTAGATGTTTTTTCCCATAATTCCCAAAATTTCTTTTGATGGAACTATATAACTTACACCGTCAGAAAACAAACATTATTTTAAGGAGGGAAAGGGAAGTAGGACAGTAAGGAAAGAAGGAAGGAAGGAAGGAAGGAAGGAAGGAAGGAAGGAAGGAAGGAAGGAAGGAAGGGAGGGAGGGAGGAAGGAAGGGGAAAAGGAAAAGGAAAAAGGAAGGAAAGGAAAGGAAGGGAAAAGGGAAGGAAAGGAAAGGAAAGGAAAAAGGAGGGAGGATTTTAGCAGTTACACTGCTAGGATGTAGCTCAAGTCAAAAGCTTTTGCTACTTGTTCCAGGTTACTCATAACTGATGTGTCAAATTTGTCAGCCTAATGACTGGAGAAGCACCTATTATATCTTTAATTAGTAGGGAATATGACAACAAGAATGGCAGTTTTATCTACAGCAGCTTAGAAGACAGATTCAAGCACAAGAAAATGAATAATATAAATGGTAAAAATCACCACTGACAATTCAGCAAAGCCAACAAATCCATATAGTACATGCTAAAGTGCAGCAAATTACAATAGAGACAATATAATGAATTAACACATCAATATAACAGCATATTATCAACAAAAACAAAGATCTATTGAGCGTCTCCAATATACAACACTCTGTGCTGAAGAAATTAAGACAACGACCCAAAGCTAGAGCCAGAAGACACAACTAATAATAGATACGATCACAAATGAGCTCATGCAAAGGGTCTACTGATTGGCATAGTGATACCCTCAGGCAAGGATGTAGTAGCTGAAATCAAGACACAGGAGTGGTTCTCTACGAGATGATGTTAAATAAATTAAGAAAGTAAGCTCAAACTTCTCTCTTTGAGAGACAGCAAAAAAAACAAGAGGAAACAAAATAAAAGTGGTTGGAAATGTTCCCTGAGTTCCATGAGCCATAAAGCTGTCCAGGTACACACCCTCTGAGGTTAGTCACTGTGAGAGTGGACATCAATCACTGTGGTCACACTGGAAGACTCCCTCCAGGAAAGTTAAAAGGAGAAATAAAGACCTAAACAGTGCCATACATCAAACCCATGAATCTGAGAACAGGGTGGTAAAAGATGCATTTATAGTACAAATTAATCCAAATGACCAAGAAGGGCAAATGTTTTCCACATGTACACTGTGTGTCATAACGTACTCTGTGACTGTGCATAAAATAATAGCACACTTTGCCAGAAAGGTCATTTTATTTATCAATTCAAAACATATCCATGCAGATTTGCAGCATGCCAATATATTCAACATTTTACTTAACATTAAGACATTTTATTCACTCCTGTTCTCAGGCCCTTTGATGAAGTGACATTTCCTGACATTTTCTGACACTTTCTCACAGTGGAGTAAACTGACATTCATTAAGTCAGATTTCGCTGGATTATTACATCTTATAGATTAGAAAAATTCTGGTCATTCATTCAACAATCGTTGACGAGGTGCCTCACCGTTCTCATTCTTCTCCTGGTTACCAGCATTGCAGTGCGTTTATGCCACTTCCCTAAACAAACAAGGTTAGAAGTCTCATTGACTTCTGGGATGGATATGAATGCCTCATCCTGGCTTTAAAGCACTTCTCCAACATGTCCGCAATGCATGTTTCCTACACAATGTTTGGTACAAATTTCAAACACCACATTCTTCACGAACATTTTCACATTTCTCCTGAACTAAATGTTGTCGTTCCTTATATGAAATATATTTTTTGCTCTTTTATAGAACATTGTGTTTTGTTTCTGGTTAAATACCACTTTATGTTGACCACCCCCAAGTCCTCAGTGGATAACAAATAGCCAATATTATTTTTCATGTATTTTGAGGATTGGCTAGGAGGTTTCTCTGCTGAGTTTGCCTATGGTCATGTATGTGTCTGCATTCAGCTGGGAGCTCAGCTCAGCAGGAAGGCTCCAGACGGTCTTATTCATGTCCGGCAGCTTGCACCAGCTGCTGGCTGGTGTGCCCTGTTTCTTTTTTTTTCAACCTGTTCTTCCATTCACCTATTGGCTAGACTATCTCATTCCATTGATAAAAGAAATAGAGAGAGCCAGTTTTCATTTAAGGATTGAAGAATGAATTTCACTTCTTGATGCGAAGGATGTAAGGCCACTTTTACTGTATTACACATTTCATATTTTGGTTGTGCTTTTATTCTTACAGGTCCTGTAGGTCAGGAACTCTGTTACCACAGTATCTCCTATGTTGTCTGGCACAGGGATGTGTATGTTTTACTTAATAAATATTTATTTCACAGAATGTAAGGGTTGTCATGGTACTATCTATAAATAAATAGATAACAAAGACAAGTCTAGGCAAATATTCAAGACAGAAGCATGTTCTTAAAAACTGGAGAGGGCCAGGTGCAGCGGCTCATGCCTGTAATCCCAGCACTTTGGGAGGTTGAGGCAGGCGGATAATGAGGTCAGGAGTTCCAGACCAGCCTGGCCAATAAGATGAAATCCCGTCTCCACTAAACATACAAAAAGTAGCCGGGCATGGTGGCACAGGCCTGTAGTCCCAGCTACTCAAAAGGCTGAGGCAGAAGAATTGCTTGAATCCGGGAGGTGGAGGTTGCAGTGAGCTGAGATCACGCCACTGTACTCCAGCCTTGACGACACAGTGAGACCCTGACTCAAAAAAAAAAAAGAAAAGAAAAAAATTGGAGAAACTTCTCCAGTGCAGTGGCTCACTCCTGTCATCACAGCACTTTGGGAGGTTGGGAGCCCGAGGCAGGCGGATCACAAGGTCAGGAGTTTGAAACCAGCCTGGCCAGCATGGTGAAACCCTGTCTCTACTAAAAATACAAAAATTAGCTGGGCATGGTGGTGCGTACCTGTAGTCCCAGCTACTCAGGAGGCTGAGACAGGAGAATTGCTTGAACCCAGGAGGTGGAGGTTGTGGTGAGCCCAGATTGCGATACTGCACTCTAGCCTGGGCGACAAAGCAAGACTCTGTCTCAAAAAAAAAAAACAAAAAAAAAAAAACTGAGAAACTGCTACTGGTAGCTAAACAGTCATTGTGAAAATTAATTACAAGCCATTTCAATGTGCTCTGTCTGCTTTCTGCTCATAGAAATGCGGAATCTGTGTCCTTAAAAACAGATACATCTAAACTTATTTTAAAACATTATATCATTTAAATGCATTGTTTCCTTTCCTAATTTGGGGTTTCTCCACCAAACGAAATTGCGTATAAGAAAATCTATAAATCACCTTCATATAAGATATTTAATTTAAAATAAACCTTCAAAAAAGTGAGAAACTGACTTATACACTATCATTTGAGCATGGATACATTTTCTATTATTACATAAACATTTTCTCAACCATATTGTCCTTTCTTAAACATTCCTTTAAAAGGAATTTCATGATGAGAATGCCATATAATTAATTTAATGCCTATATTTTTCTCACGTACATGTAATTACATACATATTTCAAATAAATACTTGGTTGTTTATTTTCCTTCCACTTAAGCATATTTAAAACAAAGCTGAATATTCACCTAATTTCCCCTAAACAAAATGAGCATTGGTATACAAGGGTAAAATGATGAAAGTCATATTTTTAACAATATTTCCTTATATGTGTCATCGAGGAAATTATCTAATCTTTTTTAGTCTCTATTTATTCATCTGTAAGATAGAAAATAGCAATTTTTTCCAGATTGCATACCTCTAAAACACTGTAATTCTCTATATGCCCCTTAGCTGTGTAACACACTAATACAAAATTAGAGGATTCATTAGCTGTTATTTTGCTACCCATCAGTTTCATTAATAGGAGCTTTACAATTTGGAAGGGGGGAAAATAGCACTAGATAATTAATGAACCAGATATTAAGCCTAAATACATATTCACACATTACTCAGCACACTAATAAACCAGCTAAGAGAAAAACATTGGTTGAGACTGTTTGCTCAAGTCATTCATAGTAGCAATTTTGTTTTTCACAGTTAATAAAGTTAATACCGAGGAGACACAAAACAAAAAAAAGGATAATAAATATGTATCTACAAAATCAGAAAAAAATGTTAAACCAAAACATAAGGAAGCAAGTTATGCTAGAATAAAAATGAAAGATAGCTTGCAAAGATATATTTTAATTATTAAAATCACCAGCATTCTTGTTTTCCTAAAGTATTTACACAAACTACTGTCCTCTGATCATGCTGCCATTTCCTCTCAATGTTCTTTTGTCTTCTAATCAAGAGAGTAAGACACCAGGCAACTTCCAAATTGTGGAATTCTAATTATACTTTCCTTACTGAAAGAAACCAAGACTCCTTGGGGACTTAGCTGACTTCAGGCTGGATCAAGTGATGTATAAGAGATATCTGAGATATCCTATTTTGACAGAAAACAAAGACCACTGTGTTCAAAAGACATAGTGCCAACCTGAAGACAAGCTCCCACTTTTCAAAGATAGAACTGTTTGAATAACAATAATAACAAATAACAACTGCAACATACAGAATTGTCAAATAATGTTTACTGAGTACATAATGACAAATTAAAAGAAAACGTCCAAAAATAATAGATGATGGTGAGGTTGTAGAGAAAGAGGAATGCTTATCTACTGCTGGTGGGAATGTAAACTAGTTCAACCATTGTGGAAGACAATGTGGCGATTCTTCAAAGACCTAAAGACAGAAATACTATTCAACCCAGCAATCCCATTACTGGATATACACCCAAAGGAATATAAATCATTCTATTGTAAAGACACACGTACACGTATGATCACTGCAACACTATTCACAATAGCAAAGACATGGAATCAACCTAAATGTCCATGAATCATAGACTGGATAAAGAAAATGTGGTACATATATGTCATGGAATATTATCACTTTGCAGCCATAAAAAAGAACAAGATCATATCCTTTGCAGGGACATGGATGGAGCAGGAGACCATTATCTTTAGTAAACTAACACAGGAACAGAAAACCAAATACCACATGTTCTCACTTATAAGTGGGAGCTAAATGATGAGAACACAGGGACACACAGAGGGGAAAACCATACACTGGGCCCTATTAGAGGGTGGAGGGTGGGAGGAGGGAGAGGATCAGGAAAAATAACTAATGGGTACTAGGCTTAATACCTGGGTAATGAAATAATCTGTACAATAAACCCCCATGACACAACTTTGCCTATGTAACAAAACTGCACATGTGCCCCTGAACTTAAAAATTAAAAAAAAAAACCTTAAGAATTATCTTTGGAAATTACTAGAATACCCACTCATTGTTATGAAAATTAGTAAATAGAAAAAATAATTAAGCACTTATCTTGCTTTCATCTCACATATTATATTTAGAGTAAGCAAATAATGCAAAATAGAAAAATCTATAAGTAGGCTATGGTCAGACTTCTGTAAACCAATGTTGTTGCAATAAATAGAACAGAGTAGTGTGTAAAAATGTAAGATTAGGAATTTTCTTGAAATCTTTGGGCAGAATTTTCTTAGTTTCTTTTAAGATCAAAATTTCCTAAATGTTCTTAATTTCCCTTCAGTGTGGATGTGTTCTTCCATCCACCCCTCCCAATGATAGAAGAGCAGGGACCTCAGCTCTGACCTACCCTATTGGGCTGCTTCCTTCCTCCATGTGAGTGTACTGACTCTAAAACGTCAGTTTCCTCCAGGAGTAACATGGAGAGCCTGACTGTGTTGTGTCCTTGTCACTTGTGTCTTCTTCCCTCTGTTTGTGAAAACAATCTTGAAATAGATTCCCGCAACGATTCTTGCTAAGTTTTAAAGTTGAAATAAATCTTTATGTTTTAGCTTAATAAATCTTTACTTATTTTCAAAGCACTTTCCTATAAATTATCTCATTTGATCATCAATAACGTTCTGAATAGTATAACTCAGTTGGGATGCTATCAGGAAGAAGTGGTTGTATTGAACGGTCTGCATATAAGATAGAAAGATATCCATTGGAGAGAGGGAAGAAAAATAAGAAAAAAATAAATATGAGTGGAGTATAAAAATAACAGCTTGATGGAAAGTGAAAGAAATAAAAAGATATATAGGAGGTTCAACATAAAATGAGAGAAATCATGAGGAGGAGACATATAGATTGAGATCATCTACTGAAAGAGAAAACAGAAAAAAAGATATATGAAAAGAGAAAATAAAGATCAAGGAGGAAGGAATGGGATGGAACAGAAAAATGATAGATTTAATGAGTTCTGAAGTGTGTTAATCAAGTTAAACTGCTTATGCCTCATTGTGCCGTCCACTTAAGCTGTGACTATTAAAATAAGTTACGATCCATAATTTATTACCTCTGTCCTTTGAGAGGCTAATTAGCTTTCCTACAATTAAGCACTATTCACAACTCCTCAGCTGTTCTTATCAAACCTTCAACTGGCTATAAATGCACAGCCAAAGCAGTCCTTTGGGAGAGATGATTCCGTTGCAAAATTATGTCAGAAAACACACTCATCAGAGCAGTTTTCTCAAAGTGTGGCCCAGTGCTTTAGCAATAAAGACACCTATGATCCTTATTAAAATGCAGATTATCCTGGGTGTTGCCAGGAGACACTAAATCAGAATTTCTGAAAATGGGGCCCAGGAAACTGCATTTTTAACAAGAATCTTAAGTGCTTCTTATATACACCAAAGTGTCTTCTGTTAGAAGAAATAAAGCCAAGATTCAGACCAAGTTAATCATCTAAAGTGCTTACTGCTATCAGCTATTGGGTCTGGTACCTTTCAAAAGGAAAAAGAACAAAACGGTCATCTGCTAGTCCTGGTCATCAGTAAGGTGATTTCAAAGAAACACTATTCTTCTCTGAATTGTTAGGTCTTCATTAACTTCCTTCTGCACCAGGTTGACCAAATAAAATATGGGCATCTTTAAGGTTAAAGGAAAATTCAGCAATAAAGTCAGGAAGTGGACAAATGGCTGTAATTATGTGATGTTTGTTTCTTTCTCAAGTATTCATTCTTTGTCTTATTTAATTTCCTTATTTAACTAATCATGGGAAAAGATAAAAATAGGAGCAATGTCCCTCATTATGTTATCAATAGTTGCTGTGACTGAGTCCTCATTTCCCCAGGGAGATCAGACTGTGTGTCTTTAGCCCTGTTTGGGGATTTTTTTTTGTCTTATTGTTGTTTTTTTTCAATGTCTCTCCATTCTATTTTACTCAGAGACTTAGATTCTTAGATCATTTATGTCATCACTAAGAGAGTTTATCAGGTCAAATAATGTTTTCCTTGCATTTTTTAATAACCCGTAGGTAAATAATGCATGCAATTTTCCCTGAAAGTAACATTTTCTTTGTGTATACTACATAAAAACAGCTGAAGGAAGTGAAGGATCCAGAGAGCATGCCGAAGAATATAAAATGGTAGACAAAAGAACCTTTATACTCCCTTCTCTTTGGCTTTAAAATATATATATATTTGCAATTCCTTAAGGGCTGTAAAAGATTGATTGATTTTTACAAACCTTAAGGTATTACAAAGATTTGGCAGGGAACGTGGGGGATTAGATGTGGTTTTTGTTCTCTGCATATTGTTCATTTGAAAAATAAACACATAAATGAAAGAATGGTTTGATGAAAATACAAACAAACGAGGTGTTTATGTTACTACAATTTCTATAATTTTACAGGTATATTAGTCAAAAGCTTTAATAAAATTGAGAAAAAGTAAAAGGCAGAATTTCTGATTATATCAAATGACTTTGACTAAAACTTCAATTAATAAGCTAAAAGAATAGGTCAAATAGGTACAAACAGTCCACAACATTATCTTTCTTCATGACTGGCCTCTTAAAATCCACCTTGAGGGGCAGGCAGGCTCTGTCCTGCACCTGAATGAAAGTCAATGGCAATCCCATTACTTTGGTGACTCAGAGACTGAATGTTCTCTAGTCACATCTGTATACAAGAACACTTTCAGTTTATTAATTAAATGTTCATTCTTGTGTAACAATTTTTAAAATTCCAAACTTCCTTCAATTTAAAATTTTGTGGCAATTATTTCCAAATTGATCTATAGATTCAATGTAACTCCTATTAAAATCCAATCAGGCTGGCCAGACGCAGTGGCTCAGGTCTGTAATCCCAGCACTATAGGAGGCCAAGATGGGCGGATCACTTGAGCTCAGGAGTTCAGTACCAGCCCAGGAAACAAGGGAAAACCCCGTCTACACAAAGAATACAAAAATTAGCTGGACATGGTGGCGCATGCCTGTAGTTACAGCTACTCGGGAGGCTGAGGGAGGAGGATTGCTTGAGCTGGTAAGGTCAAGGCTGCAGTAAGCAATATTTGTGCCACTGCACTCCAGCCTGGGTGACAAAGTGAGACTCTGTCTCAAAAAAACAAAACAAAACAAAATAAATCCTTTTAGGCTTTTTTACAGAAATTAACAAGCTAATTCTAAAATGTATATGAGAATGCAAAGAACTTAGAGTAAAGCAAACAACTTAATAAAAACAAAACAAAGTTCCTTCTTTTATGTTGATAAAAATAAAATTTAAAAAAATAAGATGTTCAACACCATTCGCCCTTAGGGAAATGTAAGTTAAATCCACAATGCGATACCATTACCACCGACTAGAATGGCTACAATCAAAACAACTGACAATATCAAGTTGGCCAGGATGTGAAGCAACTAGAACACTTATACAATGCTGATGAGAATGTAAACTGGTATAATCACCTTGGAAAACAGTGCTTACCATATGATCCACCAATTCCACTTCTAGGTATCTACCCAAGACACATGACCCATATGTTCACACAAAGACTTATACATGGAGTGTTCATAGCAAACAGTATTCATGATAGCCCAAAATTATAACCATTCTAAGTGTCCACTAACTGGTGACTAGAATAACAAATTGAGATATATACACAGTATGAAATAATACTCACAAATATGATAGTAGTGATCATGATAGTAGTGATGAGAGGTGAAAACGTGCTAGCAGCCCTGGCTCGCTTTCCGCGCCTCCTGGGCCTCCGCTCTGGCCACACGCCAGGAGCCCTTCAGCCTGCCGCTGCGCTATGAGGGCCCCTCTCTGGGGCTGGCCGATGCCGGAGCCAGCTCCCTCTGCTCACCGGAAGGTGTGAAGGGAGAGGTGCTGGCGGGAGCCCGAACTGCGCGCCGCGTTCGCGGGCAGGCGTGGGTTCTGGGTTGGCGCAGGCTCAGTGGGCCCCGCACTCGGCTCGGCCAGCCGGCGCCTGCGGGACTTGATCAGGGACTAGCTCCCTCTGGGCTGCCTGAGCGCCGGGGCTGGGTGCCGCAGAGCCCCGGTGAGACGTGAAACCGGCTGGGCTTCTGGGTGGAGTGGGGACTTGGAGAACCTTTCTGTCTGGCTAAAGGACTGTAAGCACCAATCAGCACTCGGTGTCTAGCTAAAGGTTTGTAACGGCACCCAGCAGCACCCTGCCAAAACGGACCAATCAGCTCTCTGTAAAATAGACCAATCAGCTCTCTGTAAAATGGACCAATAAGCAGGATGTGGGTGGGGCCAGATAACGGAATAAAAGCAGGCCACCATGCTGTGGAAGCTTTGTTCTTTTCGCTCTTTGCAATAAATCTTTCTGCTGTTTACACTTTGGGTCTGGGCTGCCTTTATGAGCTGTAGCACCGAGAAGGTCTGCAGCTTCACTCCTGAAGCCAGAGAAACCACGAACCCACCAGAAGGAAGGAGCAACTCCCGATGCGCCACCTTTAAGAGCTGTAACACTCACCGCGAAGGTCTGCAGCTTCACTCCTAAAGCCAGGGAGACCACGAACCCACCAGAAGGAAGAAACTCCGGACACATCTGAACATCTGAAGGAACAAACTCCGGACACACCATCTTTAAGAATTGTAACACTCACACTCACCACCAGGGTCCCTGGCTTCATTCTTGAAGTCAGGGAGACAAGAACCCACCAATTCAGGACACAGTGATACAAGTTAGTAGTGATACATGATAGTAGTGATACATGTTACAATGTGGAAGAACTTCAAAGATATGCTCATGAAATAAGCCAGACATAAAAGATTACATATTGTATCACTCAATTGATATGAAGTTTCTAGAAAAGGCCCATGCATGGAGACTGAAAACACATGAGTGTTTGCCTTAAGGCTGGGCATTGAGTGGTTGCCTTAGGGCTGAGGTTGACAGAAAGAAACAAAAAAAATTTTTTGAGCTGGTGGAAATGTTTTAAATGTTTAGTTATGGTTGTGTAAGTCTATGAGCCTCCTAAAAATAACTGAAATATTTACTTAAAATAGTTAAATTTTATGATAGTAAATAAAACTGTTAAAATATGTAGGAAAGTATAAATAAACCTGTCACCTCAATAAAACTGTTTTAAAAAGAAAAGTTAAGGCCACGTGTGTTGGCTCACACTGTAATCCCAGCACTTTGGAAGGCCGAGGTGGAAGGACTGTTTGGGGCCAGGAGTTCAAGACCAGCCTGGGCAACATAGTAAGACACTGTGTCTGCAAAATATAAATTAAAATCCTAGCAGAGTTTGGCAGAGTGTGTCTATAGTCCCAGCTACTAAGGAGACTGAGGTGGGAGGATCACTTAAACCCAAGAGTTTGAAGCTGCAATGAGCTGTGATTGTGCCACTGCATTCTGACCTGGGTGACAGAGTTAAACCCTGTCTCAAAAAAGTAAATAAATAAAATTAAATAAATAAATAAAATTAAATAAATAAATAAAAGTAGAATTTTATTTTGGTCTTTTTTTTTTGAGACAGAATCTCGCTCTGTTGCCCAGGCTGGAGTGCAGTGTCACGATCTTGGCTCACTGCATCCTCTGCCTCCCGGGTTCAAGCGATTCTCCTCCCTCAGCCTCCTGTGTGGCTGGTATTACAGGCACGCACCACCATGCCTGGCTAATTTTTGTATTTTTAGTAGAGACGGGGTTTCACCATGTTGGTCAGGCTGGTCTCGAACTGCGACCTTGTGATCCTCCCACCTAGGCCTCCCAAAGTGCTGGAATTACAAGAATTTGTATGTCTACCTCAGGATATCTGAAGGTTGAAAGTCCGAAGTGAAAATTGGAGACATAGTGGGCATTTCCCTTTTTGTTCTAACTCATCCCCTAGATGGGAATTAAATGGAGAGGAAAAAGATACGAGTTGATCCAGTGTTGATGTAGACAGAACATGAATGATCTTTAATGAGAGCTGTTTTTTTTGTCAGGTGCTTTATGGGCTTTTTTACACATCCTCACGTCCTGGGGCCCCTCACCAGCACTCCTCTCATCCAAATGGCACTTTCGGTTAACCCCGTTGACTACTCTTGGATCCACTGCTACATCTGTTTGGGGTCCTTTATGTTCTAGTGGACATCTTGAGAAAAGTCCCTCTTGGATTGAAGAATGTCTTTCTTCAGCAGTTAACCTACAATTTGGTCCACTGGAAATATTCATCTTTGACCCATGGCAAAACCCATCAAGATTTTTGAGTGGTCCTAGGAGGCTCCTGCCCCTGACTTGAAGTAGGAGAAAACATGACTCATCCTCCCCTCACCCTAACATGGGGGGATGTTAGAACTCTCAGCTCATTCTTCAGTGTCTACATTTATTTGGCCAGATGTAATGGCTCTGCTAGGGTTCACAAAAACTTTTCTTAAACATCTTTTTTACAAGTTCTGATTAAGTGAGCTAGAACCTCACTTTGAAATGTGAAAACTCTTAACCACCCATTTTCTTGGAGATTAGCCTAAACTGAGGCAGAAAGTCCCATTTTAACATACTGTTATACTATAATTTATTTTTTAAAAAGGACAAGTGGTTTTAAACTTTTGCTACAACATAAGCCATTATCCTCATTTCACCTATGTATAACTAAGGGGAATTCAAAAAACTTAAATATGTTTCCAATGGAATAGTAGGCTTTCCTGTGAATTACCACAGATAAAAAGGAGAAGACAAAGTTTATTTCAAAAGTCTTACAGAAATTTTTCTTTAGAGTCACAGAGGCCAGGAAAGTATGCCTACCTTATATAAATAAAAGCCCTGTCACAACCCATTTTCAAAGCAGATGTATAGCAGGATCCAGCAGGGGTTTGCATCTGTTTCATGTGTGCTGGCCTTCCTCTGTAGAAGCTCTCAGCTGTGCAATCAGACACATTTTCACTCACCAGGGGAGATTAAAATCCATATGGTTTACTTACTACTTGTCCTTGGACAGAATCCTGATGAGAACAGTGTAAGAGACCAAACAGCTATAGATTTCAGACAGGCTACTTGAATAAGATCTGACTGATTGTTTGGAAACAGTGTTTATCATTGCATCAAATATCTTTTAACAAATGCCAAGAAATGACTCCACTTGAAGAGTTCAGTTAGTTGGACAAAGCCCAGAGTAATTTCTGTTCCATAACACCTTGGAAAGTTTCAGAGGTTTCATGTAAGACCCAACTAACGTAGTATTGAAAATATATTAATGGATCTAAAAGTTCTGAATGTGACCAAACTTATCCATTTCTTGATTATGTCAGAGGCGTCCATGCCAGAATGACTCCATCTTGAATAGAGACCCAGTAAAGTGAGACTTGCTGGGGGACATTCCCAGGAAGTTAGGTACTCTTGGTGACAAGATGTTTATGGTTGAGGGAATGAGTTAATGATGCTAACTAACTAAATAAGACCCCTTAGGACAAAAAGAATTCTTTTTTTTGTTTTTTGTTTTTTTTGTTTTTTGTTTTTTTGAGGAGGTGTCTCGCTGTGTCACCCAGGCTGGAGTGCAGTGGCACGATCTCAGCTCATTACAAACTCTGCCTCCCAGGTTCACGCCATTCTCCTGCCTCAGCCTCCTGAGTAGCTGGAACTACAGGCACCCGCCACCACACCTGGCTAATTTTTTATATTTTTAGTAGAGACGAGTTTTCACCGTGTTAGCCAGGATGGTCTCCATCTCCTGACCTTGTGATCCGCCCACCTCAGCTTCCCAGAGTGCTGGGATTACAGGCGTGAGCCAACGCGCCCGGACAAGAATTCTTAATTTAAGAACAGGTTTCGCTTTAAGATAATAGAATAACCATAAATTCTTGTTGAAATTAATAGTTACACAAGAGAATAAAAATACTAATAGCCTGTCACAGGCTGATCACAAGCCTTTGTAATAAAGCGCATTATTCTTAACTCTAATATCCTATATAAGTAAGCATTATATTTTTGGAAGTGATGTTTCTCATCTTGCTTACTGAGGTCACCCTACTCTGTAATAGTCTCTAATAAACTATGCTAAATTTACTGCATTCTGTAACACGCCCTGAATTTTTAGCTGCGTGAGATCCAAGAACCGCTCTTGGGACAAGACCCCTTTTCTGGTAACAATTAGATCTAGAATTTCACTAAACTATAAAGGGAGAATAAGCGAAATGCTCTCTACAGGGTCATTATTGGTTAATTCATTGGTTTACCTTGATATAAAATAAAATAAAATTTATTTAAAATAAAACAATTCATTTTTGGTTAATTCATCTGTTTACCTTGATATAAAATATAATAAAATGTATTTAAAATAAAATAATTCATCTGTTTACCTTGATATAAAATAAAATTGTTAATATTTGTCATGTTACCTCTCACGTGGTTGTGAAAATTATTTAAAATAACTTATAAAAATGTTTCAAAAACATGAAGTGTAAAATGGGAAAAGATCACATTATAATATTCTGGGATAGTTGTTTCAAGACATGTCCATATTAAAATTTCATTAAGAAAATATTAATTAAAACAATTAAGTTTTTGTAAATATGTTTGGCAAATATCACTTACGAAGTGATTACACACAAGAAGCTGCCTATGGTTCAGTAGATGTCTGCTTACTATTTCCTCTTATCCTTCACACGTCTCACTTATATGTAGGGTATCCCAGCCTTCAGTAAGATCCCACTGACTCCTCTAATTTATTGTCTCTTGTTATTCATGCCAGGTTGATCGATATAGCAAAATGAGGCCATTTAAATTATGCATGTGGAGATTGTTGCTATGTTAATTACTGTGCTACCCATGTATGGAAAGCATGAATATTGTTCTCTATTTCTGCTTTTACTCTTCAAGTTTCTCAGATATAATGACTTCCTCTTTATTTGCAAGTGTGAATTCAAGAGTTACTTAATGAGATAGGTCAAAAAACACATTTAATATTTCATATGGGATTTTCTCTTATCATGTTCAATGCTGATAATAGCTGGACTTGTATTTCATGTATGAATGTATTTATTCCTTAAAACCTTGTGTAGTACATAACCATTATTATTCTCATATTATGAGTGACTAAACTACAGAACACAGAGTGTCAAGTAACTGCAGACACAGGCTGTGTACATAACCAGTATATTGAAGAACCCATATTTAAACCCATTTATCTAATACCAAAGCTGGGTTCATTCAAGACATCCAAGAAGCAGACACCAAGACAGAATAAAAAACATAAGTATTTTATTTCAGAAATTGTCTATGGTAAAATGAGAAAGAAGTCAGAAAAGAATTGGAGAGATGTCAAACTACTATATAAGTCATTACAGAATTTTTAAAAAGGAAAGGAAAGGGTGGATGCAAGTGATCTGGACAGCAAGGCAATCTAAGGAAGGTTTGGCAAGACCATCAGACAGTCCTCAGGCCAAAGTTGCCATTAGAGGAGTTCCCTGTCTCCCAGGACAGGGCTTCCCTTTAGCTCCCTACTGTGCTTAGTCAGTAACCAGGAGCAGCCAGTGGGAGGTGTGTGTCAGTGCAAGTGAAGCCGTGAGTTCTTGAACACAGCATCTGTGGCCCATGGTCCATTATGCTCCCTATCTCTCAAGTTCCATATGGCACATTCTCAGGACTGCCAACACATTCTTAAGCACTACATTATATTGTCCACAAGTCTAAAGTAGGGGGAAAGGACAAAGATAAACCAGAGAGACCAGTTCCTGACACTAAGTTCTAAGACCAAGTTTAGTAAAAGTGGGCAAGATGCAGTAGTGAATCCGGTATAACACAGATTTTAGAAATCCTTGCACATTTCTCCAAGTGAGAATTAGAATTTTAAATAATTCCTCTTTATAAGTCCAAATATGTTATGGGTGAAAGGTAACATACAGTTTGGATGTATCTCAGATCTAAAACATGAGCCTGCAAGAGTTTGACATACCTGAGAAAACTGACCATTAAGCACTCAGGAATGTGCTGGGAATGTCCACAGTTACTTGCATCTAGTAAGAAGTTAGGCACATGGCCAAGCGCGATGGCTCACGCCTGTAATCCCAGCACTTTGGGAGGCCGAAGTGGGCGGATTACCTGAGGTCAGGAGTTCAAGACCAGCCCGGCCAACATGGTGAAACCCAGTCTCTACTAAAAGTACAAAAATTAGACGGGCACGGTAGCACACGCCTGTAATCCCAGCTGCTTGAGAGGCTGAGGCAGGAGAATTTCTTGAGCCTGGGAGACGGAGCTTGCAGTGAGCCAAGATTGTGTCATTGCACTCCAGCCTGGTGGAGAGAGCGAGCCTCTGTCTCAAAAAAATAAAATAAAATAATAATAATAATAATAATATACACATAGCCATAGACTCCAAGGCAGTTGGGAAACGTAAGAAGAATCTAAAAATTCCCCTGGAAGGAATAGCAATGGGTGTTGAAGAACCTTTTGGGACCTCCACACCATCAGATGATACATCTGCACCAGGAGGCCTTGGGGCCTTTGAAAGCAAGGGGGCTTATTTCTCTTAAGAAGGAGATTTTTCTCAAGTTTTTTCAATTGCACAGTTACCTAAGCATTGTAAGTTATATTATTTACATGCATATAAAAATATATCTTTAAAATGAGTCCATTGGGATGTTTCTGTCAATTATTTTCACCATGTTACACTCCAACAACCGTGACTTTTTTTTTTTTTTTGAGATGGAGTTTTGCTATTGTCGCCCAGGCTGGAGGGTAAGGGCATGATCTTGGCTCACTGCAACCTCCGCCTCCCGGATTCAAGTGATTCTTCTGCCTCAGCCTTCTGAGTAGCTGGGATTACAGGTGCACACCAGCACATCCGGCTAAGTTTTTTTGTATTTTTTAGTAGAGATGGGGTTTCACCATGTTGGCCAAGCTGTTATCGAGCTCCTGAACTCAGGTGATCCACCCACCTCAGCCTCCCAAAGCGCTGGGATTACAGGCGTGAGTCACTGAATTTCACAGGCATGAGCCTGTGAATTTTTATACTAACCAATTTAACTTGGAAGTGAAAATTCAGAGGTCATGCAAGAAATGTCCATGTAATTAACTACCTTAGAAGTCCCCATTTTCTTCTACCTGGACCACTGTAATGATTTCTTACCAGATATTCCCACTTCAGCCTCATTCCTACTACAATCTATCATATACACTGTTTTCAGGTGAATCTTCTAAAGTAGCTACATATAAACTAAATACACAAGGATTTGAATTCCAAGCTTTTCTGATTCCTTGTGTGACTAGGAATGTCACAAAAGAATCACTCTGACACTCAATTTCCTAATTTTCAAAATGCAAACAAGATGCTTCTGTCAGTTATTAATTTATTGTCCTTCAGCTCAAAATTTACCTTTCTTTGTTGGCTCCTACTCCTGGACTCGGCCAGCTAGCGTGATGTTAAGCTTTATCAGTAGAGGATGCTAGAGGGACACTGGAGGTGATAGGGGTTTCTCTTCCTCATTCTGATGTGGTTCTATCCCAGGTTCCTGCAACACACATGGATCCCATGGTACCCAACTCCTGCAGCATGTGGCAGCCAGTAAGTAGTACCTGATGGCCAGCAGCTTGCAGCACATCTGCACAGGCAGCTTCCTGTGGCACTAGAGCAGCTTTGCAAGTGGTGCCAATGTCTCCATCCATCCTTGTGAACAGCATTCCCCTGTAACCCTTTCCACAGCTTTGCACATGAATTAGTCCGCACCTCCTTTCCCAGGGGTTCATTTTTCCTGGTTTCAGTTACCTGCTTTTCCAGATACCCATGGTCAACCATAGTCTGAAAATATTAAATAGAATAATCTAGAAATAATTCATGTTTTAAATTGCACGCTGTTCTGAGTAGGGTGATGAAATCATGCTCCTTCCCCCTGGGATCCAAACTGTATACATATACTAGCTTCCCACTAGTCATCGACATCGTTGGCTCCTGACATCCAACCGTCATCATTGTTATAGTTCAATGATCCAGAATCACCCAAAGCAGATGATCCTCCTTCTGATGTATTGTCAGAAGGTCAATAGGAGCCTAAGGCGACACCACAATGCCTATGTCATTTACTTCACTTCATATCATCATGTAGGCATTTTATCATCTCATGTCATTACAAGAAGAAGGGTGAGTACAGTGAGATAGACTGAGAGAGAGAGAACACATTCATGTATTACAGCATAACATGATAATTATTCTATTTTATTATTAGTTATTATTAATACCTTACTGTGTCTAATTTATAAATTAAACTTTATCATAAGTATGTGTGTATAGGAACAAACATAGAATATATAGGGTTCAGCACTATCCATGGTTTCAGGCATCCACTGGGGGGTCTTGGAGTATATCCCCCCATGGATAATGGGCAACTACTGTAGTTCTAATTCTCAGGACTTCCCCATGAGCAACTTCCGCCATTACCCTGGAAGATAAATACCCCAGTGAGTCCTGCCATTGCAACACTTCAGCCAACTTATCCACCATCAAGTGAGACACAGTTGCACCATTTCCAGCAAGTTCTGCATCTCAGTCCTGTGAGAGAAACTTCGTGCAGATTTGCCTCTTTCTTGTGTGCTGGGCACCCAGAAATAGGGGTAGAACCCTTCTACCTGTATCTGCTCTATTTAAATTCTTTAGAATTTTCTTTTCCCCTCACCAGCCAGCCCCATATTATAGTTAGTAATTCTTATATTTAACTTTCCCTGTCTAATTTACTGTGTGATTTCTGTCTCCTAATTGGAACCTGATTTATACAAAAGTATTAACCATTGTCATAGGATTGTCCATTGAATAGAGGGTTTAAGTTATAAGCACGGTAGCATGTATATGGTAAAAGTGCTTAGTAAATTGTCGATGTTAATATTATTAATGAAATTTAATCCTGACAATGACAAGCACTAGTAAGTCAAACTGTAGAACTCACATTTTGCAAACACACTCCATGTTTCCTCTTTCTCTGTCTTTGCTCATGCCTATACCTCAGCTTAGATTGCCTTTGAACCAATCCTTCAAAATTAAGAACCTTTGGAAAAATACTAAAATTTTAGCCTAGGGTTATTGAGTCCAAATACAAGGAAACCTTGATTTCAAAGCAAATGTTCTCAGTGGCAATAAATTCATTTCAATCTAACAAACATTGTTTCAATACTTTGTATATGTCAAGCATTATGCTAATCATAACAGATACTGAAGAAGAATAAGACTTCTTTCTGCCCTCAAGTCATTCATGTCCCATTAGTATATATAGAATTGATGACAAAAAAAGCTATGATATAATTCTAATGGGGGTCACAAATTTATTCACATTGCACTTAATGTGAACAGATCATAGATGTCCTTTTGTCTATAACTGATCTTACTTTCTGAGTAGCTCATATGCTGCTGAATAGTAAACATAAATATTAAATTTTCCCATCATAGTAAAATGTTTATCTTATGCCTTACTCTCCTTTAAAACTTCGTCTCTTATCTATCTAAATAATGCTTCAGTTTACAAGCGTTCCACTCCAAGAAGACATCCACGTTTACTAAAGGTAGTTTGCTTGACTTCGCAGCATTAGAACAAAGAAAACTCCCTTGCCCTCTACTGATTCTTGTGTCTGTGCTGGCTGGGGTTTTGAGGCATTGGTACCAAGGTTCCCATTCTTGTGGAATATGTTGCTTCCTGCTTCTCAACTACTGCCTGGAATAATGTGTGGCTTTTGTCTCTACTTGGTCTGAGGTCAGATAGACTTTCTGTCTGACTGGGCCCCACCTCAGTACTCTAGCTGGCATTACATATATATTCTGATTCTTCTCTTCCCTTTCCACCACAGGTTCTTAGACTTAGACATTCTATCTATCATACAGCCTTTGCTATATTTCTCTCTGAATCATCTTGGCTCTCATCCATGGAATGTCCACAAACTCTCAGCTACCTGCTGTAATGCCCCTGATATGGGACAAGTAGGAAACTCTGGGTGTCTTAAAACCAAAGAGAACCAAAAGTAACTCAATAATGCTAAATAGGTACCCTCTATCTGGCTACAGAACTTTGTAAAGAGTCTTCTGCTCTTTACAGGAATATCATGGGTTGATTCCAGACCTTGGTGTACTACCAGTTGTCCCTCTGAGAGTCCTAAAATCGAAGAGAAGGCAGGCAAACCCTCTCTGGCTTCAATGATCCCATCTATTACCTAAAATACTTTTCCATGCCAGAGTTTTATTTTAAAGGAGTGAGGCTTCGACTCACACATGTCAGCCAAGTGTTTCTCTTGCCTCTGCTCTCTTTTGTCCACATAATTCTCTGTGGCCAGAAGAAGCAAATATTTACTTTGCTTTTTTTTTCTTCCCTGAGAGTTCATCTACATTGCATTTTTTCCAGCTTCTCTCACATAGAAAAGTCTTATGGCAGGCAGAAAAACTGGCTTACTAATAAAGAAAACACAAAAATGTTCTACATATTACATCACTTTTATATTTCAAGAGAGTTTGGTTAGAATATTCTCTTCTCGATATTTCCCAAAGACTGAAAATTTCTGGTGCTCTTTGTTTACCTTAGAGAGAGAGAGATGCCACAGATTACATCCGAGTCCTTTTCTTCCTGATTGCCTGCCTCATTGCCTCAATGACATTCCAGCACCTGGCACTAGTCATGGTATTACCCTGACTTTTTGAGCCAGAAACTGATTTAAGAATCTGGTTTTCTCTCTTCATGTTGTGCTAGCAAGAGCGTCTTCATTTCTCTCTATATACTAAATGAAGAAACAGAAATAGCTTGGGCACAAACTTAAAATAAAATAAATGTGTTTTAAATAGTCAAAATACTGTAGCTCCATTTCAGAGATACACAAAAAGTACTTAATGATCCCAACACAATCTCCAAAATAATTTGACCTAATTGCAAAAGGACATAACCTAATAGGATTATGAAAGATAAAAAGGAGGTATAAGTTAACCTGGTTGGGGAATGTTCTTGAAGTCAGAAATCATGTTTTATTTGTCTCTGTATTCTTCATAACACCTAATATAGTTCCTCATGCACTGTAGAAACAGTATTTGTTGAACTGAAGTTCATGGAATTGATGTGTCATACTTGGTTACATATTGAATAGTAGAAATTAAAGTCATTCACTGACCCCTTGATAATATAAAAACATATTCATCTGCAAAAACTTCTCACAAAACTCAGGCAGAACCTGAGATGTTTTGAAAAGCTAGGCTTATTTTTATTTCTTCTAAAAATGAAACCACTTAAATTTAAAAGGTTTACATGGCTGCCACTGTGTTTGGTTTCTACACCCCATTTCATAAACATTTTCCTGAACCTTTGCTTTTGTTTGCTTTCTATTAAAGGGAGTCTGGGGTTTCTTTGAATGGAAAAAGAGAAGAGCAGTCATTGTTGCATGTATAGTTCAAAACAGCTTTATTTTCCTGACTGATTCTGCAGTCACAAGAAGCATATCACTGCAGGTGGTTGTGAGTCTGAGATTCAGCTTGAGGGAGAGCAAATCAATGTTTCACTTTAAGGAAAAATAACTAGCTTTAATCAAAAAATAAAATTCAGGACAATAAATGAAAGCAGTATATATCATGTTCAGAAATTATATTAGTGACTCAACAAAGAGCTGAGAAATTCAACATTGTGATATAGTCATCAAAGCTTTCATCTAAGCTTTCTTTGTCTGAAACAGAGTTTGGAAATTTAGCAGAAAATGAAATACCCCAAAAAGCAATGTGATCAAAACTCTGTCATACTGATCAGAACAGATCATCTACACAGGAACTAAATAAGCATGATTTAACTGTATTACTTACACACCACAGAAAGAGATTGAGCTGATTAGAGATTATCCTGGGAATGCTTTTGGAAGAATTTAATTAACGTATTCAGGTACAGTTTTAAAATAAATAAAGAGAAGCAGTAGAATAAAAATATTTACTATATTATAGAATGCAATACTATCTGGGAATAAATAGAGAGGCATACATTTGTTTTTGTAGCATAAAGAAGTTATTAGAATTACATTTATGATACTAGAAAAAATATAAATTAAGTGTAAGAGAAGGAAATATAGCATAATAGAAAAATATCTGCTTTTCATTTGGATGAAGTATCATAGGCTGCAATTGGTAAAAATCCAAAAGTTACATTTTTTATCAAGTTGAGGTAAAAGGGGCCTTTATATGTTGCTAGTGGGAATGCAAAATGATACAGCTCTTGTAGAAGAGAATTTCACCATATCTAGCAAAATCATAAATGCTTTAATTTTGACCCAGCAATCTCTCTTCTATAAATCTATCCTAAATATATGAGGAAAAAAATTTTAAAAATACGCAAATGGCAATGAATTAGACCATTATAATTTACTATCACAAAATATTGAAAATAACCATTAATGGGAAGCTTGGTGAAATATTTCATAAGTATGCAATGAAGTATACATATTTGTAAAAGAAAAAAAACTAATAACTAGCCATATGGTGAAGTGAGTCAGCTCCAGTATATATTTCTAAGTGGAGAAACCAAAAAAGAGAAAGTTTGTATAATATGCTACAACTCATCTAAACTATTATTTTTTATCGTTCTATTAATGTTGGCTTTTTAATGGAAGGCTAATTCATTGATTTTTAAAACTTGTTATTTATTTTTCTAATTTATCATGTGTTGTTCATTATGTTTTTATCTCAAGCTACTTGTTCCAGTTTTGTCTATCTCCCCATTTAGAAAGTTATTTCGCTAGGACTTTTACCTTCTCTCTTTTTACCTCAATTTTTTTGTTCTGTATATTATTACTTTCACATTGTTCAGATTTTATCAATTTTTTTTTTGTTTTCTCTTTTTTAATTTCAATTTTTATTTTAGATTCAGGAGGTACATGTGCAGGATTGTTACAAGGGTACACTGTGTTGTGTTAAGGTTTGGCGTATGATCGAACCCATCACCCACATAGGGAGTATAGTACCAAATAGTTTTTCAACCCTTTCTTTCCTCCTTCACTTCCCGCCTTATGGTCCCCACTGTCTACTGTCCCCATCTTTATATCTGTGTGTACCTACTGTTTAGCTCCCACTTATAAGTAAGAATATGTGGTATTTGGTTTTCTGTTACTGTGTTAATTCACTTAGGATAATGGCCTCTAGATGCATTCACATTGCTGCAAAGGACATGATTTCAATTGTGCTCATGGCTGTGTAGTATTCCATGGTATATATGTACCACACTTTTTTTTATCCAGTCCTCCAATATTGGACAACTGGCTTGATTCCATTTCTTTGCTATTGTGAATAGCTCTACAATAAACATACTAGTGCATGAGTCTTTTTGATACAGTGATTATTTTCATTTGGGTGTATAAACAGTAATGGGGTTGCTGGATTAAATGGTAGTTCTATTTTTATTTTTGATTTTTTTGAGATAGGGTCTCGCTCTGTTTCCGAGTTAGAGTGCAGTGACCTGATCACAGAAGCAATCCTCCCACCTCAGTCTCCCAGGTACCTGGGACTATAGGTGCACACCACATGCCCAGCTAGTTTTGTTTTGTTTTATTTTTTTCTATTTTTTTTGTAGAGACAAGGTTTTGCCATGTTGCCCAGGCTGGTCTCAAACTCCTGAGCTCAAAAAAATCCAACTACCTCGGCTACCCAAAGTGCTGGAATTACAAGTGTGGGCCACCATGCCTGGCCAATAGTTCTATTTTTAGTTCTTTGACAAATCTCCAAATTGCTTTCCACAGTAGCTGAACTAACTTACATTCCCATCAATACTATATAAGCATTCCATTTTCTCCTCATCCTCACCAACATCTGTTATTTTTTAATTTTTCTAATAGCCAGTCTGACTGGTGTGAGATCGTATCTCATTGTGGTTTTGGTCTACATGTCTCTAATGATTACTGATGTGAGCTTCTTTTCATGTTTATTGACCACTTGTCGTCTTCTTTTAAGAAGGGTCTGTTCATGTCCATTGCTTACTTTTTACTGAACTTATTTAATTTTTTCTTCTTGATTTGTTTACATTCCTAATTCTGGATATTAGACCTTCATCAAATGCAGAGGTTACTAATAATTTCTCCCACTCTGTAGATTGTTTGTTACTCCGTTGATAGTTTCTTTTGTTGCACAGAAGTATTTCATTTAGTTAGGTCTCACTTGTCAATTTTTGGTTTTGTTGCACTTGCGTTTGAGAACTTAGTCATAAATTCTTTTACTATTATTATTATCATTAATATTATACTTTACTAGGGTACATGTGCACAACATGCAGGTTTGTTATATAGGTATACATGTGCCATGTTGGTTTGCTGCACACATCAACTTGTCATTTACATTAGGTATTTCTCCTAATGCTATCCCTCCCCCAGCCCCCCAAGCCCCAACAGGCCTCAGTGTGTGATGCTCCCGTCCCTGTGTCCATGGGTTCTCATTGTTCAACTCCCACTTGAAAGTGCAAACATGTGGTGTTTGGTTTTCTGTCCTTGTGATATTTTGCTAAGAATGACGGTTTCCAGCTTCATCTACGTTCCTGCAAAGGACATGAACTCATCCTTTTTTATGGTTGTATAGTATTCCATGATGTTTATGTGCCACAGTTTCTTTATCCAGTCTATTATTGATGGACATTTGGGTTGGTTCCAAGTCTTTGCTATTGTGAATAGTGCCACAATAAACATACGTGTGCATGTGTCTTTATAGTAGCATGATTTATAATCCTTTGGGTATATACCCAGTAATGGAATTGCTGGGTCAAATTCCCCAAGCCTGATGTCTAGAATACTTCCTAGGTTTTTTTCTAAGATTTTTATAGTTTGAGGTCTTAATTTAAGTCCTTCATTCATGTTGAGTTAATTTTTGTATATGGTAAGAGTTAGGGGTCCAGTTTCCTTCTTCTGCATATGGTTAGCTAGGTATCGCAGCACTATTTGTTGAATAGTGAGTCCTTTCCTCATTGCTTATTTTTGTTGACTTTGTCAAAGATCAGTTGGTTGTAGGTGTGTGGTTTTATTTCTGGGTTCTCTATTCTGTTCCATTAGTCTCTGTGTCTGGTTTTTATCGGCGCCATGCTGTTTTGGTAATTGTATCCTTGTAGTATAGTTTGAAGTCAGGTAATGTCATGCCTCCAGCTTCCTTTTGCTTAGGATTTCTTTGGCTATTTAGGCTCTTTTTTGGTTCCATGTAAATTTTAACTTAGTTTTTCCTAGTTCTGTGAAAAATGACATTGGTAGTTTGATAAAAATAATGTTGAATCTGTAGATTGCTTTGGACAGCATGGACATTTGAATGATATTGGTTCTTCCAACCCATTAGCATATAATATTTTTCCATTTGATTGTTTTATCTATGATTTCTTTCAGCAGTGTTTTGTAGTTCTCCTTATAGAGATCTTTTACCTTGTTGGTTAGATGCATTCCTAGATATTATACTTTTTGTGACTATTATAAATGAGATTACATTGTTGATTTAGCTCTCAATTTGAATGTTATTGGTGTTTAGAAATGCTACTGACTTATACATTAGTATGTACATTGATTTTGTATCTTGAAACTTTACTGAAGGCATATATCAGATCTAGGAGCCTTTTGGTGGAGTTTAGGTTAGAATCGTATTGTGAATTAAGAGACATAATTTGACTCCTTCTTTTCCTATTGGGATGCCTTTTATTTCTTTCTGTTGTCTGATTGCTCTAGCTAGGACTAGGACTTCCAGTACTATGAGCAATAGGAGTGGTGAGAGTGTGCACCCTGGTCTGGTTATGGTTTTTAAAGAGAATGTTTCCAGCTTTTTCCCATTCATTATGATATTGGCTATGGGTTAGTCATAGATGGCTATTATTACTTTGAGATATTGCTTCAATGCCTAGTTTTTTGAGGATTTTTATCATGAAGACATATTGGATTTTATAAGGATGATTATATGGTTTTTGTTTTTCATTCTGTTTATGAATAATGTGGTTTATGTGATGAATCACATTTATTGATTTGCATATGTTAAACCAGTCTTGCATGCAAGGAATATAGCCTACTTGGTGATGATGAATAAACTTTTTGATGTGCTGCTAGATTCAGTTTGCTAGTATTTTGCGGAGGATTTTTGCATCCGTGTTCATCAGGGATATTGACCTGTAGTTTTCCTTTTTCATTGTGTCTTTATCAGGTTTTGGTATCAGGATGATGTCAGCCTCTTCGTATATCTGGCAGAATTTGGCTGTGAATCTATCTGGTACAGAGCTCTTTTTTTTTTTTTTTTTTGGTTGATAGGTTTTTTATTACTGATTCAATTTCAGAAGTTATTATTGATCTGTTCAGGATTTCAATTTCTTTCAGTTCATCCTTAGGAGGTTTGGAGTTTGCAGGAATTTATCCATTTCTTCTAAATTTTCTAGTTTTTATACATACAGGTGTTCATAAAAGTCTCCGAGGATCTTTTGTATCTTTGTGGGATTAGTTATAATGCCATCTTTGTCATTTCTGATTGTGCCTATTTGGATCTTCTCTGTTTTTTTCTTTGTTAATCTAGCAGCAGTCTATGAATGTTGTTTTATCCTCTCAAAGAACCAACATTTTCTTTCATTGATCCTTTGTATGGATTTTTGGGTCTCAATTTTGTACAGTTCCAGCCTGATTCTAGTTATTTCTTTTCTTTTATTAGCTTTGGGACTATACTGTTCTTGTTTTTGTAGTTCTTCTAGATGTGATGCTAGATCACAAATTTAAAACTTTTCAACTTTTTGAGGTAGGTATTTGGCACTATAAACTTTCCTCCTTACACTACTTTTGCTCCACCTGAGAGATTTTGGTATATTGTGTCTCTGTTTTTATTAATTTCAAAGAATCCTTTTATTTCTGACTTAATTTTGTTGTCTATCCAAAAGTCATTTAGAAGCAAGTTGTTTAATTTCTATATAATTTTGTAGTTTGGGGGGATTTTCTTGGTATTTATTTTTATTCTCATTCCACTGTGGTCTGAGTGTATTGGTGGTATGATTTCAAATTTTTAAAATTTATTGAGACTTGCTTTATGATTCAGCATGTGGTTAATCTTGGAGTATGTTCCTTGTGGAGACCAGAAGAATGTATATTTTGTGATTGACGAGTGCAGTTTTCTGTAGATGCCTATTAGGTCCAAATGGTCAAGTGTCAAATTTAAGTCCAGTATTTTTTTTGTTACTTTTCTGCCTTCATGATCTATCTAACACTGTTAGTGGGGTGTCAAAGTACCCACTATTATTGTGTGGCTGTTTAACCCTTTTTATAAGTCTAGAAGTACTTGTTTTATGAATCCAGGTGTTCCAATGTTTAGTGCATAAATAGGTGCATATATGTTTAGGATAACTAAGTCTGCTTGTTGTATCGAACACTTTATCACTATGTAATGCCCTTCTTTGTCCTTTTATACTGTTGTTAGTTTAAACTCTATTTTTTATGATACAAAAATGATGACTCCTCTTTTTTGCTTTCCATTTGCGTGATAGATTTTTCTTCATTCCTTTACGTTGAGTCCGTGAGTGTTACAAAAAGATGGCAATTAGACTGGAAAATTCCATCAAACAACCTTGTTGGTTCAACAATTGAATTATAAGAAAAATAAAAAGAAGGGAGGGGAGCTTTAGGTTAAAAATACCAAGTGCATCAACCACTTTCAATGTATTAATCTCATAATCCTAACTAAAACAAGTAATTTGAAAAGAGAGAAATTTGAGTCCCTTATATTTAATATTAATAAATTATAATTTTTAAGTATAATCATCATACTTCTGGTAATTTCTCTAATAATTTTTTACTTTTAGACATGATATGGTTTGGCTGTGGCCTCGCCCAAATTTCATCTTTAATTGTAGCTCCAATAATCCCCAGGTGTTGTGGGAGGGACCTGCTGGGAGGCAACTTAATCATGAGGGTGGGTTTTTCCCGTGATGGTCTTGTGATAGTGAGTAAGTCTCATGAGGTCTGAAAGTTTTATAAAGGGCAGTTCCCCTGCACAGGCTCTCTTTTACCTGCCACCATGTAAGACATGCCTTTGCTCCTCCTTCACCTTCTGCCATGATTGTGAGGCCTCCCCAGCCATGTGGAACTGTGAGTCCATTAAACTTTTTCTTTATAAATCACCCAGTCTTGGGTATTTCTTCATCGCAGTATGAAAACGGACTAATACAAGATGTAAGTAATATGAATATTTGCTTCAACATAAAACAGAAGGAGAGGGAAAGTAGGAAGAAGTGTTCATTAAATAAGACTGGTCAAGGGTTAATTATTGTAAGCTTGGCAATGGCACATGTATGTTCATTATACTGCTATCTAGTTTTAAAAGTGTTTGAAAATTCTGGAAAAAGTTAATGTTGGTGCAAATTATTAGCTATGTGATCTACATAAGTTGCCTAGCTTCCCTGAACCTTATCTGGAAAAGAAGATGGTATTGTTTCCATAGGATAGTTATTTCATTAATTCTGACTTCTCTAATGTTTTAACTAAAGTCCACTAACATTAGCATCTAACATAAAACTTAACAGAACCCTGCATGTGAAGTAAAATACAAACACTGTTATATTAGTAGGAAAGCAGAAACATTGAAACTCACGCAAATTTGTTATGGTCATGTATTATAAGATTCAAGATTAAAGCTCAAATTGAAAACCAATGTTTATAATTAAAAATATAAATATTACAATGTTACTTTAAAATTTCTCAAGTTTTAGAGTTTTTCTCTATTTCATGTGAAACAAAAGAAATAACTTCAATGAAGATAAGAAAGAAGCACCAAGGGTAGCAATAGATTTACTTAATGAATTTAAGTCCTATTACTTTACAAAGTACATACTTATACCCTGAGCTTTGCCTGAGAATTACTGTAAACGCCAAAGCTGTATTATGATACACAATAATTTGTTTTAAGCTTACTCCTGTAGAGGAAAATGTGCTGAATGCATCTTTAAATATAATATGTATTTTGAAGCTAACATTATACCAACCCTAAAGACATTGCAGGAACCTGTTTAGAAAGATTGGAAGTGACAGAGACAATTTTTATGGGCATGGAGACAACATCAAAGCAAGCTGTGGTTCACCCTGTGACATTTTCACAGCAGCTCATCATAATTATGGATATAATAGGTGACTGGTCAGTTAACTCCATGAATTATTGGCAGGAATGCCAAAAAATAATCCTCCTATCCCTCCCTCATATAACCTGAGGCAGCATGATATTCCATATTTTCTATCACTTTAATCAACAGTCACAAATTTTGCTTTAAACTAAAATCTTTCTAATTTCCTGCCATGTCATGCCTCTCTCTCCTTTCAAAAAACTACCCTTCCAAGATTATTTTTAAAATAGCAGAAATAGTAATAGCTAAAAATTGGTGTTTACCCAATTTGTACTTCCAAAACCATGTGGGAAATGGACCATGTAGAGGGTAACAGCAATTTGGTTTGCTACTTTTAAGAGAATAGGAATTTTTAGGAACTCTTTGGTTTTCCCCTTTTTGCACTATTCTCATAGATCTTTACTGTAGTTCCTTGTAAGTTTTCCCAATTTAGGAGAGAAACAGGATGTGATATTTCTTTTTTCCCTTTCTTTCTGTCTTTTGTTTTTTTCTTTTTTTTCTTTTTTTTTGACAGAGTTTCTCTCTTGTTGCCCGGGCTGGAGTGCAATGGCGTGATCCCAGCTCACCGCAACCTCCACTTACCAGGTTCAAGCAATTCTCCCGCCTCAGCCTCCCAAGTAGCTGGGATTACAGGCATGCGCCACCATGTCCAGCTAATTTTGTATTTTTAGTACAGACAGGCTTTCTCCATGTTGGTCAGGCTGGTCTCGAACTCCTGACCTCAGGAGATCCACCTGCCTCAGCCTCCCAAAGTGCTGGGATTACAGGCGTGAGCCACCGCGCCAGGTGGGATAGGATATTTCTAATAGGATGTGGCAGCCCATGGGAAGGGTCAGAATTAAGAGGTAGATGGTAGATTTGAGCTGGGCCAAAAGGTTCTGAGCAAGAGTCAAACAAAAGTGGGATGTCACCACCTATGCCCCCAATTGCTTGAACCTGGGAATTGCTTGAACCTGGGAGGCGGAGGTTGCAGTGAGCTGAGACTGTGCCACTGCACTCCAGCCTGGGCAACAGAGCAAGACTCTATCTTTAAAAAAAAAAAAAAAAAAGAATGCTAGTATCAGCCAGGCACAGTGGCTCATGCCTGTAATCCCAGCACTTTAGGAGGCTAAGGCAGGAGGATCACTTGAGCTCAAGAGTTTGAGACTGGCCTGGGCAACATAGTGAGATCCAATCTCTACAAAAACATTTAAAATTAGCTGGGCACGGTGGTGTACACCTGGAGTCCCAGCTACTTGGAAGACTGAGGCAAGAGGGTTGCTTAGGCCCAGGAATTCAAGGCTGCAGTGAGCTGTGATCACACCACTGCACTCCAGCCAGAGCAACAGAGTAAGACCCTGCCTTCACAAAAAAAAAAAAAAAAAAAAAAAAAAACTCAGGTTCCAACCCTGGAGTTACTAAATCAGGATATCAGAATGCAGAGATCTGGCATTTCAAAAAAAACTTCCCCTGGAGATTCTGATCAGCCAGGTTTGGGCCAGACGAACTCTAAGCTCACTTAAACCTTTGACATTTTATGAGTCTATTAAATCGAGTACAAAAAATGCTGAGTCCAAACTGAGCAAAACAAATCCCATCTCCCTATGCCCAGCCTCCTTGGATTCAGAAAGCCACACTGCCTGGAGAGTAAGCAGAGAGAGAATTGTAATTAACCCAAAGACCATCTTTGAAAACAGACTGGCTGCGGCTGAGTGCGGTGGCACATGCCTGTAACCCCAGCCCTCTGGAAGGCCGAGGCAGGAGGATCACTTGAGCCCAGGAGTTCGAGACCAGCCTGGGCAACATGGCAAGACCCTGTCTCTATCTTTCTAAGTAAAACAAAATAAAAAGCTCAGACTGGCAGCACATGGCTCTTTCCAGCTGTTCCCATGAGCAGGCTTCAGGACAAGCCCAGGCAAAGGCAGGGAGAAATGGGGTGGGGACCCCCAGGCTCACCCCCTTGTCTGCTGCGTAGGTGGAGTTGGTCACAAAGGTCACAGGCTGGGAGGGGTCCAAGGCTTTGGTGTGAGCAATCACCATCCTGTCCACAAAAGAGAGAAGACACAGGTTCCGTCAGTCTGGGAAAGGCTCAGACACCCTCCCATCCTCTCTGTCCCATCTTCCCCTGTCAGAACACAACTGGGGGCCAGGCACGATGGCTCACATCTGTAATCCCAGCACTTCAGGAGGCTGAGGCAGGTAGATCACTGAGGTCAGGAGTTCAAGAACAGCCTGGCCAACATGGCAAAACCCCATTTCTACTAAATATACAAAAATTAGCCAGGCATAGTGGCACGCATCTGTAACTCCAGCTACTCGGGAGGCTGAGGCACAAGAATTGCTTGAACCCGGGAGGTGAAGGTTGCAGTGAGCCGAAATCAGGCTACTGCACTCCAGCCTGGGCCACAGAGCAAGACCCTGCCTCAAAACAAACAAACAAACAAACAAACAAAAAAGAAAGAAAGAAAAGAAAAAAAAAACACAAAGCACAGAGCCGCTGCTTTCTTCCCTAACTTGAGATGTGTTTTACATAAGGGCACGTTCCTCTAGTCCTAGACCGAGCTCTCTAACAACACTCTTTCTCCCCCACCTCTGAATCCAATTCCCCCAGAGGCGTAGCCACCCTGCCAGGTACACACAGCTGAGGTCACTGGACTGAACACTGCCGAAAATGAGGTTCACTTCCTGAAATAGCTCTTGAACACAGGAGTGAATGGGCTGTGGATTCAGGTGGAATATTTATCAATGCATCAAGCAAACAGGTAGTGCGAGGTGGGAAGTAGGCACGGGGCTGGGTGCTAGGTGCTCAGTAATGACTCAAATCTAAGTCCACAGGTCCTGGGCAGTGGGAGTAGAGATGCATGCACAGGAAAACAGTGCAAGTGCCAGGCGAGGTGGCTCACGCCTAGAACCCCACCACTTTGGGAGGCTTGAGACCAGGCGCTTGAGACCAGCCTGGGCAACATAGCAAGACCTAGTTTCTACAACAAATTTAAAAATTAGGGCTGGGCATGGTGGCTCAAGCCTGTGAGCACTTTGCGAGGCCGAGGCAGGTGGATCACGACGTCAAGAGTTCGAGACCAGCCTGGCCGTGGTGAAACCCCATCTCAACAAAAAATAAAGAAGAAAACTATCTGGGCATGGTGGCATGAGCCTGTAATCCCAGCTACTCGGGAGGGTGAGGCAGGAGAACTGTTTGAACCCAGGAGGTAGAGGATGCAGTGAGCCAAGATCGCAACACTGCTCTCCAGCCTGGGCAACAGAGCAAGACTCTGACTCGTGGGGAAAAAAATATTAAAATTTACCCTGGAAAGGCAGCGCACGTCTGTGGTCCCAGCTATTTGGGAGGCTGAGTGGGGAGGATCGCTTAAGCCCAGGAGGTCGAGATGGCAACGAGCTGTGATTGCACCACTGCCCTCCAGCCTGGGCAACAGAGTGAGACCCTGACTCTGAAAAACAAACAATGAAAGAAATGTTGCAAATGGAAATGACAAGTGGTGGTAGGAATTGGGCACTCTATGAGACAACAGACACATCCCGGATTGGAGAGTCAGGGACAGGCTCTTAGAAGAAATGGCCTTTAAGCTGAGTCAAGTTAACCAGGCAGGATGAAGGGAAGAGGCTCCCAACAGAGGGACCAGTCCGTGCTCAGAGCTCCCAGCATCTGCCCAAGGCCTCCACAGAACAGACTGTTTTGTTTTGTTTTTTGTTGTTGTTTTTTTGAGATACAGAGTCTCATTCTGTAGCCCAGGCTGGAATGCAGTGGCATTATCTCAGCTCACTGCAATCTCTGCCTCCCGGTTCACCTGAGGCAATTCTCCTGCCTCAGCCTATCTAGTAGCTGGGATTACAGACGTCCACCACCATGCCCAGCTAATTTTTGTATTTTTAGTAGAGACGGATTCACTACCTGTTGACCAGGCTGGTCTCAAACTCCTAACCTCAGGTGATCCACCCACCTCAGCCTCCCAAACTGCTGGGATTACAGGCGTGAGCCACTGCATCCGGCCTAGACTGTTGTTGAATCTGGTTTTCTTCTTCTTTCCTCAGTTCTTTTCTTTTACATCTTCCCCCCATCATTGCTCTGCCCATCCGAAGGCTGTGGCTGGCACAGGACAGAACAGAACCTCCTAGCCTCAAGTTCCAAACCCATACTCTCCAACAGCCAGGCCCTCAGATGGGAAGCTTCAGAGCCTTGTGACAGCCTGGCTGAACCTCTCCAGCCTGGGCGCTCCCTCCATTTCCTGCCCCGGAAACAGGCATCTCCTCTGGCCACCTCCCAAAGAAGCCTGTCTGGAAGCCTCAGGCACCCGTTCCTGGAAGCCTGTACTATTCACAACAAAGGGCCTGTCCACCCAGTCGTGCTGAGCACACCCCTATTCCCCCGAGCTCTGAATTGTCCTTTGCCCAGGCTGGGACAACATCTCAGAGCCTTCTGCCTGCTGCAGACTCGGCTCAGCCCAAAGCACTCCATGAAATTGGGGTGTGGCATCTGCCTCAAGGAGCATTTCTACAACCTCTGCTGCCTCTACCGCAAATGAAAACTCCACCTCTGAATGCCGAGTTAGAACTGCACAATTGTAAGGAAGAAAAGTTGGGCAGGACTGGTGGCTCACAACTGTAATCCCAGCACTTTGGGAGGATGAGGCAGGCAGATCACCGGAGGCCAGGAGTCAAGGCCAGCCTGGCCAACATGGTAAAACCCCGTCTCTACTAAAAATACAAAAATAAGCCGGGCAGAGTGGCTCACGCCTATCATCTCAGCATTCTGGGAAGCCGAGACAGGCGGATCACCTGAGGTCAGGAGTCTAAGACCAGCCTGGCCAACATGGTGAAACCCTGTCTCTACAAAAAATGCAAAAGTTGGCTGGGCACGGTGGCTCACGCCTGTAATCCCAGAACTTTGGGAGATCGAGGTGGGTGGCTCAGAAGGTCAAGAGATGGAGACCATCCTGGCCAACATGGTGAAACCCTGTCTCTACTAGAAATACAAAAATTAGCCAGGCATGGTGGCACACACCTGTAGTCCCATCTACTTAGGAGGCTGAGGCAGGAGAATCGCTTGAACCTGGGAAGTGAAGGTTGCAGTGAGCCGAGATCCCACCACTGCACTCCAGTGTGGGCAACAGAGCAAGACTTCGTCAAAAAAAAAAAAAAAAAAAAAAAAAAAAAATCAAAAAACAAAAGTTAGCTGGGCATGGTGGCACACATCTATAATCCCAGATACTTGGGAGGCTGAGGAAGAAAGATGACCTGAGCCTGGGAAGTCGAGGCTGCAGTGAACTGAGATCGTGCCACTGTACTCCAGCGTGGGCAACCAGAGTGAGACCCTGTTTCAAAAAAAAAAACAGGCCAAGCGCAGTGGCTCATTTGTGCCTGTAATCCCAGCTACTCAGGAGGCTGAGGCAGAAGAATCACTTGAACCCAGGAGGCTGAGGTTGTAATGAGCCGAGATCGTGCCACTGCACTCCAGCCTGAGTGACAGAGCGAAACTCCATCTCAAAAAAATAGAAAAAGAAAACTACAATTTGGGTGGGTAGATATTTAGTTCCCTGAACCGTCTGGGTATGGACGGCCCTCCCATTGGGCTGGGACAGGATGCTGATCTCCAATAGCACACGTCCACCACAGTCTGCCATCTGCCAGGGTCTCCTGCCTGATCCAGCCCAGGGCAGGCAGTGGGCACTGACTTGAAGGAGTAGCCAGCAGATTCCAGGAAGGACGCAGGCTCGTTGGCCACAGACCACATCATGATGGCGGGTGGTTCTTGTCTCTTAGCACCGGTTCCTCCACCACCCACATATGGTGATGCATAGACACGTTGTTGAAGAGTTGCCAGCGGGCCAGAAGGGAAGGGACAGAGGGTCACGGTGTGGCCCGAGGGCTGGCCAGGCAGAGCGGGTGCGCAGCAGGGACTCATGGCAGCATCAGGCCCACAGCAGGACACTCATCGATGACCACAATCCCATACCGGTAACATATCTGCAGCATCTCCTCCGTGTAGGGATAGTGGCTGGGGCAGAAGGTGTTGGCGCCAAGCCAGCAAAGCAGGTTGAAGTCCTTCACCAGCAGCGGACAGTCGAAGCCCTTCCCTTGGATCTAGGGGACAGCAGAGCCGAGTGACCCCTGTCCCTGTCGAAGCGGCACTTCCTCTGAGAGCCAGGACCCTGGAGAACCACCCCATGAGGCCCCCTCTCCAGCCCAAGCACCGGCTCCACCATGGGGTGGTTTGGAGCCATTTGCCTCATTGCCTTGAGCTGCCCTCAACTGCAGGACACAGGGAAGGCTAAAGTGGAAGGTGACCAGAAGCAGCCCCCACGACGACCCAGGAGCCCCAACGCACGTCCGCATCCTCATGCTTGTTGACGCCGTGGAAATAGAAAGGTTTCCCGCTGATGAGGAACTGGCTCTCGGTGACGGCCACAGTGCGGAGCCCCACAGGGAGTGTGTAGAAGTCAAAGGCCCCAGTGACTTCTGTGCAGTCAGCCACACCTACGACAGCCAAAGTGCCAGCTGTGAGCGCCCCGACAGCCTGAGCCCCATCTGGCCTGCCCTACAGCAGGAAGACCCCTCGTGCATGCACCCCAGCAGTCACCTCTGGGCCTGCAGAGAAGCAGCAATCAGAGGCTCTGCCCTTCACTGGCTGACCCTGGGACCTGCCCTTCAAAATCGGGCCTTCTCCTTGACCAGACGAGATGGCTCATGCCTGGAATCCCTACACTTTGGGAGGCTAAGGCAGGAGGATCACTTGAGTTCAGGAGTTCAAGACCAGCCTGGGCAACAGAGTAAGACCCCAACTCTATAAAAAGGATTGTTTTTGGAGACAGTCTCACTCTGTCACCCAGGATAGAGTGCAGTGGCATGATCTCAATTCACCACAGCCCCTGCCTCCTGGGTTCAAGCAATTACCCTGCCTCAGCCTCCCGAGTAGCTGGGATTACAGACGTGCACCATCATGCCCTGCAAATTTTCCTATTTTAGTAGAGACGGGGTTTCACCATGTTGGCCAGGCTGGTCTCCAACTCCTGGCCTAAAGTGATCCGCCCGCATCGGCCTCCCGAAGTGCTGGGATTACAGGCGTGAGCCACCATGCCCAGCCTACAAAAAAAATTTTTTTAATTAGCCAGGCATGGTGGCATGTGCCTGTAGTCCCAGCTACTCAGGAGGCCAAGGTAGGAGGATTGCAGCTCAAAGCTGCAGTGAGCTGTGATCAGGCCATTGCATTCCAGCCTGGGTGACAGAGTGAGACCATCACAAAAAATAAATACATACATAAATAAATAAATAAATAAATAAATAAAAGTAAATAAATAAATAAAAAATCTGGGCCTCCCACCAAGGGTGGGAAACACCAGAAAGCTCAGAGGACCACACCTGCCCGTTCACCTGTCCTGGGATCCTGCTGAAGCCAGGGCTACCAGATGGGGGCAAAAGACCTCCCTTAAGCAAGTCCCAAACCACCATTACCTCCCACGAGTACAGGTAGGCGGGGTGTTCGTGCATCAGGTACGGCCACCAGAGGTTGGCACCCAGCACCTTCAGCTGGCCCTGGGTCCCAGCCTGGTTGTCCACGACCTTGTTTTCTGCATTCAAAAGACACACTTCCAACTTGAACTGGTTACTGCACTTGACGGAGATCTGGTAATTCACCAGCCCTGCAGGAGGCAAGAGAGACCAGGGCTTAGGGAGGGACATGACCTGGGTCACACAAACGGGAATGCCCCACAATGACCACTTCCAGGCACTCTCATTTGCTTCTGTTGCTTTTTTTTTTTTTTTTTTTTTGAGATAGAATCTCGCTCTGTCGCCCAGGCTGGAGTGCAGTGGCATGATCTGGACTCACTGAAACCTCTGCCTCCCAGGTTCAAGTGATTCTCCTGCCTCAGCCTCTGGAATAGCTGGGATTACAGGCACCTGCCACCACATCCAGCTAATTTTTGTATTTTTAGTAGAGACGGGGTTTCACCACATTAGCCAGGATGGTCTTGATCTCCTGACCTCGTGATCCGCCTGCCTCAGCCTCCCAAAGTGCTGGGATTACAGGCTTGAGCCACCGTGCCCGGCCCTGAACCAATGCGCCCGGCCCGCTTTTTTTTAATTTAATTTTTTTTTTTTTTTTTTGAGATGGAGTCTCACTCTGTCACCCAGGCTGGAGTGTAGTGCTGCGATCCTGACTCACTGCAACCTCCACCTCTGGAGTTCAGGTGATTCTCCTGCCTCAGCCTTCCGAGTACCTGGGAATACAGGAAGGCACCACCATGCCCGGCGAATTTTTGTATTTTTAGTAGAGACGGAGTTTTGCCATGTTGGCCAGGCTGGTCTCGAACTCCTGAACTCAGGTCTCCCAACCTGAGTTCCAACCGCCTCAGTCTCCCAATAGATTAGATATATTATTAATGAATTGCTTCCTTTAACACCCTATTCATTGAATTTTCCAGTAAACCACAATTACTAATTACTCCTGAAATCAGAAAAGAGGTTAAAAACATTTTTTTTTTTTTTTTTTTTGAGACGGAGTCTCGCTCATTCGCCCAGGCTGGAGTGCAGTGGCGGGATCTCGGCTCACTGCAAGCTCCGCCTCCCGGGTTCACGCCATTCTCCTGCCTCAGCCTCCCAAGTAGCTGGGACTACAGGCGCCCGCCACTACGCCCGGCTAATTTTTTGTATTTTTAGTAGAGACAGGGTTTCACCGTTTTAGCCGGGATGGTCTCGATCTCCTGACCTCGTGATCCGCCCGCCTCGGCCTCCCAAAGTGCTGGGATTACAGGCGTGAAAAGATTTTATAACAGTATCCTATGAAATCTACTACTTTCAAGTAATAGTAGTTGAATTACCAAAACCCGTCACTCAAGCCAATGACTACAATTAAGATATCAGTAACATTTCCTAGATAAATAATGTCAATTAATTATATTTGCATCTGGGAAATACAGAAAGTACATATAAGCCATGATTTTGAAGTCAAAAGAGAGAGAATATTTGGCAAGGAGGGGTGAGTTATAGTATGTAATTATAACATATAGTAGTTTTTTGTGTGCTGGTAACTAATTTTAATTTCCTACATTTTTATGTAGATTTCTGCTATTCTTGTCCTATTTTCCTAATCATCTTTCTGTATGGATGACTACATAAGTCTGAAAATACCAAAAGAGACAGACACAGAACCAATCGGATTCCTTTCTTCTTGAAGCTTCTGCACAGCAAAAGAAACTATCAACAGAGTGAACAGACAACCCACAGAATGCGAGAAAATTTTTGCAACAATGCACGTGATAAAGATCTAATGTCCAACACTGATAAGGAACTTAAACAAATTTACAAGAAAAAAAAAATCTCATTAGAAAGTGGGCAAAGGACATAAACAGACACTTCAAAAGAAGACACACATGCGGCCAACCAGCATATGAAAAAAAGCTCAATATCACTGATCATTAGAGAAATGCAAATCAAAACCACAATGGCATACCATCTCACACCAGTCAGAATGGTTATTATTAAAAAGTCAACACCGGGCATGTGGCTCACGCCTATAATCCCAGCACTTTAGGAGGCCAAGGCAGGCAGGTCACATGAGGTCAGGAGTTCCAGACCAGCCTGGACAACCTGGCGAAACCCCGTCTCTACTAAAAATACAAAATTTAGCCCAGCGTGGTGGCGGGCACCTGTAATCCCAGCTACTCAGGATGCTGAGGCAGGAGAATCGCTTGAACCCGGGAGGCAGAGGTTGTAGTGAGCCAAGATCATGCCACTGCACTCTCCAGCTTAGGTGACAGAGCGAGACTCTGTCTCAAAAAAAAAATTATATTTGAATTTTGTTTAAATCGCTAACACATACTGGGCATTTAATAACAAAAAAAAGGACATGAGATTGTGATCCTTATGAGGGTTTGAGAGGCATTTCACTAGGGTTCAACATAGAGCAGTCTGAAACATACTGTAATAATTTAATCCAATGGCTCATCTACAGCACCTAAAAAGATTACAGCAGATTCTCATTATTCAGTGTAGTTACGGTCTAGAAAGTTCCATGAACAAATAAAAAGTTAGGTTTCAGCAAGCTACTGGTCATATTTTTGTAAGCTTACCAACACCTACTTTTGTTGTATGTGTGCTTATTTAATATATATTGTTGGCCAGGCACAGTGGCTAACGCCTGTAATCCCAGCACTTTGGGAAGCCAAGGCGGGCAGATCATTTGAGGTCTGGAGTTCGAGACCAGCCTGGCCAACGTGGTGAAACCCCGTCTCTACTAAAACTACAAAAAATAAATAAATAAATAAATAAATTAGCCAGGCATGGTGGCGCATGCCTGTAGTCTTAGCTACTTGGGAGGCTAAGGCAGGGGAATCGCTTGAACCCAGGAGGCAGAGGTTGCAGTGAGCCAAGACTGCACCACTGCACTCCAGCCTGAGCAACAGAGTGAGACTATATCTCAAAAATAATAATAATAATAATTAATTAAATGAATGAATAAATAAATAATATACATTGTTCATTCATTAACACTGAACTCACAGCCAATGGCACTACAGCACTCACGCCTGAATGGAGTTGATTTAATGCATGTATTTTCTCTGTAAGGCACATCACAGACTTCTTGGACTTGTGAATGCTAAGCAGCACTTCAGCACTATGCTTGGGGGTTAATTTAAATGGCAAAACAACCAACAAACAGTACAAAAATAGGAAAAGCATGGCATTAAATAGACCACAAAAAGGATACCTGACTATTGTATGAGAGCTGAAAAAGAAGGCAGAATATCACCCTGTTCAAACTCAAATTCTTTGACACTCTATGCAAACACATGACTATGAAAGTGCTGTGAGTACTGATTTGGGGGTTACAAAAAATAGTAGGTGAGTTCACAAATACAAAAGCTGAAAACAAGGAGGATCGACTGTATTTTCGTAGACAATCTAATCTCATAGAATATTTCAATTCAGACAAAAATCATGAGAATTACTATATTACAAACGGGCACTAGATGGGGGAAAAGAGTAAAAATCAGAATTAAAACAAAGGTTCAAAATTCTGCATCAACCATATCCAGTTACACTTTAATATGTTTGTGGCAGACTACATTATTGTTCCCAACTCATCACTCCTCCCTATATCTACAACCTTTCCCCAAGACAATGCAGTTCCTCCTGCTAGAGATCAGGTATATTTATCTATACTATCAATGTGAGCCATGGACAAGGTACGTGATTTGGCTGACGGAATGTTAGTGGACATGATAGAAGCAATGGCTTAAAATGTACTTCCAGAACTGGAGTTTCCTTGTGATTCTATCACTGTGACAAAAACACATTCTCAGGTAGTCCACTGATCCAAGGGGGAACAAACACACAGAAAACATACCTAGACTATCTGCAGCTTGCAGCCTCACCAAGCCAAGAACAGTCAACTCACGGATATGTTAGCAAAAATAAATGTTTTTCGTACCTTAAGTTTTATATAATTATTGACCTATAGTTAACTGATATACAATATACATTAATCTTAAAATATCATTATCCCATTAAAAATATTTACATTAAAAACTGATCACTTTCTTCCCTCCATTTTTTTTTTTTTTTTTTTTTTTAAATTAAGAGACAGGGTGTCTCAATGTTTCCCAAGCTGGAGTTCAGTGGCTAGTGGCTATTCACAAGAACGATCATCGCACACTACCTCAAACTCCTGGGATCAAGCAATCTTCCTGCCTCAGCTTTCCAAGTAGCTGGGGCTATAAGTGTGTACCACAGCATGTCAGCTCTCTCTCTTCTTCTTGACCTAAAGCCTAGCATAAAATTAGCTAAGTAGAATGTTTCCAAAGATGCCTGCATCAGTATCTCCCATCCCACATAATTTCTGTTTGATTTTGCCATTCACCCATAAAATGGTGGGATCTACCTCCCCTCCTTGCAAATTTGAGCTGGCCCTCTGATCCTGTCTAAGATCTGAAGCCAGATATTAACGTACTTAATTAATTTCCATGTTTGTCCTCTATGCAACCTAGCAATCAATCAAGAAGTCAAAACCTACTGATTTACTTTGGATGTGTCCCCAGCCAAATCTCACCTAGTATTGTAGTAATTCCCACGTGTCAAGGGTGGGGCCAGGTGCAGATAACTGAATCATGGGGATGGTTCCCCCCATACTGTTCTTGTGGTAGTGAATAAGTCTCATGAGATCTGATGGTTTTATAAATGGGAGTTCCCCTGCACATGCTCTCTCCTGCCTGCCACTATGTGAGACATGCTTTTGCACCTCCTTGCCTTCCACCATGATTGTGAGGCCTCCCCAGCCATGCAGAACTGTGAGTCAATTCAACCTCTTTCCTTTATAAATTACCCAGTCTCAGGTATGTCTTTATTTGCAGTGTGAGAACAGACTAATACAATAAGTTGATACCAGTAGAGTGGGGTGCTGCTGTAAAGATACCCGAAAATGTGGAAGCAACTTTGGAAATGGGTAACAGGGAGAGGCTGGAACAGGTTGGAAGGCTCAGAAGAGGATAGGAAAATGTGGGAAAGTTTGGAACTTCCTAGAGACTTGTTGAATGACTTTGACCAAAATGTTCATAGTGATATGGACAATAAGGTCCAGGCGGAGGTGGTCTCAGATGGAGATGAGGAATTTGTTGGGAAATGGAGTGAAGTCACTCTTACTATGCAAAGACACTGCAGGCATTGTGCACCTGTATTAGAAACAGGCATAAGATAGGCGGGAAAGAGTGAAAATAAGAATTTTTTTCTAGAGTTCCCTAGAGATCTGTGGAACTTTGAACTTGACAGAGATGATTTAAGGTATCTGACAGAAGAAATTTCTAAGCAGCAAAGCATGCGAGAAGAAGCAGAGCATAAAAGTTCAGAAAATTTGTAGCCTGATGATGCAACAGAAAAGAAAAATCTATTTTCTGAGGAGACTGGGTTGTAGAAATTTGCATAAGTAATGAGGAGCCAAATGTTAATCACCAAGACAATGGGGCAAACGTATCCAGGGCATGTTAGAGACCCTCACAGCAGACCCTCCCATCACAGGCCAGGAGGCTTAGAAGGAAAAATGGTTTTGTGGGCCCAGAACCCCCTGCTGTGTGCAGCCTAGGAACTTGGTGCCCTGCATCCCAGCTGCTCCTGCCATAGGTAAAAGGGGCCAAGGTACACCTTAGGCCATGGCTTCAGAGGGTGCAAGTTCCAAGCCTTTCAGGTTCTAGGTGGTGTTAAGCCTGCAGATGCTCTGAAGTTAAGAATTAAGGTTCATGAACCTCCGCCTAGATTTCAGAAGATGTATGAAAATGCCTGGAAATCCAGGCAAAAGTTTGCTGCGGGGGGGAGGGGGGGCCCTCATGGATAACCTCTGGTAGGGCAGTGTCAAAGGGAAATATGGGGTTGGAGCCCCCACACAGAGTTCCCACTGGGGTACTGCCAAGCAGAGATGTGAGAAAAGGGCCACCATCCTCCAGATCCCAGAATGGTAGATCCACTGACAGCCTGCACTGTGTGCCTGGAAAAGCTGCAGACACTCAATGCAGCCAGAAGGGGGGCTGTACCCTGCAAAGCCACAGGGGCGGGGCTGCCCAAGACCCTGGGAACCCACTTCTTGCATCACCTAGATGTGACACATGGAGTCAAAGGAGGTCATTTTGGAGCTTTAAGATTTGCCTGCTGGGTTTTGGACTTGCATGGGGCCTGTAGCTCTTTCGCTTTGGCCAATTTCTCCCATTTGAAACGAGTGTATTTACCCAATGCCTGTATCCCTGTGTATCTAGAAAATAACTTGCTTTTGATTTTACAGGCTCATAGGTGGAAGGGACTTGCCTTGTCTCAGATGAGACTTTGGACTATGGAATTTTGAGTTAATGCTGAAATAAGAGTTTGGGGGACTTTGGGGAAGGCATGATTGCTTTTGAAATGTGAGGACATGAGATTTGGGAGGGGCCGGGGAAGCATTATATGGTTTGGCTCTGTCCCCACCCAAATCTCATCTGGAATTGTAACAATTCCCATGTGTCAAGGGTGGGGCCAGGTGGAGATAATTGAATCATGGAGGCAGTTTCCCCCATGCTGTTCTCATGGTAGTGAATAAGTCTCATGAGATCTGACGGTTTTATCAATGGGAGTTCCCCTGCACATGCTCTCTCCTGCCCACCATGTCTGACTAAATTTTGTATTTTTACTAGAGACGGGGTTTCACTATGTTGGCCAGGCTGGTCTCCAACTCCTGATCTCGTGATCCATCCACCTCGACCTCCCAAAGTGCTAGGATTATAGGCATAAGCCACCACACCCGGCCTCTTTTTTTTCTTTTTCTTTTTTTTATCTGGAGACTGAGTTTTGCACTTGTTGCCCAGGCTGGAGTGCAATGGTGCGATCTCAGCTCACTGCAGTCTCCGCCTCAGCAGGAGAGCAGGAATCTTCAGTGATCCACGGGCAGATCTGCAGCCACTGTGGGCACCTGCTCCTCCCGCGACCTTTGTGCCCGCGTCTCTCCCTCCAGTACCTATTGCACGACACCCCACGTCCGCCTCCTGCCATTGCCAGCAAGTGCCTTGTGCGAGTACCTGGCTGTGCTTATTAATCCATTATGGTCGCTCTGTCACTGGTGCCATTATGTGCTCACGTGCCCACTCCCTCAGGTTTAGAAGGCGCGTTGCCCGGCAACAGAAGAGTCTGCTGGCTTAGCCTTTGGCCGAGTTGGCAGCTGGATGAGGACGCTCAGAGCCCAGCTCTCGAGAGTTCAAGCATCCGACGGTTCCCCACTGCTCCCAGGAGCGGTTACCCGGGCACTCTGTGCCCCTCATTCCTGTTTGGGCCAAGGCTGAGGACCTGCGAGTAGGGCTCAGTTGCCTGGAGCCCCTTCAACCCATCCCCCAGTTCACTTTGCTTGTGGGATCTCCCCGTTGCTCCTGCCCCTGGACTGAGTGGCAGGTCATCCTACAAGCACCCAGACACTCGACATCAGTGGTGTCAAGACAACTCCAAGAAGGTTTTCCGTGATCCTGCAAGACCTGTGTTCCATCCTGGTGATTCTGCCTTCAATTTCACTGCACAGGTACCATAGCAAGTCAGTGCTGTGTGCTCCGAGTTCCAGGGCATCCTCCAGCTCGGCCACTACACTGAGCACAAGGACTCTGTGGGGCCCCAGGAGCAGGTAGTCACCCCATTGGGGTTCACAACACCCGGCTGTCCCCAGACTTGTGTCCAGGGAAGATAGTGTTGAGGGCCCTCAAGGAGAGCGGGGCAGGGATGCCTGAGCAGGACAAGGACCCTAGAGTCCAAGAGAATCCTGATGATCAGAGAAGGGTCCCCAAGGTCACCGGGGATGCACGGTCTGCATTTCGGCCCCTGCGGGACAATGGAGTCCTCTCTCCCTTTGTGCCCAGGCCCGGGCCTCTGCAGACATACCTCCATGCCCAGAGGTCAGAAATCAGATATAACCAGACATCCCAGAATACCTGGACGAGCTCGTGCACCAACCAAAATGCCATCTCCAGCTCCTATAGCTCCGTGGGAGGCTTGCTGGGGCTAAAGTGGAGGAGGGGGCCAGCAGGGCAGGAGAGCGGGGCAGGGATGCCTGAGCAGGACGAGGACCCTGGAGTCCAAGAAAATGCTGATGATCAGAGAACGGTCCCCGAGGTCACCAGGGATGCATGGTCTGCATTTCGGCCCCTGCGGGACAATGGAGGCCTCTCTCCCTTTGTGCCCAGGCCCGGGCCTCTGCAGACAGAACTGAATGCCCAGAGCTCAGAAATCAGATATAACCAGACATCCCAGACCTCCTGGGCGAGCTCGTGCACCAAAAGAAATGCCATCTCCAGCTCCTACAGCTCCACGGGAGACTTGCCGGGGCTAAAGCAGAGGAGGGAGCCAGCCTCATCCCACTGCCAGCTGACCCTCAGTTACGCAATGACAGTGAGTGAGGACAGGCTTCAGGCTGTCTCTTCGGGTCACACACGGTGTGAAAAGGCGGCAGATACAGCACCAGGGCAGACACTCGCCCCAAGGGGTGGCTCCCCCAGATCTCAGGCCTCTAGGCCCCATAGACACAAGATTCCCCTGCTGCCACGCAGGCGAGGGGAGCCTTTGATGCTGCCACCTCCCTTAGAGCGGGGGTACCGGGTCACTGCTGAAGACCTGCACCTGGAAAAAGAGGCGGCATTACAGCGGATCAACAGTGCACTGCAGGTTGAGGACAAGGCCATCTCGGATTGCAGACCCTCACGGCCTTCCCACACTTTGTCCTCACTTGCAACAGGGGCTTCTGGTGGGTCTCCCGTTTCTAAAGCACCCACTATGGATGCACAGCAGGACAGACCCAAGTCCCAAGACTGCCTGGGCCTAGTGGCCCCCCTAGCATCTGCTGCAGAGGTCCCCTCTACAGCTCCTGTGTCTGGGAAGAAGCACAGACCACCAGGACCCCTGTTCTCCTCCTCAGATCCCCTTCCTGCCACATGTTCCCACTCCCGGGACTCAGCCCAGTACACCTCGCTGATTCCTGCCCCCTTCACAGCTGAAAGCATGGATGCCGGCATGAGAAGAAGGAGGCCTGGCACATCGGCTCCTGCAGCTGCCGCAGCAGCCCCTCCCCCCTCCACATTGAACCCCATGTTGGGGTTACTACTCAATGCAATGGATGCAGGCCCCTCATATTTCTGGGCCTCAGCCACAGCTGCAGCAGGTGCCCAGAGGTCAGAAGTGAGATATAACCAGAGATCCCAGACCTCCCGGACCAGATCGTGCACCAAACGAAATGCCAGCTCGAGCTCCTACAGCTCTACGGAAGGCCTCCCGGAACTAAAGCGGAGGAGGGGGCCAGCCTCATCCCACTGCCAGCTGACCCTCAGTTCCTCAAACACAGTGAGTGAGGACGGACCTCAGGCTGTCTCTTCGGGTAACAGCCACTGTGAAAACAACGCGGATACAGCACCAGGGCAGACACTCGCCCCCAGGGGTGGCTCCCCCAGATCCCAGGCCTCTAGGCCCCGCATCAACAGTGCACTGCAGGTTGAGGACAAGGCCATCTCACACTGCAGACCCTCACGGCCTTCCCACACTTTGTCCTCACTTGCAACAGGGGCTTCTGGTGGGTCTAGCGTTTCTAAAGCACCCACTATGGATGCACAGCAGGACAGACCCAAGTCCCAAGACTGCCTGGGCCTAGTGGCCCCCCTAGCATCTGCTGCACAGGTCCCCTCTACAGCTCCCGTGTCTGGGAAGAAGCACAGACCACCAGGACCCCTGTTCTCCTCCTCAGATCCCCTTCCTGCCACCTTTTCCCACTCCCGGGACTCAGCCCAGGTCACCTCGCTGATTCCTGCCCCCTTCACTGCTGAAAGCATGGATGCCGGCATGAGAAGAACAAGGCCTGGCACGTCGGCTGCTGCAGGTGCCGCAGCAGCCCCTCTCCCCTTCACATTGAACCCCATGTTGGGGTTACTACTCAATGCAATGGATGCAGGCCCCTCATGTTTCTGGGCCTCAGCCACAGCTGCAGCAGGTGCCCAGAGGTCAGAAGTGAGATATAACCAGAGATCCCAGACCTCCCGGACCAGATCGTGCACCAAACGAAATGCCAGCTCGAGCTCCTACAGCTCTACGGAAGGCCTCCCGGAACTAAAGCGGAGGAGGGGGCCAGCCTCATCCCACTGCCAGCTGGCCCTCAGTTCCTCAAACACAGTGAGTGAGGACGGACCTCAGGCTGTCTCTTCGGGTCACAGCCACTGTGAAAACAACGCAGATACAGCACCAGGGCAGACACTCGCCCCCAGGGGTGGCTCCCCCAGATCCCAGGCCTCTAGGCCCCGCATCAACAGTGCACTGCAAGTTGAGGACAAGGCCATCTCGCACTGCAGACCCTCATGGCCTTCCCACACTTTGTCCTCACTTGCAACAGGGGCTTCTGGTGGGTCTAGCGTTTCTAAAGCACCCACTATGGATGCACAGCAGGACAGACCCAAGTCCCAAGACTGCCTGGGCCTAGTGGCCCCCCTAGCATCTGCTGCACAGGTCCCCTCTACAGCTCCCGTGTCTGGGAAGAAGCACAGACCACCAGGACCCCTGTTCTCCTCCTCAGATCCCCTTCCTGCCACATCTTCCCACTCCCGGGACTCAGCCCAGTATACCTCGCTGATTCCTGCCCCCTTCACAGCTGCAAGCATGGATGCCGGCATGAGAAGAAGGAGGCCTGGCACGTTGGCTCCTGCAGCTGCCGCAGCAGCCCCTCCCCCCTCCACATTGAACCCCATGTTGGGGTTACTACTCAATGCAATGGATGTAGGCCCCTCATATTTCTGGGCCTCAGCCACAGCTGCAGCAGGTGCCCAGAGGTCAGAAGTGAGATATAACCAGAGATCCCAGACCTCCCGGACCAGATCGTGCACCAAACGAAATGCCAGCTCGAGCTCCTACAGCTCTACGGAAGGCCTCCCGGAACTAAAGCGGAGGAGGGGGCCAGCCTCATCCCACTGCCAGCTGGCCCTCAGTTCCTCAAACACAGTGAGTGAGGACGGACCTCAGGCTGTCTCTTCGGGTCATAGCCACTGTGAAAACAACGCAGATACAGCACCAGGGCAGACACTCGCCCCCAGGAGTGGCTCCGCCAGATCCCAGGCCTCTAGGCCCCGCATCAACAGTGCACTGCAGCTTGAGGACAAGGCCATCTCACACTGCAGACCCTCACGGCCTTCCCACACTTTGTCCTCACTTGCAACAGGGGCTTCTGGTGGGTCTAGCGTTTCTAAAGCACCCACTATGGATGCACAGCAGGACAGACCCAAGTCCCAAGACTGCCTGGGCCTAGTGGCCCCCCTAGCATCTGCTGCACAGGTCCCCTCTACAGCTCCCGTGTCTGGGAAGAAGCACAGACCACCAGGACCCCTGTTCTCCTCCTCAGATCCCCTTCCTGCCACCTCTTCCCACTCCCGGGACTCAGCCCAGGTCACCTCGCTGATTCCTGCCCCCTTCACAGCTGCAAGCATGGATGCCGGCTTGAGAATGAATGCCGGCATGCGAAGAATGTTTTGTGTTCGAAATTGTTTGAGGGGTTTGGGTTTATATTTGTTGGTTTTTTTTTTTTTTTTTTTTTTTTTTTTTTGCTTACATGGGCATCCTTCAGCTTTTAATTATCCGAAAAATTCTATTTACCCATTGTCAATGTGTATAAATTAATCTGAGTGAATTTTATACAATAAAAGGCGAACTTTTATGCATGAAACAATAATTTACAAAAAGTGTACCAGAAGAAGTATGTTCATTACAAATATAGGAAACATAAATATTACCAAATATTGGCAAGCACTAAAATGTTCAGAAATATAAGTCTATTACAGTTATAGCTCTCTCAAGCAAAAAAATAGCAGAGAAAAACTTAGTTTACCTTAGGGGCTATTTATTGACTTAGAGATTTGCTAAAAGGTCAAATGGGGTCACACAGAATACTAAGAAGAGCTGTTCACCCAGACCTCACTAAGAACTCTTCTTCATTCAGTAGCTATATAGTAATATGACAACTGCTCCTACCACCCAGAGAGGAACTACAGCAACTACTCTTTAGCACCTATTGCTCCCAACTCTGCTTTCCAATTATATCACTCAAGCATTCTGGCTCCGTTAACTATTACTTCTGTTACTCCCAATTGAATTCCCTCTAACCCTCCCACTCTGCCTATTTCAGCTTTCTGCTGCCTCATGACTTCAATTCCATCAGAGTTATGCATTGTTTCCTCTGTACATCTTTGCTCTGCTTCCATTGCTAATTCCCTAGTAAAGTGTTGTATATTCAAAGTTCCAAAGAAACAGAATATCCAAGACATCACCAATCGTCCAAAACACAGTGTAGGAGGCCACAGTTAAGAGAAGCAAGACCATTAGCTCTTTTTATAGGCTGGAGAACAACAGGATGCTTTGGTCCTGTATCAGCAGGATGCTTTTTGGGTAGATCCTACTTCCACCCTACTATCGGGTAGATCCTACTGCCACCCTAGCTATGCGCACATGTCAGAGTCCCATGTAATAAAGGAGACAAAAGGAAACCACCACGAGTATAAACTAAGAAAAGTACTCCAAGGTTTCTAAGAATGGAGCTGTATAACTCACTTTGCCCCATTTGTTACTTCTCCACGGTACTTACCACCGCCTATTATATATATTTTGTTTATAGTCAGTCTTCCCTCATTAGAATGAAAGTTCCGTGAGGATAGGACTATACAGTCAGCCCTCAGTATCCATGGGGGACTAGTTTCAGGATCTCCTGAGGATAACAAAGGATACTCAAGTCCCTGATATAAAATGACATAGTATTTGCACATCACCTTTGCACATCCTCCCATATACTTCATATCAACTCTAGATCACTCATAATATTCAATGTAAATGTCATGCAAATAGTTATTGTACTATATTGTGTAAGGAATAAGGACAAGAAAAAAGTCTGTACATGTTCAGTACAGACGCAATTTTTTTCCCAATATTTCCAATCCTTGGTTGGCTTAATAAACAGATGTAGAACCCAGGAATAAGTTCTGGTGTCCTATTGCATAGTAGGATGAGTATAGTTAACAATAACATATTATATATTTGAAAATAGCCAGAAGAGTAGATTTTGAATTTTCTCCCTACAGAAAAATCATTATGCAAATTACCCTGATTTGATCATTACACATTGAGTACATGTATTAAAACATCACATTGTACCCCATATATATGTACAAGTATGTGTCAATAAAAATTTAATGTCAATATGTGAAATAAAATGAAAAAATAAAAATTTTTAAAGCTGTAATTATCTCCATCTGGTAGGAATACATATAATCTGAAATAAAAAAATATATTTGTAATTGTTAGGACAAAATAGATTATAGATTATTTTAAGTCTGCAACTTATAAATTACAAAATTCTCACAGAACCTGAAAAATTATTGGTATTGTTAAATATTTTAAAAGCTGTCCTTGGAGAGAAAGAAACCTATCAGATTTACATCAACAAGTGCAATATATCAGCCTATTACCATCTGCTACAGACTGCATGTTTGTGTTCCCTCAAAATTCATATGATAGGCCGGGCGCGGTGGCTCATGCCTGCAATCCCAGCACTTTGGGAGGCCGAGGCGGGTGGATCACCACGTCAGGAGATCGAGATCATCCTGGCCAACATGGTAAAACCCCGTCTCTACTAAAAATACAAAAAATTAGCCGGGCGCAGCGGTGGGCGCCTTAGTCCCAACTACTGAGGAGGCTGACACAGGAGAATGGCGTGAACCCAGGAGGCGGAGCTTGTAGAGAGCCGAGATTGTGCCACTGCACTCCAGCCTGGGTGACAGACAGAGCGAGACTCTGTCTCAAAAAAAAAAAAAAAAAATTCATATGATAAAGCCCTAACCCCCAAGGTGAGGATATTGGGAGGCGTGGCCTTTAGGAGAGAATTAGGTTTAGATGAGGTCATGAGAATAGAGCCCCTATAGTGGCATTACTTCCTTTATAAGAAGAGACACTAGAGCTGCTTTTCTCCCTACCATGTGAGGATACTGAGAGAAGATGGCCATTTCCAATCTAGGAAGCAGGCCCTCTTTAAGAAACGTAATTTGCCAACACTTTGATCTTGCACTTCCAGCCTCCAGAACTGTGAGAAATATCTCTTCTTTTTTTTTTTTTTTTTTTTTTTTTTGAGACAGAGTCTCATTCTGTCATCCAGGCTGGAGTACAGTGGTGCGATCATGGCTCACTGCAACCTCCACCTCCCAGGTTCAAGCAATTCTCCCACCTCAGCCTCCCAAGTAGCTCAGACTACAGGCGTGCACCACCATGCCCAGCTAATTTTTGTAGAGACAAGGTTTTGCCATGCTGCCCAGGCTAGTCTCAAACTCCTGAGCTCAAGTTATCCACCTGCCTCGGCCTCCCAAAGTGTTAGGAATACAGGCATAAGCCACCATGCCTGGTCAAAATATCTACTGATTAAGCTACCTAATTTATGGTATTCTGTTTTAGCAGCTGAAGCAGACTAAGATACCATCCTATAAGCTACAGACCAGCACTATCCAATAGAACTTTATATGACGAGGAAATGTTTTATATCTGTGCTATCCATTATGTTAGCCACTAGCCACAGGTATCCATCAAGTATTTGAAATATGGCTAGTGCAACTAAAGAACTTAATTTTTATTTTTTTTAATTTTTTTTTATTTTTTTTTTGAGAAGGAGTCTCGCTCTGTCCCCCAGGCTGGAGTGCAGTGGCGCCATCTCGGCTCACTGCAAACTCTGCCTCCCAGGTTCAAGCCATTCTCCTGCCTCAGCCTCCTGAGTAGCTGGGACTGCAGGTGCCCGCCACCACGCCCAGCTAATTTTTGGTATTTTTAATAGAGATGGGGTTTCACCGTCTTATTAAGGATGGTCTCGACCTCCTGACCTCATGATCTGCCCGCCTCGGCCTCCCAAAGTGCTGGGATTACAGGCGTGAGCCACCGCGCCCGGCCAATTTTTATTTCATCTTATTTAAATAACCCCATGTGGCCAGTGGCTACTGTATTGAACACTACAGCTGTAGACAATATGAAATAAATATAAAGCAGTCTCCACTTTGGAAAAACAGAAGACTCTTACTGCCTCATAATATAGATGAAAAATGAAATACTAAGATAAGTAAAATGTTCTTTAAAGAACAAAAACAAAAGAAAACCTAATGAAAGCTATAAAAGTCCATTGGATAATAATGCTACCAGTACTAAGGAAGTACAGCCCCTAAAAGTGACTTGCAGTCACAAATATAAAAACGACTATTCAAGTGAACTCCTAAGGTAAAAATTTGTTATTCACCATGCTCCAAAATGGTCTGTAACATTCTTCAGAGATGGCATGGTAAAGTACGATACAAGGGTAATATTAACAGTATGCTGTCACAGGTGCCATTCTCTTAAAAAAGAAATCCCAAAATAAATATAAATGGAAAGCAAATAATTAAACACACTAAATACAGATTATTACAAAAATCCATAAGGAATTCTGGTGCAGAAAGAACTTCATAATCAAAATCCCAAATATAAAATTTATCTATCAAAAGTGAAAATGCTGACATACAGTTTCTTGCAAAAAAAAAAAGTTTAGAAATTTTTTTAACATAAATAAATAAGAACATCTTTTTAAACAAAATCTTAGGCTGTTGAGTCCCGTTTATTTTCTACACCTCTAATTCCAAAGCTGAGAAACAAACGGATACTTCAGAAAAAAAAAAAAAATAACTCATGACAATTTGTCTTTTGGACACAGAATATAAAGGAAAAATAAAATTTATGTCTAACTGGCCAGACCTCAATTGAATTTTTCATCCTAGCTGGTTCCTAAATCCAAATCAGATACTTATCAATAAAACTGTTTTTCTGCACAGCTACTACTAGCTAGAAACTGCTTCTCCAAATTTATACTGACCATTTCTTCTAAAATGTTGAAATTCTAGCTCATAGTTTTTAAAAAACCATTCTTAATGTACTGATTCCAGAGTACTAATTCCAATGGCCAAGAAAATTCAAAAAGATTTGGAGTGGTCTCTGAGATTAGAATGTGTGACAATGTGAAGCATTTCACTACAACGTCCAAGATTAAAGTGTCAAAGCAGATGAGGAAATGAAGCTCCCAAAACAGATGCCCATGAGAAAGGAGCCCAGAAAAGCAAAAGGGGCCACAGCCCAGGACCTTACAATAAAGAAAAGTGGCTCTGGCCCCATGGTAGCCTTCCTGAAACACTGGGAAAGAATGAAGTCCTTAGCAAAATTCTGACCAGGATCGCAAATTTAAATGTAAGCTTGTAAGGAAAACACCTATGGACTTGGGTTTAAATTTGTCCATCTAAGATATAAAATTACAAGTTTGACCAAATGTGCCAGTTGTCCACTTATTTTCTCTCAGCTCTGAATTCATCCTTTCCTGTCTGCTCTGCAGAAATGAACTTGGACCCTTTAAACATTTTTCCTTTGCTAGTTGGCATGATGTTAGATCGACATTGTAAGAGGAGATTTTCCTCTTCTTTCCAAGAGTCTTGTGTGCTCCTCTTGGCAGGCTTCTGTACTGCAACACAGCTTCTCCAGTGTCCAGATCCAGAACCCGTGCAGTTTGCTCCATTGTCAGGCTCCTGAAGTGCACAGCAGTCAGCAGCACCCAGTATCTTCCACCAGTACCTCCACAAGGCAGTATTATAGCAGAGTGATTCGGATGAGACAGATTTCTACCACAGCAACTTCTCTTCATTCAGTGAGCCACAGCCATGCCCCCTCAAACAGGGTCTGGATCTTAATCCCAGAGGCCCTGGATGTTCTATCTTAACCCCAGGGGTTGATGCTCCTTTTATCTGTTATTCTTATATTCCTTAGAGTTCTCTTTACTTTTTACTAGCCAATCCTCATTGCTCCAAAACCCTGTTATAGCTAGCAGTTCTTCGTATTAATCTTTCCTTGTTCAAATTACATGTGATTTCTCTATTCTAATCAAACACTGACTGATAGATCAAATTTCAGGCAATTAATCAAATTGAGAAAATTATAGGGCATTATGTCTAATTTGTTATTTTATATATTAGCAAACACATAAGATCTGATAATCAGAAAGTTCAGAGCGCTAAACCAAAGTCTCTAAAGAATGGAAGGAATCAGTTCACAGGATATATGCTTGTTAATGCTACTCCCATTTGGGGGAAGTATAATTTTCTCCAGTAACCATGAAAAATAAGAGATCACTTTGTTTCTTCTGATGATTTATTTTTATTTTAAAAGGGAAATGAAAATCTGAAAAATATAAAAGTTTAAGAAGACAAAGTAGAAACAGTCAATGGCTCCATTTCTCTGGCAAACTAATCAACCAAACTGTTCTATCTACATTTGACGGGAAACCCAAAATTTCAGTGATCCCACACTAATGTTCACATTGTTTTTCTGCTATATAGGAACACTTTTAACATGTTCCCTCTGTCTCACTGTTTGTCATGTACTCTCTGTAGACTACTTTGCCAACATTAAAATGAAATGTTCAGCATCAAGCTCATCATTCCTGTCTCACTTCACTCCGAAATCTGCTAGCCACAGAGTTAAAAGGACAGGATTAAGAGTCATTAGACACAGTATTAAGGAGAATTAAAGGGCCTGTTCAAGAGGCATAACATCTGCTCCTCAAATTCCTGCCTAAACAACGAAGATTCCGATCAAAGAGAAGAGAGGGAAAGCCAATCTAACCAGTAAACCGGAGTCATGAGGAAGTGAATGCTCTCTCAGGGAGTAACTCTGACACCAGAGGAAGGCTTAGTGACATTGCACAATTGTTTCTGTGAAGTCATTCATGGGGCAAGTGGGAGTATATGAGTAGAAGTGGAAGGGAGTGGGAAGGTGAAGATTGAGGATCCTTTTAAGTAGTTTTTGCTCAGCTAGCAAAACAAGCTGGGACATGCAAGACAGATAAACACAGCTGTTTGGGGCTGTCACTTGGGGCTCAGGAGCCAAGGTGTCCTGCTGTAGTGAAAAGTGCACCGGAATGTGAGTCAGGAGTTCAGGGATCCAAGTCCTCATTCTGCTGCTAACTAGCTGCGTGATGATGAGCAAGTCCACTGGCTTCACTAGACTCAGTCTCTTTTTTTTTTTTTCGATACAGAGTCTCGCTCTGTCACCCAGGCTGGAGTGCAGTGGCACGATCTCAGCTCATTGCAACCACCACCTCCTGGGTTCAAGCAATTCTCCTGCTTCAGCCTCCTAAGTAGCTGGGATTACAGGCGCGCGCCACCACGCTGGGCTAATTTTTGTATTTTTAGTAGAGACGGAGTTTTGCCATGTTGGTCAGGCTGGTCTCAAACTCCTGACCTCGTGTTCTGCCCACCTTCGCCTCCCAAAGTGCTGGGATTACAGGCATGAGCCACCACGCCCGGCCTCAGTCTCCTTATTTCATGGAAAATGAGGAGACAAGACTAGATGGCAGCACTATACAGAGATGCTCCTGAACCCACGGAGTTCATGTACTAGTTAATATAACTTTGCTGAGTCCTGGTTTCCTCCACTGAAAAAAACATGAGAAATAATACTTTTTATAAAATTGGGTGAGGATTAAAAATAATATACATAAAGACACCTAGTACAGTAACTGAAACAAGTAATTATTATTATTACTACTTTATTTCCAATGCTAAGATTATTTGAGGGGTATAAAATCTTGGTAGCCAAGTGCAATGTTATTTCAAATACACTACAAGTTAGTATGTGTTTAGTACATGTCTTAATTATTGCTAACCAAAATACTCAAGACTTACAAATTAAGGACTTGGGCCGGGCGCGGTGGCTCACGCCTGTAATCCTAACACTTTGGGAGGCCGAGGCGGGCGGATCACGAGGTCAGGCGATCGAGACCATTCTGGCTAACACGGTGAAACCCCGTCTCTACTGAAAATACAAAAAATTAGCCAGGCATCATGGCAGGTGCCTGTAGTCCCAGCTACTCAGGAGGCTGAGCCAGGAGAATGGCATGAATCTGGGAGGCGGAGCTTGCAGTGAGCCAAGATTACACCACCGCACTACAGCCTGGGTGAATGAACGAGACTCCATCTCAAAAAATTAATTAATTAATTAAGGACTTGTAAATGTCACCCAAAAATGTAAAAATATATTTTGTCAATATAAGGTTGATTCTGCAGAGGGTGCAAAAAAAGAATAGAAATAAGGAATCCTTAAGAATTTGGAAATAGGAAATATAGAAGGCGTCTAAGGAAAAAGAGCTGAGGACTTCATCAGACTTCCCTACTCCAAATGCCAAAAGAAATAACCTAGAAAAATATAAAATCAGGATAAATGAAAGTACTACTGAAAACTGGAAATTATCCAGAAATTTCTAGTAGGAAAAGATCAGAATGATTAGGAAAGCACCTCCCAGAAAGAGTGCAACAGCCTCATATGAAACTACCCAGAAACCATGAAGTCCATGGGCGGTTCGTTCTCAAAGCAGCAAGGATGCCCTTATGGAAGCAGTTGTCACAAAAATTAGGCAGCAGGCACAAAAAACAATGTGGAAGAGATAATATAGGGTTAATAAAACAAAGACATATAGTCAAAAACCTACTATCTTTCCTAAAACTACAGCATACGGGCCGGGAGCAGTGGCTCACGCCTGTAATCCCAGCACTTTGGGAGGCTGAGGCGGGCAGATCATGAGGTCAGAAGATCAAGACCATCCTGGCTAACACCGTGAAACCCCGTCTCTACTAAAAATACAAAAAATTAGCCAGGTGTGGTGGCGGGCACCTGTAATCCCAGCTCCTCGGGTGGCTGAGGCAGGAGAATGGCGTGAACCCAGGAGGCAGAGCTTGCAGTGAGCAGACATGGCGCCACTGCACCCCAGCCTGGGCAACAGAGTGAGACTCTGTCTCACTCTGTTGCACAGTTTACAACAACAAAACTATAGCATCCATCACATAGAGGAGAGACTCCCCAACACACATATAAGGATTACTCTCAGCCCCAGCTCCCTCAAACTTCCTAAGATCAGCACTGGTATCTGATGGTGGCTCCTTGTAAATCAAACTTAATGGAGTATGTGTTATTTGGTTTATGTTTATGTGCAGCCTGCATAACAACCACTCTGTCAACATCATGCATATGTTCATTGTGTTGGTACTAGAAGACTCTATGACACACACAAGCTGATGTCATCTGATGGGTCTATTTTATCTACTTGGCTGTGCAAATCCTCTTCTGTAGTATATGCTTTCTGGTGGACACTAATATGGAACACAAAGATCTTCTCACATTGCAGCTGCTCCCATATATCCATTGATATATGCCTCTAACTCCAGACCTTTTTGTCCTTAATCTTCTAATCCGGTTATCTCTTTTCCTTTAGTGCAATTTTTCCTTATTTGTTTGTTTTGTTTTTTTTTTTAAGTAAATAGCTAGGCTTCTAAGCCCTACCACAGAGAGTCAACAGACAAACTGCCCAGGGAAAAGTTATGACCTCAGGCAAAGTGAATTTCTACAGCTAAGGCAGATCCTGAAGAAGCTCACAAATAAAGGCTGCATACTCACACATTCCCTGAAGCTTGACAGTAAGTTATTCTTTGAAGGGACATGCAAAATGTGTCTCTATATCTACAAAAAATATATAATGTGATGACTGTTTCCCTAGAGGGAAACAAGGCATTTGTAGAGATTTTAAAAAGAGGCCCCCATAGATATCCCATGATCAAAATACTTAGTGGGAATCACACATTATCCAGATGCAATAATTAATAGATTTTTATTTTCTATCTTCATGAAAAAATTCAAAATTTTCCTCCTTTCTCTATCCATTCCAAGTTCACGAAGGAGGGATTCTAGTTATTTGGCTGTGTATAGAGCAAAGAATAGTCAAAAACTTCACAGGAAAAAAAAAAAGGGCTGAGCAGATATTGAGAGTCAAACGAAAGAACAGAAGCTAAGTAACTGTCTGGGATGTAGAAGGGATATCGTAAGATATCAAGGCAGTGGTGAAAGTGTACATGTGAAGGCCTAAGAATGAGAATGTGATGATTAGGACAGCAGCCTGCTTATGATACAAAGACAGACTGCTTATTAGGAGCAGCATATGAGAGGCAGGAAATGGATGGAGATAAGGTTGGAAAAATATTAGGGAACATATTCAAAACTTGTAAACCACGCTGTGGAATGTGAAATTTATGCCAGGGGTGCGAGGACATGGAAATATTAAAGTAGAGTAGTGGTGATATGCTCATATTGTACTTGCACTACGGAAATATCATTGGAACAGCTGTTTGAAAATAGAGTCAAAGGCCGGGCGTGGTGGCTCACGACTGTAATCCCAGCACTTTGGGAGGCTGAGGCGGGCGGATCACGAGGTCAGGAGATGGGAGACCATCCTGGCTAACACGGTGAAACCCCATCTCTACTAAAAATACAAAAAAAAAATTAGCCGGGCGTGGCGGTGTGTGCCTGTAGTCCCAGCTGCTGCGGAGGCTGAGGCAGGAGAATGGCGTGAACCCGGGAGGCGGAGCTTGCAGTGAGCCAAGATGGCACTCCAGTGCACTCCAGCCTGGGTGACAGAGCAAGACTCCGTCTCAAAAAAAACAAAAAAAACAAAACAAAACAAAAAAGCAGAAAATAGAGTCAAAGAGCTCCTCTGCTGTCTTCAAATATCGACAATTTCACAGGATCCTTCTCCCATAATAAGATCTCCTGTATTTCTGAAAGATAAGTCACTGACATTTCTGAAATGTCCAGTTACCTATGCTTCCAAAACTGCTATAATAGAAAATGACATTAAAAATTTTTTGATGAAGCCAGCATGCAAAGAAAAATTACTATTACAGCCAAGAAGGTTTTATACTGGAGTCATTCCATCCGTGTCCAAAATCAGATTTGATGGCCAAGACCAATTAAAATTTACGATGATATCAATTACATATGCAGATTCTGATTCTGTCTATATAGCAGTAAGTGGGCAGGAACAAAAGTGGGTCAAATTCCAAAACTCTGGACAAATATAATGGAGTATTTTACAAATAATGATACAAAATTGACCAAAAGTCATGACCAAACTAAAGATTGTAATAATACTTTGGCAGATTAAAATTTTTAACAAGATAAAGTTTTAACATATAATAATCACACTACAAAGCATAAAAAAAGCTTGTGTCTACTTTCATTATGAATATTGTTGTTCCCAAAGTATAGACCTTCTATTTTATGTTAGGATAAGCTATAACACATGGATTTCTTTTATACTGGGAGCCATTATTCCATCACCCCAAAACTCCCATCAGATTATCTTAGAAAGAAATTTAAAGACTTCAACAAAGACCACACTGTAGTTCAGAAGGGAAGGCCTAGTGTTTATAAGAATAGATAGAAAAGAACATTGGGAAAGGAGACAGGTCATGGGATGTAGAATTAAAAAACAAAAGGGTTACAGAGAAATTGGTTAAAGGCATACAAATAAAATTGTATAGATGGAATAAAGGGAAATTACGGTTAGTAATAACTTATTGTATATTTTTAAATAGCTGGAAGAAAATAATTATAATGGTCCCAATAGAAAGAAAAGATCGATATTTGAGGTGACTGATATCCTACTTACCTTGATTTTATCATTACACATTGTATATAGGTATCAAAATATCACATATCCCCCCAAAATGTGTACAGCTATGTCAATAAAAATCTAAAAAAAGGCAATAAGCATGGAGAATATATGAAGTAAAATAAATATTTGAATATACAGATTTCCATCAGGTGCAAGCAAAAGCAATAATCTCTGTTTGCATAATTATTGCAATGGAGAGAGTTGTTTGTATTTATTTAATAAGAAGTATGATGTCTTCAGAATATTTATAAAAGAATAGCAGAGATTAGAAAACATTCAATGTAGGAACATCCATATGGGGAAAATGAAAAATTCATCCTGCCATACATGGCGATCTATATGGAAAAATACAACTAGTAAATGTTCATGTATCTGAGACTGTTTTGTATCTATATGGAAAAATACAACTAGTAAATGTTCATGTATCTGAGACTGTTTTGAGGTATGGTCTCATTTTCTATTCCACGATGTATTAACTTTTCCCATCCAATTAGAAATTTTCCTCTTCAGTCAATATTTAATTTTCATTGTCTCATATTTTCCAAAGTATAGGGGTTTCCTGTCCCCTCTTCATGTAGAATTGAAGGTCTGCGATTATTTCCAGCTAAGGAAGCAAAATGCATAAATCTGGAGAGTCTCTGATCAGTAGCAGGAGCACACATTCCACTAAGGACCAAAGAGCACATTCTTTCAACTGTTTTGTCATTCCTGTCTTATTTATGTGAGTTAAGGAATAAAAAATCAAATTATCAGATCATCTCTGTAATTTTCCAAAGAGCTAAAAATAAGACCATCAGAAAATTATTTCCCTTTACTGGCTGATTTCTAGCTCTCTGTTTCATATAACTTGTGTGTGAAAAGCACTTTTGTAACTCTGACCAGTTTTCATTACATCATTGTCTCTCAGATTGCCTCTTTAAGGGATTCTATAGCTTAAGCTGTTTTAAAAAATAGATTTAAGTAAGGGTTAAGGCACCTTTTAGTGTGACAGAAATTCACACCATGTTTGGCATGGTACAGATTTATATAGATTCACTCTCTTAGTCATTCCATTTCCTCCAGTATGGATCCTCGATATGAACAACTAAAGAGTACAACAGCTAATCTTAGTGAATAACCAAGCTAGACTGTCCAAACAACCTGTGGTCATTAATCATTTCTGTGAAATGGAATGCTTTTATTTAACATGCCCAGGTTCTAATTTATATTTCATGAATTAATTTATGTTGAATATGTTTATATTTCAAATTTTATTTATATTTAAGTACAGTACCATGCCAAGAAAACTGAAATTCAGTATGCGTGTGTGTGTGTATATATATGTATATGTTTATGCATATTTCCACAATTTCCTACATGAAGTCAAATTCTTGTAACAATGTTGACTCATAGATGTTTTTCTTTCATTCTATAAAAATTATGAAAAATTTTATGCAGCACAGTCCAATAGATTTGTTGCAATGATGGCTGCGCTTTATATCTATGCCTTCCAAAGTGGCAGCCACTAGCCACACATGGCTATTGTGCACCAGAGATGTGGCTGGTGCAACTGAGGAAATTAATTTTAATTTAATGTAAGTTTAAATAATACTCTGCATTTAAATTTAAGTAACATCTTTGTGTATCTAATGGCTACCACATTAAACAGAACAGATCTATGGCAGTTAGAAACAGTTACTGTGTTCTCATTTTCACAATAATGGGAGAAAACAATTAAGTAGAATTCTTAAGCACAATTCAAAAGTCATAATATTAGATGTAATGTGACTAAAGGAACATTGAAGATGCTCTAACTCACCTTAGAAGAAATGGAGAAACATAAAGGAAAGTTTCTAAAGGAAAGAAAAACAAGTTGTCTTGAAGTAGGACTAGGAGTTAGAGCCAAGTTGATTCTTTGTTCACTTGCAGAAAAAAAAAAAACAATAACCAATTAAAATCATCTTGACCATGCCTACTTTCAAAAATAGATTGTTCTGTTTACTGTGATTGGTGCTTGTGGGATTTCTTCCAGTGTTAACTTAAGCATTAAAAAAGGAATCATCAGAAAAATCCCATAAACTTAAGAGTATCCTCCAAAATACCAAATCAGGTCTCCATTGGATCCCAGAAAAAACTTGTAAATATTTTAGAGCTTGGTAATCCATATTTTCCATATGCCATTTAATATCTCACTCTAAGCAATATGTAATTATCTATTTTTTTATTTCCAGAGGAAGAAAATCATTAATTTATTTATTTTTCCTACCTATGTACTTTTAAACCTAACTCACCATTCATAGTAGCACTAGGAGGCAGTATTAGGGAGCTAATACTAAGTCCTGCTTATGACAATAAATTTAAATTCCCTTACTTTCCTGTTCCCCTTGTTCTCACTTCCTGTTGTGTTTCAGTTGAACTTAACCTCCAAATTGTATTGTTTTGCTCAATTTGTGGTCCTCTTGTCATCCTCCACCAATGGACTTTTACATTGGATGCCTCTAACTTCAGCTGCAGTTCAGTACTGAGCTCTTAATCACTCTCTTGCTCCTCCTGCTCCTGACTACTTTGGGCCACTGTAATTCTTCTCTCGTTGCACTCTAAAAGTAAGACTTCTGTGCCCATTGACTTGACTGATACTCCAAATGGACTTATCATAGTTAAGTAATTTTATAACTTCTATAGATATCTTGTACTCAAAGATACCATTTAGAGCATTATCTACATTTCTGATTTCTTTAAAGAATTTGATTTTAAATTAGAAGTATACAAAGGGCAGTAAGGGATACTGTCTAAGCATTCATCTTTCTGGTCTTTGGATATACCAGATGTGAGAATTAAAGAAAATCACAAATTCATTGATACTCTTCCCATCAAGTGGGTGGGCTCTGTGACAGCTCTAATGAAATGTATTGGAGGGTTTCTTTCTTTTGTGTGTGTGTGTGTCTGTGTGTGTGTGTGTGCGTGTGTATGCATCTGTTTCTGCCTCCAGACCTTTAGAGACTGGCAGCTTCCACTTCATGTTTATTGGAACACTCACTCTTGGAAATCAGCCATCATGCTGTTAGAAAGCCAAAGCTGCCTCATGGAGAGGACTAGCCTGGCTGAGCAGCCAACATCGACTTTGTTTTCCATGAGAGGAGCCTCCTCAACACCTAAACCTGATTTACATTATGAATCCTGATCTTGAAACTAATTCTATATTGAACTGAAATTTCTGGGGTCTTGAAATGGGGTGAGTGTATTTTTCATGTGAGAATATTGTAAAGAGTTTTTGGCCAGAGGTTTACTGTGACAGGTCAAAAATGATCATATATTCCTTACATTTCTCTCACTGAAAGTTGGAGTCCATACCCACTTTCCTTGAATCTGTGGACTCTATAGCTACTTGCGTATAGTATAAGTGACAGATTACGAGACTGAAAACTTTCAATTCCTCTCTCTTGAAATACTCACTCTTAGGTGCCAGCCACCATACTGTGAGGGAGCTGAAGTAAGCCCACATGAGGAAGAATTGAGGTCCCAAGCCAACAGCTGCAGCTAAGATCCAAGCTCTCAACCAGTACCAGTTCATCCGTTATGTGAGTAGCTGCTCCAGCCATGGTTGAGTCACCACAACTGATAGCACATACAGCAAAGACTTGCACACCATAGAGTCCATCCTAGATTCTTCATCCACAAAGTCAGGAGCAATATAAAATTTCTATTTCAAGCCAATATGTTTTGGCATTATTAACCAGAAATAGATAATTCAAATCCTAGAGTATTTTCACAGTAGAATGTTTCTGCTCTACGTGGAATTATCGTCACACAAATCTTTTCAGAGCTAGTTTCGTTCAGTACTTAGTACTCACTTAAATGAAATATCATAAGAACGTATACTCAGTCTTAGGTATCTTTATACTCTCAAGTCAATCACATTATCTTTTTTGTATTTGTTTTGTTAAGTGTTTATCTGTAAATACCTACTCCTGCCATAATTAGAACACAAGTTCCATAAATTAAAGGAATTTGTTTGACTTGTTATTTGCTATATCACTTTCACTTAAAGTAATACCTCAATATACATGCACTTATTGTATATTTATTGAATAAATAAATTACTAATTCTGTTCTACTAACTTTACTATAAAAGAGGATCTGATTATGTGGTAATAGAGACAGAGAATATTAGAAGCTTATCGGTCCATCTTCTGTATTACCAAATCCTTTCTCATTATTTCTCAAATATTGAGTTATCAATTAAGAAACTGGATTATAAATGACTCAAATCTTCGTAACTGACCAATGATAATGATATCTTACACCTACAACCCAAATATCCAGATAGTTGTAATGTTGGCTGGTTGATCACAAACCAATGTAATTTGATTTGACCTGGATAAATGTGTTACGATAAATTAGAAAAATCAACATCAAAATCTGCTGTTCAATCACACAACCAAAAAAAATCCAATCTGTGGCTGCAGTTAGAGTATTTTTCATGGATTGCAGTGGCACCATCATGGCTGACTGCAACCTTGGCATCCCAGGCTCAAGAGACTCTCCCAACTCAGCCTACCAAGTACTTACAAACTACAGATGTGTGCCACCATGCCTGGATAATTGTTTTTTGTTTGTTTTGCTTTGTTTTTATGTAGAGATAAGGTCTCACTATGTTGCCCAGGCTGGTCTTGAACTCCTGAGCTCAAATGATCCTCTTGCTTCAGCCTCCCAAAATGCTAGGATAACAGGCATGAGTGACCATGCCGGGCCTGCCTCTCTGATCTCACATATTTTGAGTTAGATGATAGTTTTATACACACATGTGCACATACACACACATGCACGCACATTCTCAAAAACACAAATGCTTTACTCCACTTCTTTTTACCTAATTCAGAGCACTCTTGCTGTCACCACATTTGTGCAGAAGCACCTATAACTGTGTGTTATCCTTTTGCAATGTGTGGATTTAGTTATTGGAAAATAAAAGATCATAGTTTTTTTTTAAATCTAACTTTTAGAGAGAAAATGTCATGCCTGTGGGATCTAGAAGACATACTCCTTTGTTTTTAGTTCTGCTAGTACCCTATGTGCCTTTACCAAAACCTTACTGAATGGATTTCAGAAAGTCTTTAATTGTCATCTCCTTCCCCTTTGTATTCTACAAAGTTCCCAACAATATCAATGAATAAGAAGGAAGTCTTAAGGCTCCAGGAATCCCCTCAGGGAGACTAGCTTTCAGAATTTTAGGTAAGTGGCTGACTGGACAGATGTGTAAGGTAGCATTATATTTTCCTAATAAGTGTATAATGTAGCACATTTATACTGCCCAAGAGAATGGCTAAATGTGCTTAACTAACATTACCTGTGGCTCAGTTGAAGCAATCTAGTTTTCTCTCCTAAAATACAGATCTTTTTATTTATTTATTTTTGCCAGGGGGGATAGTTCCTCAAGAAAATTCCCATTAAAATTTGCATTGTAAAAGTACAACTGAGTCAGCTGTTATACCCTTGATTGTAGAAATATAAAAGGCAAAGTCTTTGTTATCAACATATTAGAGCAATCATTATAAAACTGTTAAATCATGAGGAAAATTGACCCTGACAATTAGATCTTGAAAGAGAATTATTCCTTACATGCTTCTCATGAATTTAAAATTTCCTAAGTACTATTTTCCAAATGGTTCAGTTTTCCAGTATCTGTTAAAACACTTATTAAAACTTATTTAGAGTTTGCTTGTTTGAAATTTCCTGTTATCTATGAGGTTTTTTTTTTTCTTTTTCATTGACATAAAAATGTCCTATGTCAAATTTCAGGGGAACCACACATTATTATCTCCCAGGGCCCTTGAGAGAACGAAAGCCATCACACTAGTATTCCCCCAGTTTCCACTCTCAGATGCTTTTGAATCCTGTCATCCAAATCATCCTGGTGCTAATACATTCCCAAGCACTGAGGACTCAAAGGAGCATGATGCTTCAATGTGTTTATAGAATACATTTCATACAGACAGGCACGAAAGGAACAGTTTGCATAATCATCTGCCAAAAAGAATCCATCTGTCAGAGAACAGTGGACGCTGATATCAAACAAGTTCACATTAAAAAACAAAATCTCAATTCCCATTCTATGCACTTCATTTCCTTGAGCCTAATTATCAATATGCATATAAATGGGGAAAAATACTTCCTGGTTACACTTCACAATTCTAATCCTGGCAAGAAACAACAATAACTGCTTTACCATCATTTTGCAGGGGGCTGTACCACACAGCTGAGAATATCGGGGCTGAAAATGTCAGGCCAATTGCTATTGTAGCCAATGTGAAGTTTTACTGCTCATGACAAAAGGGGTGTGTGAACAACAAAAATATTGTCTCATCTCCTTAGTGCTAACTAATCCTGGCTGACCCCAAAGAAGAAACACAGCCCAGTTTCCCCGAAAAGCCTTCATTTAGTAGTTGCTTTCTGATAAAGTTTTAAAATTTCTGCTCAGTTAACCATGGAAGAAACACTGGTCTTCAGAGAGGAAAAAAAAAAAAATGAAAAGATAAATTTTAGAGACTAAAATAAAATCCAAATGTTCAGTAAAAATGCAAAAGCAAATTGAATTATTTGCTTCACAATTTTTTTTTTTTTGAGATGGAGTCTCGCTCTGTCACCCAGGCTGGAGTGCAGTGGCACGTTCTCGGCTCACTGTAACCTCCGCCACCCGGGTTCAAGTGATTCTCCTGCCTCAGCCTCCTGTGTAGCTGGGATTACAGGCACACACCACCACCCGCAGCTAATTTTTGTAATTTTAATAGAGACAGGGTTTCACCATATTGGCCAGGCTGGTCTCAAACTCCTGACCTCGTGATCTGCCCGTTTCAGCCTCCCAAAGTGGTGGAATTACAGGTGTGAGCCACCACGCCTGGCCTTCACAAAATATTCTTAACTTACAGAAACTATTGGTGCATATTTTTAAGAAGTGCACTCTCAAATTTTTAAATTTATTTTTGATTTTTATTTGTATTCATTTAAGGGGTATAAGTGTAATTTTGCTACATTATATGAATATATTGCATAGTGGGGAAGTCAGGGCTTTTAGTGTCTATATCACCCACATAACTTACTTTGTACTCTTTAAGAAATTCTCTGTCATCCACCCCCTACCCGTTCCTCAACCCTTCCCCACTTCCCAGCATCTGCTGCCTCTCATTCCACAATCTATGTTCACGTTATTTATTTATTTGTTTATTTATTTATTTAGAGATGGGGTCTTACTCTGTCGCCAGGCTGGAGTGCAGTGGCGCAATCTCGGCTCACTGCCACCTCTGCCTCCTGGGTTCAAGTGATTCTCCTGCCTCAGCCTCCCAAATAGCTGGGACTACAGGCGCCCGCCACCACGTCTGGCTAATTTTTTGTAATTTTAGTAGAGATGTAGTTTCACCATTTTGGCCAGAATGGTCTTAATCTCTTGACCTCGTGATCCACCCGCCTTGGCCTCCCAAAGTGCTGGGCTTACAGGAGTGAGCCAACATGCCAGGCCTCTGTTCACATTATTTATCTCCCACTTATAAATGAGATAATATGGTATTGTCTTTCTGTTTCTGAGTTGTTTCACTTAAGATAATGGCCTCCAGTTCCATTCATGTTGCTGCAAAAGACATGATTTCCTTCTTTTTATGGCTGAATAGTGTCCAGTGTGTGTGTGTGTGCGTGCGTGTGTGTGTAATCCTGTGTATACATACGCATATATATAAACACATATATATTTATGACAGTTTCTTTATCCAATCTGCCATTGATGGACACTTAGATTGATTCCATACCTTTGCTATTGTGAATATTGCTATGATAAACATACGAGTTCAGATATCTTTTGATATAATTACTTCTTTTCATTTGAGTATTTGCTGGGTCAAATGATAATTCTCCTTTTAGTTCTTTGAGAAATCTCCATACTATTTTCCACAAAGGTTGCACAAATTTACATTCCCAAATAGTATAAGCATTCTCTTTTCTCCACATGTTAACCAACATGTTATTTTTGTCCTTTTAATAATAGCCATTCTGACTGAGATGATATCTCATTATGGTTTTAATTTGCATTTATCTGATGATTAGCGATGAGCATTTTTTAATATGCTTGTCCATTTTTTGTCTTCTTTTGAAAAGTGTCTATTTATGTCCTTAGTCCACTTTTTAATGGGATTATTCATTTTTTGTTTGTTTTCTTATTTCGTTAAGTTCCTTGCACATTCTGGATATTAGTTCCTGTAAGATATAGCTTGGAAATATTGCACTGTCTCAATTTTAATATGATTTAATTACATGTAGCTTAAAAATATGAGAACTTACACAAGGAGAGGTAAATCTCTACTTTCTGAAATATGAGTTGAAAAATCATTGTGCTAAAATTATTTGAAAAAGTCAATATTTGGAAAATATTTAATTGCCAAAGCATAAATTTCTATGCTTTATGGCAGGCAATGTTCTAAGATTAGGGTTCTAGCAGTAAACAAAACTGAGAACACTTGTTTTCATGGGGCTTGTATTTTAGTGAGTAGATGTTTTTAGTAATACGATATTGGAAGTAGTTTGTTTTAATGAAAATAGTATATTTTTGAGTGTTTTTGCATATTTCCTATAAGACACTGTATGTACTTCCTTTCTCTTCCCAAAAAGAAGAAAATGCTCTTCTTTTTCATTAAAAAAATAAAATACCTGAGTCTTCAGCAACCTTCTAAATATTTCTCTAGATTTGAAGGTGGAATCTCTTGATGAAAACTGGTAGAAAGGTTTAAATTTCTAACTGCAGTTTACAAATTCTTGTGATCATAGATCATATTATTTTATCTTTTAGATATATTATTTCTGTTGAAATAACTCAGTTTATAATGTTATATTTCATTTAGTATTCATGCATTTTTTAGATTATAAAATGTTTATAAAACAGAGATTTAGGTTAGTGCAAATCATAAAAACTAGATTTGAGGGCAAACAGAGAAACAGAATTGAAGGCAAAATTTTAAGAATTCGTTAAATATGTGTCAATAAGTAGGTACATAATTTTATGCCTTTAGTTTTCCTGATTGACTAAAATTTTTCCATGACCTTCTTTGAAATTTCAATTTGAAAAATCACTGAAAGAAAAAGGAAAAGATTTCTGTGCATTTAATAAGAACCCCAATGAAAACAATTCATTTATATTTATGTAATGCTTTTCAATATTTCAATTATTTTGCATACACTTTTTGTTATGAGGACAGTCTAATGAAACAGGTTTACTTCATTAAGATTCCAATCTGTAGTTGAGATAACTAAGACTCCAATAGCTTCAATGATAAGTAATCTAACAATGAATTATTTGTGAGTTTCTCACCAAAATCTCAAGAGTTATTTTTGCTTTATTCATTGTATTGTCTTCATTAAAATGAACTTTGTCTATTATAAAAATTTTTAAAAATAAGAACTTGTCACACATTTCTATGCATGCTTATAGATACTTAAATAGGAAAAATACATTCTTCTCACTTTAGTCCATCTGTCATCCACTAAGGCATTGCTCCTCAGACGTTAATGTACATACCAATTATTTGGGGAGCTTGGTAAAAATGGAGATTCTGAACAATAATTCTGGGATGTGCCAGACATATGACTCTCTAACACGTTCCCAGGTGATGTCAATGCTGCTAGTACAGAAGTCACACTTTGAAAAGCAAGGCTGTAAAGAAGTGTTTAAAAGAAGTGTGGTTAAGGGACTAATTCTGCTACCACTGAAGATCTTCTTTTGTGTGTCCAGATAAACTTGTACCTACAAGTGTGTGAAGATTTCTCACCTATCTTCTTTCAAGCTATTTAGAATTTTACTTTCTAAAATCTCTTAAAACTTGGACTTTATTGGTGAGCTTTGTCTGCAAGGGCTAAGTAAATTAAGCATTTCCCCTATCTGGGCCATGTCTCCTTGTCCCAACTGCATGCAAAAAAACTAATATATATTCACCCCCATTGTTTTTCCACACTAAGAAAATTATATAAAATAGTATATTTAGAGATGTAAGTATATTTTTAATATATTTATTTGCTTTTTAAAAATGTGATCATATTATACATACTCTCTGCTCAGTATCTTATGGTTTTTACTTAATAGATCAAAAAGAGAAAACTTCTGAGTGAGGATTCTCTTTAATATCTTCATATTTTCCATAGTTAAATATTCCATATTTTATTTAATCATTTTCTTATAGATTAATATTTACCTTATTTTATGTTTTCCACAATCCAGTTGCAATTAACATCCTTGTAGCTATATGATTGAGGCTTGTATTTCCATAGGATATATTCACAGAAGACACGTTAAATATACACATTTACATTTCAATGCATTTCACCTAAGAGATTTCCAAGTACTGTAAAATGTACATTTCCACTAGCAATATATTGTAATGTCTTTTTTTGTTCTGTCAACATTAGTTGTTGCTGAGAGAAAAACATATTGAACATATTGTTTATTGAAATGTAATAACAATAAACTATTTTTTGCTTTAAGTTTTCAGAATGTATGGCCTTGCAGTCTTACAGTTATTAACTTAGTTGCAAATATTAATTCTAATCAATAATAGGTATATTAACTTTGTTTATACTGTATTTTGTGAATCAGCATATGTTTAAAACTTTAGGTCAGGCTGTGGTGGCTCACACCTGTAAACCTAGCACTTTGGGAGGCTAAGTCTGGAGGATTGCTTGAGCCCAGGAGTTTGAGAGCAGCCAAGGCAACATAGCATGAAGCCATCTATACAAAATAAAACTTTATATAGTTAAATATGTCTACCTTTATGTTTTTCATAGTTTCTAGGTTTGTTGACATGGTTATAAGCTTTTTCCAACTAATAGTATGTTTGTTTAATCTCTTACATCTTATTTTAACATACTTAGTTTTTACCCTTAATTTACATTTATGTAAAATGTGTTTGTATAAGTAGCATGGCTTAATCATCTGTATTTTCTCCCACTTGGAATGGTATTTTGGTCAACATATTTGTTAAATCAGTCATGTTTCCACAAAATTAAAATACACCACTGTCAAACATAAAATTTTTAACGATGCATGCACTAGAATCCATTTGTTTCACTCTTGGATTACTTTATTCTTATAGCAAAGGCAATTTAAAATTCTGGTGGTTTTGCATTGTTTTACTATAAGTCTATTATTCTGTAACTATTCTACTTTGTTATAAGTGACCTGGGTATTCTCAGGCATTTATTTTTCAAATGGAATTTGAGATCTTTTTACCTAACCAAAGAAATAACACATGTGATTCCAATGGAAATTACATTAAATGTATAATATAATTCAGAAAGAACTGACAATTTTATTGTATTAATCTTCCTATCAAAAGCACAGCATGTCATTCTATTATTCATATTTTCTTTTGCATTAAGATTAAGCAGTTTTCAAAATATAGCATAACACTAGATAGACTTGATCTATTTTCTTATGCAGTGCTTGCTTTTATATATTTCATTGTTATTATAGTTTTTCACTTCTATATTTTGTTGACTTACTCAAGATGCTACAAATTGCATTTTAATTTTCCCTTTGGGTACTTCTGCTTCTATTTATGACAGATTACTTGTATTAGACCAACTTATCCTTTCAAGAAGAAATAAAACCACTGTAAGAAATGCCAAAGACTGCTCATTAAATGTGATAGAGTGCAGTTAAGAAAGCCTGAATTTTATAGGGCCAAGATCATGGAGAGAAAAGTATTGACATGAGCCAGACATTCTCTGCCACTTTTCCTTCCAAATATTTGTTGATTAATAACAATAGAAAACTTAGCAAACAGGCAGAAACTGTGGTTCAGAATTTATGGTGGTCTCGTGGGGTTAGGGGGCTAAAAAATTTCAATGCAAGCCTACAAACTGTGTTAATACTAGAAGAGAAAGATCCTGTGGAAGAGGGAACTGCGGAAAAATGAGCTTGCCTTTCTGTGCTGTTTTTATCCTTGAGGCATTAGCAATTTCATACAGTCATAGGGAAAAGGCTAAGAAATTGAGGGAACACATATTCAGGATCTCAATTAGGTATCAGCAATTTAGGATACCCAAATTAAATTCATCCCAACACCTGTTTTTGTAAATAAAGTTTTATTGGAACAAAGACACAGCCATTTATATATGTGCTGTCTGACCTACAAAGCCTAAAATATTAATCATTTGGCCATTCAAAGGAAAAGTGTGCTGACTCCTGTTTCAACCCAACATTTTGATTGCAGAAAGGAGTTTCTTAGCAAGTGTGTTAGGAAAAGAGGCGTACCGTAGGACTGCCTAACAAAAAGCCAATAGGAAATTGGCTAACCTTCACAAAGACTGAAATATTCTATCCCTATTTAGACCAGGAAAAGTTTATCTTTCTTCAAAATGTAAAATATATTTCCAGGAATACCAGAAGGTAGAATAGAAATGATAGAAATTAAAAAGAAAAAAAATCAGACAAAAGAAACAAAGGCAGAGATGATGAACGTATAAGAATTCTAGACACAAATTTTAAAATTACTGTGTTAATATATTCCAGAGAAAATGGAAAAACTGAAGATTCATACCAGAAAACCGGAATCCCTAAAAATAGAAAATCTTGGAAATGCTAAGTCTGAGAAACACAGCTAACTGAAATTAAACATGTAGTGAGTAAATTAAAAGTAGCATAATAAACAGAAGACAAGCAAGGTAGAAGATAGTAGAGAAACATCCAGGAAAATAAAGAAAAGAACAAAAGAGCTAATGGTCTGTCATTCGTCTAAGTGAATTTGCAATAGAGAGAAGAGAAGTAATAGGAAAGAATGGTAACTGAAGAAATATTGGTTGTGAACTTCTCAAATGTGATCATCAAGCCACAGATGTAAAATGTTTATTGCTTTTGTTTAAAATACAATTTTTGAGGCCGGGCGCGGTGGCTCACGCCTGTAATCCCAGCACTTTGGGAGGCCGAGGCGGGTGGATCATGAGGTCAGGAGATCGAGACCATCCTGGCTAACAAGGTGAAACCCCGTCTCTACTAAAAATACAAAAAATTAGCCGGGCGCGGTGGCGGGCGCCTGTAGTCCCAGCTACTCGGGAGGCTGAGGCAGGAGAATGGCCTGAACCCGGGAGGCGGAGCTTGCAGTGAGCCGAGATTGCGCCACTGCAGTCCGCAGTCCGGCCTGGGCGACAGGGCGAGACTCCGTCTCAAAAAAAAAAAAAAAAAAAAAAAAAAAAAAAAAAATACAATTTTTGAAGTTAAATTGAAACTGTTACTTCTATTGAAAATATTCTTCTCCTAACAGCAGTCTTATTTGTGTCTGTTCTCCTTCTTTTGCTTTTTCTGTCTGATGGGTTGCCTTCTCTTGTTTTCTCATTAAAGCTCATTCCTAATACTGGAGTGACATGGCAGTGATGTGGAGAGAGGTGCAAAACAATGTATTCCTTGCCTAAGAAGAGACAACAGTCAAGTTTTCAGTTTCATGTTACTCTAATTTTTAGGGTACAGAGAGCTCAACATACATGCCAGTGTTTTGTCCCACACCTCCTCTGGTGCAGAGGACCAGCTAGTCCTCCATGAAACACTCAAAAAAAAGATGCAGTCTCTCCCAATATGAGGGATGGGATCCAGGATATCCACAGGCTGGGTTCTCTTTGGAGTCCATCTGATTTCTTTACATCTTCATCATAAACTTCCCTCCACTTGTTCCAAAGTGACATAAAGCCCAGTGGGGAAAATTAATACACCAACCCTCTCTTTGAGACTGCACTTAAATCTGAGGCCTTGCTACCAGACCCTAAGCCTCAGCAGCTCTGTGGCAAGTGAGAGATAAAGTAGCTTAGTGGCAATTAGGATAATGACAGCAGGGCAGTAAGTTTTGAAGCTGCCATCATTTTTTATTCTTGTAAACTTGCTTCTTTAAAAATGTATTTAAATATACTGTTTCTTCAGAAATATTTATTCTTCCAAAAGCCTTTTTTAGACATACCCAATTCTAAAGGAAATTTCATGCAACTGAAATAAAAGCCAAGAACAGATGACTATTCTTATATGATAGTTAAACCAAACAGATCATTAGGGGTAACACCACTATAATATTTTTTTTCTTTTCATGTGCCAAATAGTTATGTGCAGAATATAATTTGACTAATAGTATCTCCTTTTGAATGTACTCCATAAAAATCTATTGTAGAATCCAGGCCAAAATAATTATGTATTTAGACACATCGATTTCAATAGGAAGTTATGAAAATAGAATCATTTCTTCTTTTAAGCATAGATTTGATTTATTTTTCATATTTTTTAAATTCCTCATGAGATTAAAAAATGATAACTGTAAATTTCTGAGCCAACTGACTTGATCAGGGAGGTATGACGTTGAACATTATATAGGAAATTGCACAGAGATATGTTCAATATACTTTATATTAAAAATGCCACTTTTCCAATGATTATATCATAAATAGAAGTAAATACATAGATTATCAAACATTCAGCAGTCAAGAACTCCCCATGGGCCAAATATATTGATTTACTAGGATGGAAGTTCTTTTCTTGTTTTCTGGATTTCAAATGACACTGCACTGGCAGCAAACAAAGCTGAACCAAATTAACACTGAACAATGAAGAAAAATGAGTCTGGCATCTTAGCCCAGGGGATTTTGCCAAGGGAACATAGTTTCTTTCCCGATTTCTAAATGATTTCTATTTTCAGAGGACAAAATGAATCTCCTATTTCACACTAGTAAAAAAAAAATTGGAATCAAGAAAAATTAAATGAATTTAAGGAGAAATGCTAATTATAATAATCCATATTTATATAATAAATGTATATCTCAGTGTACTATGATAAAAGTCATAATACTTTTGATTTATCAATATAAAATATATATGCAAGGTGGCAAGTAATTACCTGAGGCAAACTTGCATTTGTAGGTAGTATTGTTAGAAGAATTTCAAATACTGATTATCCATGATTGTTCAGATACAGAGATGCACTCACAGAATCCCCACCAACCACTGAATTATGCCCAGTGTCAGTGTTAAAAGGACTTCCAAGAGATACTGCAATAACTGAATTATACAAATGAGGGAATGGAGAACAAAAGAGATGGAACTATTAACTTTTAGTCACCTCTTGATAGAGTTGGAGATCTCAGGTTTCCAGACTTCTACAGAAGGGAACATATTATTATGTCCATTTAATGACCAGATATCAACTAATATTCAATAGGAACAGCTGGAATTTTCTCACGTCTACTTACTATAAATTTTAGGTATATTTTTCACTCAATTTTATGACCTTTAAAGAAGACAATTATCTATCAAATTATCTGGAGTAGAAAGAGGGAAATATATTGTTACAGGAGATAGAAAGAAATTATTTGGGTAGACAGGGCAAAGGGAGTCCTTGGCAGAAAACTTTCCTTCAAACTAAAAGCAGCTCTGAAGTAGCTTTCTTTCTAACCTCATGCAGTTCAAAGAAATCACTTCTCTTCTAACAAAGAGCAACCTGAAAGATCAGGCTGTAAAAACACAGATAAACAACTGGGGCACAGAAGGAGGTGGGGGAGTCTCCCAGTTAATCACGAAACTACATACTCATAAAATGGGCCCCAGTAAAAACACTGGGACTTAATAAGCACATTTCTTTCCCTACAGGCACACTAAGATATGGAAGCTAAAAGAGGACTAAGAGGATTCTGGGGATATTACAAGATATTGCAGACTGTGAGTACCTGGGTACAGGAAAATGGCTTACCCTTTGTACCACCTCATAAGAGAAAGTCAAACAGTTAAAACTCACCCCCACCCCCTTTTGGGGGAACCTAAGGCTCAAAAAGCCTTTAACCAGCTAAAGTGTACCTTACTTAAAACACCAGCCCTCAGTCATCCCATAGGGAAAACTTTCAGTCTCTATGTATCGGAAAGGAAGGAAATAGCCCTGGAAGTTTAAGCTAAGGCTTGAGGTCCAACTCAACAGCCAGTAGGTTGCTTGAGCAAGGAACATAACTGGTGTCTAAAGGATGGTCAGCCTGCCTCCAAGCAGTTACAGTGGTGGCTTTTCTGGTACCAGAGGCTACTGACTTAACCATGGGGAATAACAACTGTGTGCACCCCACACAGTATAGCAGGACTGCTGTCCTTTAAGGAAAGGCTCTGGCTACTGTAAAATCGCCTCCTCAAATACCAAACTTTTCTGCTAAAGGGATTTGCAGTCCACTCGAAAACCTGTCCTTGCCTGAGCCCAGCCACTTTCTCCCAGAGAAAACTGGAGAACCTGAACATGACTGTGAACAGGCAGTGGAGCAAACTGGTAAAAGAAATAATAAGAATCACTGTTCGCATTCTCTGTAAAGATTTAATTAATGAAAAATGATTGTCTTAAAGGGTGCTCAGCTTAAGTGAAAGTAGATATCCAAGTTATGAGTATATTTAAAAGGCCTTTATGTTTTTCTCTTCACAGATCTTGTTTTCCTGGAAAAGGATTTTACCTCAGTCGACTGAATTACTTTTTTCACTGTGTCTTGCCACTCTTCGTGCATGCATCAAAGACCCTAATATGACTTCTGGTGGCCTGGGACTCCTTGGGAAAACAGAAAAGGGGCCACAAATCCCATTTTGGGAACAATCTGTTTTACTCATGGAACCCCTGGAATTAGAGGTGTGTAAGTACCTCTCAAAATCTGTCTTTGTCTTCTGGCTATGCTTTTTATGAGGCCCTGGAATTTGTAGTCCTAGCCCTGTTCTTAGAGTGTCTCACTAGGAGGCGTAATAATCCAATTAGGAAACTAGCCAATGAAAAATCTCATAACTACTGGATCTTCTTCTGTTTATCTGTGTGGTTACATATGTGTTATGTGTGTAATATCTATTAAAAAGGGCTCTAATTAATTGGCCTAAGAACAGTAAGCACTTAAATAAAATATTTTTAAGGGAAAAGTAAAAGCTGTGTTACTTTTCAGTTCACATGACTTTAATCTTTACAAATAAAAAGTCCTAGAAATTATTGGTAAAATACAAATGTCTTCAAGGTGTAAAAATGTGGTCTAAATTATGCAGGCCAGATACTAGGTTTGCTAAATGTTTTAAGGTTGTAAACTCTTCTTTGGCCTTTAAAAACTGTCAACTCACCTGCCTCACAATTGGTAAGGCCTGGGAACATAGGGAAGTTACCATGCCCGTAACTATCCTAAAAGGAGTCAAACTTTATCTGCATCTAGCACATAATTAAAACAACCTATCAGATTTCACAGTAAAGTTGAAAATTTCTAAGAGTTACCATTATGACATGTAATTGAAATTACTAAAAAGAAATCTACCTGCAAGGTGTATAAAAAACAGTAAAATGTGTTTTTATTTAAAGATTATAAGAAAGCATGGAAATATACATTTTATCTAGAAATAAAGGATTGTCTTTTTAAAGTAGAAAGTTTAAGCAAATTGTGAAAAGACTGTAAAAATTAATCTTTCAAAGGAAACTCTGTGTGTGAACATATTAACTAAATACAAAAGGGTATTATACTTTTTTTTCTGTAAACACTATAATAAAAGCAGAACAAGGTTTTCTTAAGATGCCAATCCACTCTTTAGCAAAATTTGTAGAGGTTAATAAAAGGTTTGTGAAAATCTCACTTCATAGTCAAACTGGTTAAGATTATGTAGGATTGTCTACAAGGTTTCATTAAAAATTAGAGTTAATTTTAATAGCAAACTAATGCATGGGTAAAATTTAACTTTCTCTCTTGAATGGGATTTTCATGTAATTAAAAATGCTGATGAATGGTTTTTGCTTTTTCAGATTTTTGTCTCATCATTTTGGCAAAACAAATAACTTATGGTAATCTAAAATTCTACTTCATAATATCAAGTGTTTTAAATTCTGAACATATTTAACAGGCTTCCTAAAATCAAACTTTAGTCTCAGGGTTGTCTTTCCTGACCCCTAGCTTTTGGGTGCTGCAGAGCACCCCTGGAGCATCTGGAAAAGAGGTAAACAGGATTATTTAACATGTTTAGGCACATGGAATTGCCAAAATGATGTTTAATACTCTTCAGGTTATATTCTAGGGAATAATATCAACATATGTTCCAAAATGGTCTGGGCTGTCTAAGGTTCTATTGTCTGAATATGTGCTATTAATCACAATTAAGGTTATTATGTTGGGTTATTGTAAGCCATGGAAATAACCAAATTTGTCAATCATGTTCTTGACTGTAACCACCCTGAACATTTTGTCATTTATAGACATTTGTCTTGTTTTAATTGTCTTCAAAAGATGGTTTATAATCAAGCTGTGGAACTTTAACAGGTGCTCTTCAATGCAGGTTTCTGATAACAGAAAAATGTACAGGACTCATAAAAAGCTAAAATGTTTAGGAATATCAAGCAGAACAAGAGTTAACAGAATGGAATGAACTAATAGAAAATTAAAGCAATATTCTTAATTTATGCTTGGAACACTGCTGATTATTATTTTGTTTTTCAAAGTCAAGGAAACTTTCTTAAAGGCTTTTAACAACTAAACAAGTTATACTCCTGTGAACGATATTTAAAACGTGTTTGTTTCTCTGTGCCTAGTTCCTCTAGAATTTGGAAACTAGTTGTAAGTATTCTTGAATTACAACAATATAGGTGTTTGCATCAGTACAACAAGTATCCATTTTCTTTTGCAACAAGATACAACTGGAGAAACTGTTCTGTGGAGGCTTTGAGTGGAAGGGTGTGCTTCCCTTTAAGGAATCAAGCTTGATTTGCAAAGCCAATAAAACCCCCTTAAGAAAACTGGCCTCCTACCTGTCTACACAGTCTCTGTACAAGATTACTGACCTGTGGTGAGCAAAAAAATGTCACTTTCTAACAGACCTAGGAACTCCATGCTTCTAAAATCTCAGGAAGAAAAAAGTTTATCCAACTCACAGTTATTTGTAGATACAAACCCATGGCTGGGCTTGGTTTTAAAAAGTCCGATCTGAAATTCCTTGTGGAACAGAGAGTTCCATCAAAGCCAATCAAAAAGGCCTATATAGAGGTGATTATTCTTGCTTCATTTTATGCAAATAATCAGGCCAAGTATACAACTAAAGTTTACTTTGCAAACAGCTAAGTCCTATCATAAGTTGTTTTTTAACAAAATGAGGACTAGAGAGACAGAAATTATGTTTCAAAATTTATCATACATCTGTCATTGGATTCAAGTCTCATTAGTCATTTTTAAATTCTTGTCTACATTTTAAACTAACCATGCTAATTCTTGTAATCCAACCACATCTCCAGCTGTGGCTCAAACAAAACAGAAAGTGATAGGTAATGTAAAAATCTCGAACAATGTTCTGGCTGGGCAATTATCCTATAAATCTTGCTAGGTAGCCTATAACCCCAAGGTTTTCTTTTTTTGGGAAAGTAAGATCAAGAAAGTTTAAAAAAGCCTAGCCCCATACACTCACTTAAAACAGCACAACCCATCTAAATGGCTTACAGGTATCAAATAAACTCTGTTGTCATGGTTATGGCCTATAGTGCCCCCACTAATAATGGTAGTCTTAATACTCATATTTTAACCCTATATTCTAAACCTCCTTGTAAAGTTTACTTCTTCTCACCTAGAAACCATCAAGCTTTAAATGGTGTGGCAAAAGGAGCTGAAAATTAAACTGACCTTCTACTGCATACCCTTAAATTGACCCAGGAGGAGCCCTAGCTGCTATTCCCATGCCACGCCCCTCTCCAGCAGGAAGTAGCCAGAGTAAGTCGACGCCCAATTCCCCGTAACAGCAGTTAGGAATTTCATTCCTGAGGGGGGTGTTTGTTATAGGAGATAAAAATAAATTATTTGGGTAGACAGAGTAAAGAGAGTCCCCGGCAGAATACTTTCCTTCTAACAAAAAGCAGCTCAGAAATGGCTCCCTTTCTAACCTTGTGAAGTTCAAAGAAATCATTTCTCTTCTAACAAAGAACAACCTGAAAGGCTGTAAAAACACAGATAAACGGCCGGGCGCGGTGGCTCACGCCTGTAATCCCAGCACTTTGGGAGGCCGAGACGGGCGGATCACGAGGTCAGGAGATCGAGACCATCCTGGCTAACACGGTGAAACCCCGTCTCTACTAAAAATACAAAAATTAGCCGGGCATGGTGGCGCGCGCCTGTAGTCCCAGCTACACGGGAGGCTGAGGCAGGAGAATGGCGTGAACCCGGGAGGCGGAGCTTGCAGTGAGTCGAGATCGCGCCACTGCACTCCAGCCTGGGCGACAGAGCGAAACTCCGCCTCAAAAAAAAAAAAAAAAAAAAAAAAAAACACAGATAAACAACTTGGGCACAGAAAGAGGTGGGGGAGTCTCCTCGGTAATCACCAAACTTCACATTCATAAAATGGGCCCTAGTAAAAACAATGGGCCTTAATAACCACATTCCTTTCCCTTTAAGCACACTAAGATAAGGAAGCTAAAAGCAGGGGGGCAGGGGAGGATCCCTGCAGCTGTGCAAGAAGATGAGAAGATGTCTGGAACAGACACAGAAACTCTCCCTCCCAGATAAGCAAAATAGAGCAGCAGAAACTAAGAGTCTACCTATGTAATCAAGGAATTGGGTGAGAGCTGATAGAAAACTCTGTGCTATGCACATAGCACACCTGATTCCAACTAAATCTTCAGGCCTTAGGAAGATAAGACACCCCTCCTCACTAGCCCATTTATAAAATCCCTGACTTTTTACTACAACTTGGAAACCCACTCAGGACCCCTCCCTGTGACAGAGAGCTGTTCTTTCCTTTTGCCTATTAAGCTCCTGCTCCAATCTCACTCTACGTGTGTGTGTGTGTCCATGACCTTGATTTCCTTGGCCATGAGACCAAGAACCCTGGTATTTACCCCAGACAACAAGGCTGCTTCAGTATGACTGAGAACTTCCAGGTGTTGGAGAAATGAAAAATTTGCTGGGTAAAAGTAATAAACCTGATCTCCAACATGTTAAGTATAAAATGTCAACAAAATAGCATTTACTTGAGTGCACAATGGAGAAAAGAAACAAATAGTCTCAATAGGTTAAAAGCAATGGATTTAATAACATATAAGGCCTATATAGAGGTGATTAAATCTTAATAGGACTTGTTAGGAAAAACAGGACAGAAGAGCAAGTGAAAGGGGTCTGATGGCACTCACTCCGTAGCGATATCCCGGATGAGCCCCCAAGATGTGTCCAGAATTGGTTACTGCTGGTGGGTTCGTGGTCTAGCTGACTTCATGAATGAAGCTGCAGACCTTCACAGTGAGTGATTAATAGGATTAAGTTTAAAGTTTTTAATGTCTGTCTGAATAAATGCATTTCCCTACACAATACAAAACATAAACTAAACATCTGAGAGCATACTTCAAAAGCTGTGACAGTGAGAAATGAAACATAAAGTTATTTTTAAGTGAGCAGAAGTTGGTTTTTTCATTATAAAAAATGTATTTTGAAAAGTAGATTGAAGAAGATGTGTTATAAATAAACAAAACAATACTAACACTATTTAAGTTCAATTAAATTCTAAATGGATTCCCCTTTTAAGGGAGCTTAACATATGCAATTGAGAGGTGAGGCAAGCTGGACTTCCTGGGTCGAGTGGGGACTTGGGGAACTTTCCTGTCTTACAAGAGGATTGTAAAATGCACCAATCAGCACTCTGTAAAATGCACCAATCAGCAGGATTCTAAAAGTAGCCGATCGTGGGGAAAATTGAAAAATGGGCACTCTGATAGGACAGAAGCAGAACATGAGAGGGGACAATAAGGGAATAAAATCTGGCCACCCCAGCCAGCAGTGGAAACCCACTCAGGTCCCCTTCCACACTGTAGAAGCTTTGTCCTTTTGCTCTTCACAATAAACCTTGCTACCGCTCACTTTTTGGGTCCTCGCTATCTTTAAGAGCTGTAACTCTTACCGCGAAGGTCTGCGGCTTCATTCTTGAAATAGCAAAACCACAAACTCACCAGTAGGAACCAATTCCAGACATGCATGACAATGCAGTAGGCAATTATCAAAGAAGGTGTAAGCTGTGCATTGGAATTTCCACAACTATTCTGAAATATACAAAGCAGTTTTCATATAAAGACAATGGACAGAGGTTTGAAATCAAGCCTGTAAACAACTTATGATAGAAAAGCATTTTGTCTTTTAGGAAACATGGTGAGCTAATTTTTCATCTATGAACAAAGAACATTAAAATATGAATGACATAATACCAATTCTTGAACCATACGAATATTTTGCTTTCATCTTTATTTCACATTACTTTAGTTTATTTGAAATAAATATTTCAGCAACATTGGAAATGACTTTATTTTTTCAAAGTTCATTTATAAATCTGTGATCATTTTAAAAACTACATTTTTGAAATTACTATAAGTTCTGTGAAAAAATTAGACATTATCCTTGCCATCAATAAGGTCACATTCTCGTTGGAAAGGTAGAACTTACCAAATTAATAGTTTATACTTACTAAATCACTGAAAGACTTCCTGATTAAATGATGGACTAAATTGAGAAAAATAATCTAGAACCAGATTATTTAAAAAATTACACAAATCAGACATGAATTTAAATTTAATATGATAGGCAACATAAAGATATTATAAGCTTTTGAACAGAGAAATTATTTTTCTCCTATTATATGTCAAGACAAAATTAGTTTTGAGAAGATCAATCTAGCAGTAATATGGGCAGATAATTAAAAAGGGGAAAAATTGAGTTAGAGAGACTCTTAAGAAGCTATTATTATGATCCAGAAATGGAAATAATTAATCATCTCAATTCATGTTCTACTTGTGAGAGTTAGATGGAAAATTGTATGTTAGTGATTTGAGATGTTTTAATTACTGACTTTCATGCATGTGGGATGTAGAGTGACAATAATATGTAGTCAAAAATGACTTTAAGGCTGGGCACGGTGGCTCACGCCTGTAATACCAGCACTTTGGGAGGCCGAGGCAGGCAGATTACAAGGTCAGGAATTCAAGACCAGCCTGGCCAATGTAGTGAAACCCCATCTCTACTAAGAATACAAAAATTAGCTGGGCATGGTGGCAGGGGCCTGTAATCCCAGCTACTCAGGAAGCTGAGGCAGGAGTATCGGTTGAACCCAGCAGGCGGAGGTTGCAGTGAGCCGAGATAGCGCCACTGCACTCCAGCCTGGGCTACAGGGTGAGATTTTGTCTCAATAAATAAATAAATAAAAATAAAATGACTTTAAAATTTGTAACCTGGAATACTAAAAGAATGACAGTGCCATATAGATTTGGGGAAATTATGAAGGAATATTTGTATTAATGAAAGCAATTTTACATTAACACTATGAAAAAATAGCTAATATTAAACATTACAGCATGAAGCAAAGATTACCTACTGTGAGGAATTTGGATGAATAATTTAACAACTTGAAACACTTGTTCGCATCTTCCCAGAGAAATTAAATCCCAAATCCTGCTGAGTATCCATTTACCATCACAGCAAGAAAATAAAGAACAACAGACTATTTAAGTGTCAGAATTTCAGGTGGCTTGCATATCGTAAGGTGCACTGGATAAGAAGTAAATAAGGAGCCACAATAAATGTTACAACATAGCATTATTTTTACACCATTCCTACACATTTTACAGAATCTCCAACCATGCTTATCAATTTCTTTCAGTTTTGCAAGTTCCTAGAGGATGTTTTGTATGTGATCCAAAACCTACTTTTAGGAATAATTCATATGACATCTATCGTTTTCTTTAGTTACTTTGAACTTTTTAAATTACCAAGTCCTCTGAAGGGAATCATTGAAATTTCCAACAGTGTCTGCTGAAGGGGCTGTTCCTACAAAGAGGTTTTGAAAGTATTGATGACACCTCTAATGTTGTCAATGACTGTGCCAAGACTGGTAACAATGCTTGAAAAATGGATGCCTATTGGAATATCCCTGACTCCTGCTGCTGCCAAGGTTGCTGGCAATGACACTGCTGATGCTTTGTCCTCACAGTGGGCTCCTCAGTTAGTACTTCCTTCCTCCCTCCCTCCCTCCCTCCCTCCCTTCCTCCCTTCCTTCCTTGTGCTTTCTTCTTTTTTCTTTTTTTATCCTTTCCTCATTTATTTTTTCATTTGATTTTTTAATTTTTAATATGAAAAACAAATTCATAAATACTAGACTGAAAACAATCTTAGTGTTTTGAATCTAAAACAATCTTTCTCTTATCAAGACATGTGGTACTTGGGCCACATAGGTGGATTTTAGCCCTGTATCTTCAAAGTTTCATAGGCTAAATTTCTAGTAAAAGTAGGTTATTCAAGCAGAAATAATAGAGCATAAATAAAAGATATCAGAACTGCAGGTGTGAATCTTGGAGTCAAATACCATGCAGTGAAAAGCAGATGCTCTCATGAAACCGTGGAGAAGGTTGTTTCAAGAAGTGAAGCTGAAGAACAAGGTGGGCAGCAGTGGCTGCAATTGGGGCCCTGTTAAGCTGTCAGACATTGGGAAAGTTGACAGTGGTATACAACACTATAAATTTCAATCAGTACCAAGAGGTCACATCCACATCCCAGAATAAAGAAGAAGAAGAAAACAAAAAGACCTAACATTTTAGAGGAGGAAACCTATTGCCAATTATAGGGAATCTCTTCCTCCAATCACATAATTTCATTCCCAGGTAAAGATAATATCCTAAATATCTAGTTAAAGTGAAGCCTGATAAGAGGGATAGAGGTAGAGTATAAGATATATTAATACAAACTGTATAGAATGAGTGCTAACACATTAGAAAGATAGTGAGAAGACAATTATTGAATATAGCTGGTTTTAAGATAATATTATCATGTAATTTTGTTTTATAAGCAATCATTTTAGACATAATTGAAGAAACAATAATTGCAATGTGTTTTGTTAAGCCTAGCCTAACATTTCTCTCATTCAGCCTTTATTGTCTGCATTCTAAGGCACATTCCAGAAAAAATAATATTGCTATAGAAAACTGTAAATGATGAGCATGAACAATGAAATTCAAGCTGCTTTTAAGTATTCATGCTAAACAGATATACTGTCATTCAGCTAAAAAGGGAAACATGTTCTTGTTTATAATAACTTTCCAAAAGAATCTGATGATATCTAACCTCATGCCATTTTCAATAAATTGTAAAATAATAATATGATCCCTAAGAACCCTGAAAGTGATATTTGTAAGGTGGGAATCTTCATGAAAATAAAAAGAAATAAAGTCCACAAGTGCAAATACTTAAATTGATACTTAAATTAAGAGAGAATAAACATCTTAAATCCTGGAGAAAAAATTTCAGATTGATTAATATCAAATCACAATTATTCAAAGAATTAAGTTAACAAAAATGCAAATTTTATAATATTTTATCAAGTACACATACAATCTACCTAAAATATAAACCACCTAATTTTGTAATATTGTGCTCTTTTTAACATTTATATGTATATAAACATTGCATTTAATTTTATATTTTCCTGTTTATGACAAGTTATTGCAACAATTTGTGTAAGAGGACATAGTGTCTGAATCCAATCTTCCTTCACTTTCCGAAGGCCAATCTTTTAGAGAGAAGAGAGGCTGGTACAAATGGATATACAGAGTTTCTTCTGTATGTTGCTGGATATATATTTAATTTCTCAATTTCCCTAGAAATCATACAACTGTAAATATCAGGCTTTTAAAAACATACTGGACTTTGAAGGGACTGTTTTTATCTAAATAGCATGTTACATTGGATACCTACTGTGAATGCTGTATTTTGCTTTTATGTTTGATCATTCATTTACTATTTCCTTCTCTAAACATGAAAGTGGACATATTTCCATGCTAATAATGAAATGTTACCCACATTATTTGGTTAGGAAAACTTTTCCTGCATCCAGTGAACAAACTCAGATTTATTTTTGGCCTTAATGCTTGTCATCTTTTCCATCATGAACCCATAAGATTCATATATCCAGATGCAGTAATTTAGGCTGCCACTTACCTAAGAGCTGTGGTGATGCTATGAGTTTTACCTTTCATTGCACCTCTGGTGTCGGTTCATTTCTCATCTTCCATGTCCCATAGAGCTGCTCCAAGTACAGAAAACCCTTTGAAGTCACTTGGAACTTTGTGCTCCGATGAGGCCTGAAGGACATGCAAAGTAAGAAACATGGCCATGCTTGCAAATAAGGTGAAAATTCAATCATCTTTACTAACGGTATACCTAAATGCATATCTATGTGTGTCTGTGTGCAGTAAAAACAGCACAGCAAACTTTAATTTTGCAAAAACAGAATGTTTATGTGGATCTATCTATTACACTTAAGCCAACTTATTTCACATATGAAGAAATAGACTAAGTATATTAGTGAAAGTAAATGCCTTCAGGTATCATATAAAAGATATTTATTTGTGTAGTAATATCCAATCTAATATTTAATTTACTCTATATTCCTTTTAAAATAATGTACATTAAGACAGACTTTGAAGAAAAACAAAGTTAATTTTTCTGATATTCTGATATCTTTACCTACATAGGCCAAAATTTAAAAATCAACTTAAAAATAGTCTTCATTTTTCTTTATAAGCATTTTCCAGTGTACCAATAAATGAGCAGTAAATGAGCATGCAGTTTTGGGGCTCCAGGTGCAAACCACATTTCTCACTTGCCCATCCGCATTGCCAGTTAGGCTCTGCCAATAGGTGGAGCTAGAGGACGACTGCAGGGCTAGAGAATTTCCCTGGAGCTTTCTGCCTACTTTCTGCTCCTGTCAGCTTCACCCAGGCCCAGCTTTTTAATATTTGGGAAAAATTTTGCTCTAATAGCTTCAGCAATTGAACCGAATTTGCATTTTTCCCAACATTTGTAGAATCAGTTCCATCACAGGTCCTCAGAAACACTAGCACCTACTGCTCAGCACCCACTCCTCAGAAATCTGGTATTCATCTTCACGGGGAGCCTTCTCCAAGTTACTAAATTTCAATCATTTCAGTCTGTTCCCTTTGATTATCCAGTCCTAAGGATTTCAGTTGTCACCTACAATTATTATCTTTGTGATACCATGGTTAAAACAGTTTTGTAGTAAATTGTCTCATGTTAAAATGTCTGATTTCATTTCTGATTTCTGAATTGACTCAGAATGGAGCATGTATTTACTTTACTCCATAATTATTTCAGTTTTATAAACATGACCACAGATTTGGGGTCTAAAGGACAACTGACAGCAACCAGCTGTCCTAGACAAACCAGAACATATGGTTATCCTAGATATGAGATTAAATATAATCCTAACTGAAATTCTAGGTAGCAATGTTATTTTCTTAATAGTTAGAACCAAAATTCTTCCTGGCATTGACCCCACATACCTGGAATCTAAGAATTGCTGCCTTATCTTTTTCTGTTGCTAGTCAGGTTGCAATATTGAGAATTGAACTCCATATGACTGTAGACAGAGGTACTGGTATTGCATGAATTGGTAACACACTTTTGTAAGAACTTTTGTAAGATCTTTTGTAAGAACACGTTTGATTATATTTCTGCTCTGCCTAAAACCATTCAATGGTTACCCAATTACATAAGATAAAGTTGAGATTTAGACAGTCGTTTCTCTGAGAAGTCCCAAAGAGTGGGTTATATGCTTCCTGAATGAATACTCCCACAACACTTACCAACTTACTGATACCATAACATTCAAAATAACATTACAATTACTTGTTTACTTGTCTGTATCAAGCTTTAAGCTATCATGTCTATGAAACCAGAACCTATGTTGTGTTCGCCATTGCTAGTGAGGAACACACTGTCTAGAACACAGGATAATCTCAATGTACATTTTATTTCTACTTTATATATACAGAAAGAAAAATAGTAAAGGCAGTACTAGAATAAGCTCCCATTGTACAGGGTCAGCACCTCAATTTTTTGGATGGTTACTCTTTAAGTAAGAGTATAGATAATTGGGAAGGAAGGAGATACTGCTTTATCATCAGAAAAAGCAGTTTACTCTCAAACAGCAGACAATATGCTAACAACAGCCAGTTATTATAGTTCTTTATCTCTTGTAGTCAAGGGAAATTCTTCCTTAATTCTGACAATTGTTTGAGTGTAAACCTTAATATTAGTTATTTTCATCATTTATTTGTGCCTGCATTGGTATTTTATTAACAGGTTAACAAAGACTAAGTAATAGAGTGAAGTAAAATGCTATTCTTCCAGCCACCATTCTTATTCTTAAAATTATTTCATTTCCAGTATGTCAGAGATGATATCTTTCTTTATCAATAAATTTAAGATATTTGGATTGAAATATTTTAATGTACAATTTTTTAATATCGCACTTCTTTTTCACTTACTAAATACACACACAATCCAGAAAATACCTTCCTGTGATGGGAACTATAGGAGCTATGCAAACTATTTTCAAGGTTTAAAATATCAATATTGAATTGAAATATTTTAGCCTATGTGTCATTTGAAAAAGCATCAAAGATATCTTATATAAAGAACATTTCAAAAATTAGTTTGTGAAACTGAAAACTGGAGTATGTTTTCCACTACCTTGGGGGAGTGGAGAATTGGAATTGACTTCAATGTTGCAGGTGAGCAACAGTATATACTTAAATTTAAATGTTCTCTTTCTATTTTTTCTAATTTACTATCATGGGAAATAGGATGATGATTCATTTCTCTGATAAGAGTAATTGATAGAAGTCTAAATAAATATGGGATTTCTATGTACATAATTTAGGGCTTTTCTTCCATAAGACATCTCTCTGTTGTACTCACACCCATACAAGTAGTACATTGACATATCAGTGAGCTACTTTTGGAAAAGTTCAGTTATAATATTTTTAAAACATACTCTAAAAACATTACACTTATGTCATGAGGGAGTTACTTTTTTCCAGTGTCTTGGTTGAGAAGCGTTCTGAATTATATAAAGTAGAGAACACTTTATAACATTGTCTCTGGCATTTTGTGGACCACAAATTTTAAAAATATCTAAATCTGGATAGAATCAAAAGCATATTAATGTTCCTGCTGAGGAAAATTGCTATTACTCAGCAATTCAGTGGCTTTAGAATATACCATTCAATATGAAGAAAAAAACTTAGTCCAAGAAATGTAATATAGTCACTCCTTTTTCATGTGTTAACTTTCCCTAGATTATAATGATTTCATTCTTTGGCAAGACTTCGGAAAGCACTAGTGTGCTAGAGAATCTTTTTTTTTTCTTATAATTATTTTAATATCTTCCATGACTATGGACATTTTCCTTTTCTCATTGCTACTACTAGCTATTTTTTTTAAGTTTTATTTTAAGTTCAGGGGTATATGGACAGGTTTGTTATATAGGTTATCTTGTGTTATGGGGGTTTGTTTGTACAGGTGACTGGTGCTTGCATAACTGGCTAGCCATATGCAGAAGAGAATCTTTTTATAATCTAATAAAAATTACCAACTTTCTTCTAGAGAGGTGCATAAACACATACATTACCTATTGTTTACCATTTCAGGTTTTTCAGGAGTTTTCTAAAATCATTTATTGGTTTAAAGGCTTCAGAGGTATATGCAAATGACTGAAAATTCTACATTTTTATCCCAAACCTAATGCCTACGTAGATAACCTGCAGCCACTACACTTTGACATATCTAGAATCGAATTGTCTTCTGCTCACACTTACATATACTAGTTCATTTCCAATTTCAGTCAATGATAACCACTACCCACCCAGTTTTTTAATCCATAAATATGGAGGTATACTTTATCCCTTTTCTTTTAGTTCTCCCACCCAATCAATTAACAAGTCATGTCAATTCTGTGCATTTAATTATTCTCAAATATGACTTTTTTTTTACCCCATTAAGCATTTATTTTCTTTCATCTGAATCCCCACCTCCAGCCTTATCCCTTCACAATATTTCTTCATACAGAAGCATTAAAATGTGCATTCTAAAATGCAGAAATGGTCATATTATTACACTATTTGGAACCCATCAAAGACTATTCATTGCCTTTAAGATAAGACCAAACACTTCACTATGGCTTAAGAAGGCCTGTTGTAGTCTTGTGTTTTGAAACCTTTCCACAATTGTTGTAAGTCTCTGTCATAATAAACTACAGACAGTACACTAATCTAAGATGTGCCCTGATGCTGTGGGTCCTTGTTAAAGTTCTTTATGTAAAGCCAGAATTTGAAAATGCACTTTGCACATGAGAAGTCTCCTGGGCTTAAGGCAAAGAACAGAACAACCAAAAGATCTAGGTTCTAATCTTAATCTGACACTTGGACGAGTTATATAAAATGTTTGGACCTCAATTTCCTCATCAGTAAAAACAACTGGATTTGTGCCTTCATCTTTAGCAGTCTATGGTTGCCTTTTGCATCTCTTAGAGGTCATTAAATATGTTCAAGTTAATGTGTTGTCATCTAGTGGTTTTATTTCAGCAACATTTGCTAAAAATATTCAGTTTGTGAAGTAGAAAAAGAAAGACAGTGATTACTATTTTACCAGTTATGAGGATCATACATTTACTTTTATAATTTTCTAATATACACAAAATGTGTATTTTTAATATTAATTATATTTGTATTTTGTATTATCTGTGAAAAATATTTAATATTTGTTTTGTTGTGCAATTTATACTATTAGCTTTATATTATGTATATCATTTATATTATCTTTTTAATTTTATATTATTAGTTTTTCTTTATATCTTGCATTTTTAGTGTCACAAAATTTTCTAAATTCAATGCATCACAAAATTGTTACTTAGAAGAAAAAAGCAAAATTAAGAAATGCAGAAGAATGTATGTTAGAGAATAGCTGAGATAATTTAAATTATTACAGTTAGGTAAAGAATTTTTATTTGTAAGTTTTTTACTATCCAATGCAGACAAGGAGTATTTTTACACATATCTTTGTCATCAGTGTTAAAGATTGAAATGGTTTTTTTTTTAATTTGATTCCTCCTCTTTCTGCACATTCTCTCCTGTCTGGTCTCCACCCATCTTTGTCCTGCTCTATACATTAGGAGGTCGAAACCAACAGACTGCTTCATATGAGCTCCCTGACCAGCTAGTTCATAGTTAGGGTTGGCTACTGAGAGTCAGTGAAATAAGAAAGGTGAGATTTGATAACATTTCTTCCCAGCCCCATCTCTATTTAGAGTTATTTCTCTGGCTGGAGTACACTGTGCCGTGAGTTTACTTCCTAGTAGCCTCTCGCCCTTGGCTCCAGCTCTCACCATTTCCTCATTTTCACTCTGATTCTCAAAAAGTGGTGTAATGTCTCCTTCTTTTTTTAATACTGCTACATCTTTACCCAGTCCGATCTTTAAATTACCTTTATTTAAATCATCTGAATGGGTTATATTTTATGTAAAATCCTGCTTGATTCAAAACTTCAAGAAGGACATTTTTAGAGGAATGCATACATTGAGGAAATTATGTATTTTTTAATTATACAAATAGAAGCAAAAAATATAATTAATAATGTCTTCTGTTACTATTGTTTGAAAATGTAGAATTGGGTCCAATCACATCATTTTGAAATTTAATCTAGAAAACTTGAATGAACACTGTTAAATCCTAACTCAGTGAAAAAGTCCTGGTGAATTCATGGTGTGATGAAAAAATGGTTTTAAAACCAGAACGACATAGACGTGAATTCCAGCTCTATTACAGACTAAGTTAAATTAAGCCTGGTATCTACTATTTATGACTCAGTTTTATTTGACGAACTTTTAAGATCATTGTAAAAGTAGAAATAGAATAAATAATGTGGGACATGGTTTATTCTTACTGAATGGTAATCTCTTTAAATTTGTCACTATTTTTCTTTGCAATGGTTATCCTTAATGCAGCAATTTACTCTACAGACTGATATATCTCAGTCTGAAACAGAGGCAGCATCTGCTTGAATGGACAAATTCAGAAGTGTACATAGGATATGTTGGTGGTTGAAGAATTCAATGCTATATATATGCCAAAAATACAGATGGCACTGTTGCCATTTGTGATGATTAATTTTATGTGTCACATTCACTGGGTTAAAAGATACCCAGATATCTCTAAAACATTATTTCTGAGTGTGTCTGTGAGGTGTTTTTGGAAGAGATTAATCTTTGAATCACTAGACTGAGTAAAGATCACCTTCCCCCATGTGGATGGGTATCATCCAATCCATTGAGGGCCCACTTAAATAGAACAAAAAGATTGAGGCAAAGCAAATTCCCCCTTTCTCTTCTTGAGCTAGTACATCCATCTTCTGTCCTTGGACATCAGACCTCCTGATTCTAAGACTGCTGGATTCCAGGACTTAACACTACCAGTACCCCAAGTTATCAGGCATTCAGCCTTAGTCTGGGAGTTTAACAATTGTCTCCTCTGGTTCTCAGTCCTTCAGACTGTGACTGAATTACATAACCAGTTTCTCTGGTTCTCCAGCTTACAGACAGAAGATCCTGGGGAATCTCAATTGCCATGATTTCATGAGCCAATTTCCAACATAAATCTCTTCTAGTAGATCTACGTATATTCTATTGATTGTGTTTCTCTGGAGAATACTCACTAATGCATGATACTATTGGGCAAATTCAGAAGCTTGTACTGAATCAACAGAGATAGACTTTACATGGCTATCATCTTCCCTTTGGCACACATTTCTTTGTCATAACAATTGGACTAATGCTACCATAAATTCTTCTACTACATAGATCTCTGATTCAAGGGATCTAAGTTCCTTCTATCTGACTTATTTATTTGGTAGGTATCGAATAGAAAATCCCAAGTCTTAGAATGGAAACAAATTTTCAAAGATGACATAAATTCAGTCAATACATTTGTTTAAAGTTAAATATGACATTCACTCTCTGAGGGCATTAAAGTAAAACAGTGCATGCTTATTCTTGAGGCGACTGCAATTATATAAGGAAGAAAAAATCAACCTGAGAATATTTTTATTAGCTAGGTAAAACTTTAGTGTAAAGTGTACAATAATATTATTTTATAGGTATGTTGGGTAAAATATTAATGATTATATCAGATTTCATAGCTGGGGCAGAGCTACACTTGTATAACACTTTTTACTCCCCTCTACCTTATCATATACCACATTGTTATATCATTTTATTGGGTTCATCTTTCATTTCACTTAACTCTGAAAATTTTAACAGCAGAATTGTGACTTGTACGAAAATAATACATCAAATAATTGTGTTCATCTAACTATGGCTTCATCAAAATTAAAAATAAATAGAATTTCTGCCTGACCACATGCCATCATATACAAGATGTAGAAACTAATAACAAAAGGAGGGAAAAATAATTCTAAAAGCAAACGGCTAAAGTCTATAATAAATTAATAGTTCCTGAAAAATGGTAAAAAGAAGACTGACAGCCAATAGAAAATAGGTGAAGAATATAAGAAAAGTCATAGAAAATGCAGGGCAGGAGATCAGTCATTATAAGTGAAATGCAAATTAATTTTGCCCAGAGGTACCATTTCTCAGATAGCAAAATGATAAAAATCTAAAAGTAGACTATCGATGGAGAGTAATTAGACAGTATTTATAAATATACCAGCAATTGTAGTTTAGAAAATCAGCCTACACATATGCTTACATATGTGCAAAATGTGTGCAAAATGTAAAAGGTTTCTCATCAAGGCACTGTCTATATTAGCAAAGAATTTAAAAGAAACTGAATCTATCAATAAGAGGTAAAAAATTAAATTGTGAGACTCTTGCATGATGAAAAATAATATATCTGCTAAAAGTGGGGAAAAGGTAGCTCTTTATGTATTATTATGAAAGGATTTCTAAGGTATGCTATAAAGTGAAAGACACACAAAAAACATAGAGAGTGTGCCATTATTTGTGTAAAAACCAAATAAAAATTATAGAAATTTCTCCTATTTTGCATACACATAATATTTTGGGGCTTTAGATTCTAACTGTACTGTGGTATTAAATTATCTCTCTATTGCTTTTAAAGCAGTGGTATATCTATTCTGTTTCCCCAAGATCTGCTGCTGGTGAGACAGCCAACATAGACTTGGCTTTCTCAATAAAAACAAGGAATTAGTTTATGTCTGAAGAAAAGGTTAAGTATCTTAAAAACATGCCTCAATGGCATTTCAATTAATTTTGTCAACTACATTTTAAAGATAGTCTGATATAACAAGCATTATAATAATAATGATTAACAACATTTTAAAAGTACTTTTCAAAAAGTACTATTTTTTTATTTTATTATTATTATACTTTAAGTTTTAGGGTACATGTGCACAATGTGCAGGTTAGTTACATATGTATACATGTGCCATGCTGGTGTGCTGCACCCATTAACTCGTCATTTAGCATTAGGTATATCTCCTAAAGCTATCCCTCCCCCCTCCCCCCACCCCACAACAGTCCCCAGAGTGTGATGTTCCCCTTCCTGTGTTCATGTGTTCTCATTGTTCAATTCCCACCTATGAGTGAGAACATGCGGTGTTTGGGTTTTTGTTCTTGTGATAGTTTACTGAGAATGATGATTTCCAATTTCATACATGTCCCTACAAAGGATATGAACTCATCATTTTTTATGGCTGCATAGTATTCCATGGTGTATATGTGCCACATTTTCTTAATCCAGTCTATAATTGTTGGACATTTGGCTTGGTTCCAAGTCTTTGCTATTGTGAATAGTGCCGCAATAAACATACGTGTGCATGTGTCTTTATAGCAGCATGATTTATAGTCCTTTGGGTATATACCCAGTAATGGGATGGCTGGGTCAAATGGTATGTCTAGTTCTAGATCCCTAAGGAATCGCCACACTGACTTCCACAATGGTTGAACTAGTTTACAGTCCCACCAACAGTGTAAAAGTGTTCCTATTTCTCCACATCCTCTCTAGCACCTGTTGTTTCCTGACTTTTGAATGATTGCCATTCTAACTGGTGTGAGATGCTATCTCATTGTGGTTTTGATTTGCATTTCTCTGATAGCCAGTGATGGTGAGCATTTTTGCAAGTGTTTTTTGACTGCATAAATGTCTTCTTTTGAGAAGTGTCTGTTCATATCCTTTGCCCACTTTTTGATGGGGTTGTTTGCTTTTTTCTTGTAAATTTCTTTGAGTTCATTGTAGATTCTGGATATTAGCCCTTTGTCAGATGAGTAGGTTGGAAAATTTTCTCCCATTTTGTGGGTTGCCTGTTCACTCTGATGGTAGTTTCTTTTGCTGTGCAGAAGCTCTTTACTTTAATTAGATCCCATTAGTCAATTTTGGCTTTTGTTGCCATTGCTTTTGGTGTTTTAGACATGAAGTCCTTGCCCATGCCTATGTCCTGAATGGTAATGCCTAGGTTTTCTTCTAGGGTTTTTATGGTTTTAGGTCTAATGTTTAAGTCTTTAATCCATCTTGAATTGATTTTTGTATAAGGTGTAAGGAAGGGATCCAGTTTCAGCTTTCTACATATTGCTAGCCAGTTTTCCCAGCACTATTTATTAAATAGGGAATCCTTTCCCCATTGCTTGTTTTTCTCAGGTTTGTCAAAGATCAGATAGCTGTAGATATGCGGCGTTATTTCTGAGGGCTCTGTTCTGTTCCATTGATCTATATCTCTGTTTTGGTACCAGTACCATGCTGTTTTGGTTACTGTAGCCTTCTAGTATAGTTTGACAGGGATGCCCTCTCTCACCACTCCTATTCAACATAGTGTTGGAAGTTCTGGCCAGGGCAATTAGGCAAGAGAAGGAAATAAAGGGTATTCAATTCGGAAAAGAGGAAGTCAAATTGTCCCTGTTTGCAGATGACATGATTGTATATCTAGAAAACCCCATTGTCTCAGCCCAAAATCTCCTTAAGCTGATAAGCAACTTCAGTAAAGTCTCAGGATACAAAATCAATGTACAAAAATCACAAGCATTCTTATACACCAATAATAGACAAACAGAGAGCCAAATCATGAGTGAACTCCCATTCACAATTGCTTCAAAGAGAATAAAATACCTAGGAATCCAACTTACAAGGGACGTGAAGGACCTCTTCAAGGAGAACTACAAACCACTGCTCAATGAAATAAAAGAGGATACAAACAAATGGAAGAACATTCCATGCTCATGGGTAGGAAGAATCAATATCGTGAAAATGGCCATACTGCCCAAGGTAATTTATAGATTCAATGCCATCTTCATCAAGCTACCAATGACTTTCTTCACAGAATTGGAAAAAACTACTTTAAAGTTCATATGGCACCAAAAAAGAGCCCGCATCGCCAAGTCAATCCTAAGCCAAAAGAACAAAGCTGAAGGCATCACGCTACCTGACTTCAAAAAGTACTATTATGCTAACCTTTAACTTGCATCACAGTAGAAGGTCCTAAATATATGTCTTCCCACTGAATTTCTTCTTGGTCCTTTGATGGAAAGGAGACAGCTTTGTAGTAGAAACTCCATGAGTTTGAATTAATTGGTATCTTTATGACCTCTAACACTGGTGCAATTTTTTTCCAATGACATAATGATACAAATAATAAATAAAATAACATGGAATTACATAAAATATTTAATGATATTACGAACATTTTACAAAGATCAATCAAAACTAGGAAAGATGTATTACCAAAATTTTAAATAGCTTGGATCTAAACAGAAGAGTATTCCTGACACCCAAATAGGAGCCCAGGAAAAATATAAAATTTAAATATTGAGCATTAAATATCAGATGAATTCCAAATGTCCAGTACAAAGATCAGGGTCTAATAGGGTGACTGCTTAAAAATACAATATTCAATTATATTAATACATATATTAAACCATTATTAGCCTTTTGCTGTCACAGGATGTTCTTAGCATGTCTAATACTGCAATATTCTTCATTATCTCATGCTTTTCTTGCTATCCAGTCTCATTTGTTTCCACTTTCCACTTTCTAATTCTAAGATTCTGCACTGAGCTTTTTTATGATACCTGAAGTTGCTCCGTTTTGCTTTTTCGGTTCTCTAGGTTACTGTTATGGTTTGGATATGTTTGTTTTACACAGCCCAGTCTCATGTTGAAATCTGATCCCCAATGTTGGGTGCAGGGCTTGGTGGGAGTGCTTGTATCATGGAGATGGATCTCTCATGAACGGCTTAATGACATTCCCAGTGGAGTTAGTAAGTTTTCACTTTTAGTTCCCAGGGGAACTGGTTATTGAAAAGAGTCTGGTACCTGGACCTTTCTAGCTTGCTTTCTGCCATCACCATATAGTGGGCTCCCCATATAGTGGGCTACACCTTCCACCATGACCGTAATGTTCCTGAGGCCCCTGCCAGAAGCAGATGTTGGTGTCAGGCTTCTTGTACAGCCTGCAAAACTGTAAGTCAAATAAACCGCTTTTCTTTATAAATTACCCAGCCTGAGTTATTAGTTTATAGCAACACATAAATTAAGACTGTCCCTATTTCTCTCCTTGGGATACTTGTCCCCATACCTTGCCTCTGTAATTATTACTCATCTTTCAGACCTTGAGATACATGTCACTTTCATATGTTCCTTGATTCTGAAGTCCATGGTAGACATCACTCCTGCATTTTTTTCTAATGATACTGTACTTTCCTTATCATTAGTGTATCATACCGTTAATTGTTGCTCTCCGCCATTTACCTGTAAGCTCTATAAATGCAGGGATCATGACGGTCTTGTTAAGTGTTACACCTAAGCATCTGCAACACTGAAGATAATCACTACATTTAAAATAATGCTGTTATAAAGAAATTTTCAAATTTTGTCTATGTGGTAACTTGGTATACATATTCCTTAAAGAAATGTTTTTGGAAAATCGTTCACATGCACTGCTGATGGAAATGTGAACTGTTTTGACCTTTTATGAAAGCAATATGGGGCAATATATATATGTACACACAAATGCACATATATTACTGTGTGTATATGTGTGTATATAGGCATATATGTATTTCTCAATGCAGTAAACCTATCTGCTAAAGTAAAGCTATGAGTAGGTAAGGTTGTACATTAAAAAGTTGCTTATTATAGTATTGCTTCCAGTGATGAAAAACAAACAGCAAAAGAAATATGGAATGCCTGTTAGTAGAGTAATTGTTTAACATTGTTACATTATATTCTTGCCATAAAATGTCACCAACCATTAACAAAAATTTTTGAGAAATATCCCAGCTGACTTGAAAATATTTCACAAAGTATTATTGAGTGAGAAAAGCAAGATTCTGAGGGTGTGTATTTGGTGGCTCTAAAGAAGAATAAGAAAGGATGTTTTCTAAGTTGGCAACTTGATTTAACTGGTTAACTAAAGGAGACTGGAAAAGATATTGGTTGGAAGGAGAAGAACAAAACAATAAAGGATAAAAAAGAGAGACTGATCCCTGTAGAACATGTGTGATATAATTGTGTTTATCCCTTGCTCATGAAAATTTTGTGCATTCTTATATGTACAATAAAACTTTTAAATATAAATATGCAGTTTCCTGAATCTGTGCTAGTCATATGAAGCAATACCTAAGTATGTACCACAGACTTAATAATTTATTTGGTCCTGATTACCCCTAGTAAAACTAAGCAATGACTACTGACATTTGTCCTTCAAAATTCTCAGAGAGAAAGGCAAAATGTCAGTCCTACTCAGTTACCTTCATAGTATCCACTACATTCAGACATGACTGAGAAAATTAAAGGTGTGCAGATAGCTGTCTGATACTCATTGGCTGGACACTTAAACAGAAAAAAGAAAGTGAGGCTAGGCGCGGTGGCTAATGCCTGTAATTCCAGCACTTTGGGAGGCCAAGGTGGGCAGATCACTTGAGGTCAGGAGTTGAAGACCAGCCTGTCCAACATAGTGAAACCCAGTCTCTACTAAAAATACAAAAATTAGCTGGGCATGGTGGCACACGCCTATAATCCCAGTTACTCAGAAGGCTGAGTCAAGAGAATCACTTGGACCTAGGATGCAGAGGTTGCGGTCAGCCGAGATCACACCACTGCACTCCAGCCTAGGTGACAAAGTAAGACTCTATCTCAGAAAAAAAAAAAAGAAAGAAAAAGAAAAGGAAAAGAGAAAGGGAGAAAAAAGAAAACTAGAGGGCTAAGCAAATGTATCTATTTTGAGCACTAGATCTAGGGTCTAAATAAATAGGAAAAAGACAACTTTTTATAATTAGAGGTTCTTAAATATCAAATATAAGTGTCAAGATGAATACTGAAATGTAACCTATTTTATACTGTTTTTTGTGCATCAAATTAGAAAAAAATTATAGGTACTAATTTGGTATCCATACTCATTATATTGCTTTATTACTAGTAACATTTAAAAACAAATATCAATTGTATATGTCCACACCAGATACAAATAGAGTTTTGATTTGTTTTAATAGAGGACAGAAGCAAGTCTATGAGACACAGAGAACTGAACCACACTGAATTTGGCAAAGTGTTATGGTTTCATAGAAGATAAAATATTTGAGCAGGGAACTGTAGTAGGTAGAAGTAGGGAAAATACATGGTCAAATACACATGCTCCTGCCCATAAAGACAAGGATCACATCAGTTTTCTAGTTTACCTTATATATCCAATGTCTGGCAGAGTCCCTAGTAAATAATCATGTTTAAGAAATGCTTGCTGAATTAATAATTGAATGAATGACTGCATAAATCAAAATGACATCCTAGTAATTTACAACATAGTATTTAGCTAGGTCGGAGAAATTATTAGCAGATATTGATTACTAAAAGAATGAATGAGATATGAAAATAAGACTTAGTAACAATAAAGTACTTAACCTCATTTTATAACCGCTTTATTCTTTTAGCAAAAACTGATCTATGGCAGTTTTGCAGAAGAGAATGGAAAGAAGTTTGGAGCTGCTCAAGGGCTACAAATGCCATGCTAGGAAGTTCACTTCATCCTTTGGGAAGATAATGGAGATGCAACAGAACTTTTATGTATATTCATATATTTTAATATATTATTTATTATTTTTATATTTACTATTATATTTATTATCTATTGTTATAAATATATACTTATATATTATATTTATTATATATTATATATATTTCATGTCACTTAACGTATGAGTAAAATCAGTAAAAAAGCTATAGTCGAGCCTTTAAATAGAAAAACAAATTCCCCTACAAACAATAATTATTGCCCCATTTTCTCTGGTATGTCTTTGTCGTCTTGTGACTTGCCTCCAATTGACCAAAATTTAACTACAAACTTCCACAACTCACAATCCTACAAAAATGTAGACTGAAATAAAAAGAATAAAATATATGTTTCAAAAAATATACGTTAAGCATATTGGACTATGCTTAATATATAGGAATATTATATTATATAATATATAATTATACTATTATATTATTATATACATAAAATATATATGAAATATATATTGGAATATTGCCATATAATTATTCATAATTTTAGAACCTCAAGACTTTTTAAAGTTACTTTGAGTTATTTGCAAAATATAGTGCAGAAACTTTTTAATAATCAATTAACTTACCTTTAGGTAAATGCCTAATTAAGAAGCTTTGCAAATATGGATAGGAATACCCATATCCTAGGCCCTGTTACCATGTTAGCCTCCTTGTAGTTTTCCTTTTCATCAAGTGCAAGGTAGGCATCCCTCATCAAGTCAAGAGGGAACATCCTGCGTTCTAAAGAATTCATTTCAATATAGCTAAAGGTTAAAGAAAGAACAAAAAATGCCATTACTCTTGGAGAATACTTACTATGCGGCCCTTGGCCTACATATAAAGAGGGGATGATATATCAACCTCTGACTTAAATATCCCTGCCAGTTACCACTATCTTTTCATGACATTTCAAAATGTTAATTAATTTCTGCATATTGTTACATCTTGTGGATTTTTTTTTTTTTTTTTTTGAGACGGAGTCTCGCTCTGTCGCCCAGGCTGGAGTGCAGTGGCGGGATCTCGGCTCACTGCAAGCTCCGCCTCCCGGGTTCACGCCATTCTCCTGCCTCAGCCTCCCAAGTAGCTGGGACTACAGGCGCCCGCCACTACGCCCGGCTAATTTTTTGTATTTTTAGTAGAGACGGGGTTTCCCCGTTTTAGCCAGGATGGTCTCGATCTCCTGACCTCGTGATCCGCCCGCCTCGGCCTCCCAAAGTGTTGGGATTACAGGCGTGAGCCACCGCGCCCGGCCGATTTTTGTTTGTTTTAAGAGTTATCCCACCTGGATAACTCAGCTGAGCAGGCATCAGCTGTCAGAGTAGCCATTTAAAGCAGCAAGACAGAAATAAAAGAGTTCAGCCTTTAGTCACCTCCTGCTATGGTATAAGCAAGAGTCTAAAACCAGAGAAAACACTGACTCACCCTGTTTCATTTTCCCTCATGAAACAGCACAGACTTGGGGGCCATCTCATTTTTGAGGAAGCCCAGAACAAAAGACTGTGACAGTAATTATGGAATCTGGGAGGCAGGATGTGGGAAAGCGGGTGAGGTTGAAGGTTAAGTCAGAGTAGAGAAAAGTGTCTTGATGTTTCTCCCGTCTCCCTCCATGATGAGGCCTAGACAAAGGCATCTGAAGACCCCTGCCCAAGGCCTCGGAAAAAGAGACCTAGGAGTGCAAGTTCTTACCAGGCAAGGAATGTAAATATGGGAAGAACAGAACGGGCAAGGGAGGGCTGGGATCTTGAGGGCAACTCTTCTCAGAGGCTGCCAGGAACCAGCTGTGCACCCGCTCTGTGTAGACAGGGTAGCTTCCCTGTGTGATCTGCCAGGTAAAGCTTTTGAAATCACCTATGGCCAGGCCTGAAAAATAACACACAGGTTTTAACTAGGAGCTGGACTCCTTACCAACTCTATTTTTCTAGAAGAATATGCAAACTCATTGTTTTATTTCTTTGGTATGAAATCAAGAAACTATAATTAGTCCAGGCTTTTGATATGTGTTTAACTGAGTTCAATATATTGACAATTGAATTATACATTTTCCAGATGGCGAAAGGTCACACATCTGGCAGAGTTTCTTAGTTGAAGTTTCTTTTTGTATCAATTAATGTATGGTTATTCAATAGACAATTACAATCATTTAATCTATTCTAATTTTTTAAGCAATTTGTATTTCTTATATCTTTTCGAGGAAAAAGTCAAATTTGAATAGATCCAGTAAGGCACATGTCAATATCTGCAGCTCCTTATAAAAAGCTAAAAATGCAGCAATTTACCTCAACTTTTATCTCTGATGCTGGTGATTAATTTTTCCCAATGTACCCTCTTCTCTGGGACTTGGCTGTATTACAGTTTTCTTTTAAAAAGTCTTGTTCCATATAACCAATAGAATCTTTGTGTATTAAATACACATACACACACATTATTGTAGTATCATTGTGCTGGATGAATAATTTTCATAAATTCAAGAGCTAGAGAGGCTATATGTAAATAGATAATTGAATTATAGTGGGAAATGCACAAGAAACAGAGTAATTGTTTCTGAGAATGGGTCAGTGAAATTTTTATTAATAAAATGGCATCTAAACTGGGGTTTGAAGAATAAGTTTTTTTAAAAAATACAATTAATGAAGTGTAAAGGGATATTGTATTTTATATAATAGGAAACCATCAATTGAAGATTTTGTCTAAGTAACAAATAATAGCAAATAATCTAGCAAACAATATTACCTCTATCAGTTAAGATGTATCCTGTTAGATAACAATATACTTTAAAAAGGTTACTAAATTTCCACCCATTGACTAATACTGTAACTCCATAGTAACGATGTAGTTTTATAAATATAGAGCTGATAATTCATAATTATTATATCTTTCTTACAACATGGAATTTTTTTATATTGAAGAGGATTGCTGCAAATTTTCTCCTCCAGAATTTTATATAATCTATAAAATGGTTAAGTATGAAAATTATAATAATAAATAATACACCACTAGATATCCTTCTGTACTATACCTTTCCTGATACCAAGGATCATGGGTTGTTTCTATTATTTTAAACTATTTTGAGAGTTCTCTAAATATTTTAATATCTTTGAATTATTTGGCCATGAGTAACTACATGAATTGGGCAAAATTATTCTTACTGTGAATATATCAACAGATAAATTATAAATTCACAGAGCATATTTAATTGAGTTTCTCTTCTTATCATTTGGTGTTCCATATCTTGTTCATTCTGGAAATGAGAAAGAATTCCTGCAAACTGAACAACAGATTCTATTTCCACTTCTATGCAAGTGTGGACCTGGATAATAACAACCACAGTACATATGAATGAGGAGTGACAGTGTTGGCATAGGGTGACCTGATTCCCTTATATGTTTATAGACCTGTAAAGTCTAGGATGTAGTTTCTTAGTTATTTTCGCTATTATAGACAAGACAGAGGAACAATGATCTTTAATGTGCTATTTCAGAGCATGAATCACACTTTACAAGCCATTCCTGTCAGCCCATAATATAAACTAATCTTCTAATAAGACACTGTGTCCTTCCATATAGTTCAGTGAAGTGCATAGTGATTTCAACCTTAATGGAAAATGATTATCTTTTACTGATGTGACCTTTTAACCCAAACTACAGTCCAAGTTCATCTCTATATTTTACTAGCACGTCTATTAACATTATGTTCATGTAATAGAGCATATTACACAAAGCATTATTGGGCTGAATTTTCATTATAAAATAACAACAATCTTCACAGTATAAATCGTCTTTGACTGCAAGGAAAGCTAATGTGAATGATTGTGGGTGAGCTAGCATTTATCTCACCCAGGACACCTGTCCATGCAGTATAAATACAATATGTAAGACTTTATTTCCCTTTGTTTTCTATTTTTTAAAATTAAGCCCTTAGTGATTTCTTGAAAATGATAACACTACCATTCAGTATATTTGACAAGGAAAACAACTTGTAACTCACATATTTTATTTTTGTCCTTCGTGTTTTCATTTAATCTAATTTCTTTATAGGTCATAGAGCTTTTCTTATTGGTAGGAAATGTTAGAGTTAATATACACACAAGTGTGCGCACTCACGTAACACTCAGGCTCAGCTCTCTCTCTCTCTCTCTCTCTCTCTCTCTCTCTCTATATATATATATATATATATATATATACATAAAATAGGATATCCAAACAACATATTAGGAACAGTTAAAAATAATTCCTAAATAGCAATGGAATTAAATGCAAATAAGTTTTCTAAAGTATTTGACATAGTTTATTATCTTAAATATTTCAGCATATTCTTTAAGATTTTATGAGAACCCATTGTTATTAACAATTCATTTTAAGCTTCTGCTCTGACTCTTTCTGTTTTACTACAAATTCCTACTTAAGAGTGCTTGAATGACCTTCATTGAATTGTTTGTGGTTGTTATGCCGCAGTTTGTTTATTGTTGAAGTCCCAGTTTCCACTATCTGGACACAGAGAAAGAGGTGAGGGAAAGAAAATGGCAATTACATGTTGTTAAATAACTACATAAATCATTCCTTAAAAACATCTATAGTGATTTGTTGATTGTTTACAGCCCTTTAAATTTTGAACACCCCCCCCCCCCACATACGTAGGATTTTACATTTGATTAAAAGGAAGAAAAATTCTCATTCTTGTTTACTGACTTCCATTCACACACCCCAGAGTAATGTGGCTGGACTCCAGAGTATAAATCTGAGCTGAAACTGTTGTGTGTCTAATAATGACAAACATTACGCAAGCCTGCTTAATTGGCAGAGGCTTTAGTTTAGTATATTTAACTGATTATAAATAGGAAATAGATTATTTTACTAAAATAACAGACTTTTTTTCTAAAAACACTATTTCTTACTTACATACGGTTGTCAAATAGCTTTGAATGGCCTAGATTATTCACTCTATATACATTTATTCATTTTAGTCAACATCAAATTCCTATTATGGCTATCTATGCTATTCTATGCATCTCTCATAGCATGCTATAGTAGTTTGAGAAACTCAAGCCAAAAAAAAAAAAAGTGACTCTCTGTGCACAATCCATGCCAATGAGGCTTTGATAATCAGGCCAATCACTTAATTACAAGTTTGTATTTCTATTCCCACTGAGATGTGCCAATTAAAAGAATTTGACTTTAATTCCAAACAACATATTAGTCTAATTACCTGATGCACTGCCTGCTTTGAATTTTGTTTAACCTTGTGCGTGTATGTGTGTTTGTGTGTGTGTGTATTTAACACATGATCTGTAAAGTATTGTGAATTACAAGGTATAGACTATAATTTCAAAAATGAATCTGGGTCTACCTTTTCAAAACACCTTGTATCTTCACCCAGGTAACTTGAATTGCGTAAATAACAACTGTGTTTCATTGGTCTTGAAGGCCTCAAATTATTTAAACTGGTGGTCTCATTCCCTCTATGTTAGAAAAAAAATGTAAAAGCTCTTTTTCAGCTAATGATTAACATCACTGTGTAAAATAAATTTGATCATTTGAAATACTAACAAGGTGATTTATGCACATGCTGACTACCTTCATTTTTCAGGATATTGCAAATTAATCCTATCACTGCAGAAATTATGTGCTTTAGAGTTGCACAGCAAAAAATGATTGACAAGTCATAATCCTAAGGGACAGCTATACAAATTCAAATTATTATATTTCTAAGGTATTACTTAAAGAAGAACTAACTTTTCAGTTCTCCAACGAATTCAAGGTTTGGGAACTTTTTCCTTTGACTGAGAAATTAGAAGATGACAATGTCAAAAAAGTGAGAACTGTCAATGTTAGAACAGATCAAGTCTCAAGCAAAAACACTGCTGTCTGTCTGAGATCTAGAATCAAAGTGTAGAAATTATTTCCTCATGGGGCAGAGAAGAATAAGCCCCTAATTAAATGAAATAATGGCTCTAGGATATGTGACCTGACGAAAATTATAAAAATCAGAGATGATATTCAGAAGCTAGTTTAAAAGAAATTTTTTAAAACTCTGCATTTTATTTCTTCCAGATGTAGAATCCAGAAAAAGAACTTTAAACTTGAAGATACATCTCTCAAATGTACTTAATATTCAGAGTATAATTAAATTTTGCTCCTTTAAGACATATGCCTTTTAAAATTCTGAACCTTTCCATGTTCTGCACTGTAATAAATATAGTTGAATATTATCTTGTGAAATAGTTGACTCAAATTTATAATTTTAAATAAGCAGTGCTAAATAACAGAAAGGAAATGATAAATTGAATAAATGTAAACAATGATCATCTAAGTAGAATAAGAGAGCATGAATAATACTTTAACAAGAAATGCAACAGCAGGAACCAGATTCAGAAAAAATAATTCTTTTTCAGCTAGCTTGTTGTTCATGTATAGAAATAGTACCAATTATCATATGTTGATTTTGTATCCTTAAACTTTGCTGAATTTCTTGTCAGGTCTAAGAGTTTTTGATAGAGTCTTTAGGTTTTTGTATACACAAGTTTATATCATCTGCAAACAGAGATAAATTGACTTCTTTCTTTCTAGCACGGATTCCCTTTATTTCTTTCTCTGGGTAGGACTGCCAGTACTATGTTGAATAGAAGTGGTGACAGTGGGGATTCTTATCTTCTTCCAGTTCTCATAGGAAAAGCTTTCAGCTTTCCCCCGTTTGCTAGGTTAGCTGTGGGTTTGTCATATGTGACATTCATAGCCCTGAGCTACTTTCCTTCTAAACCCAATTTATTTAGAGCTTTTATCATATATCATTGTTAAATTGTATCAATTGTTTTTCCACACCTGTTGAAATGATCATATACTTTTTGTCCTTCATCTGGTTGATGTGATGTATCACATTTACTTATTTGCATATGTTGAAACATCCTTACAACCCTGGGATAAATCCCACTTAATCATGATGTATTATCTTTTTGATATGCTGTTGGATTCAGTTTGGTAATATTTTGTTGAGAATTTTTGCCTGTATGTTTATTAGGGATGTTGGCCTGTAGTTTTCCTTTTTTGGTGGTGTTTTTATCTAGTTTTGGAATCATGGTTATGTTGACCTCACAGAATGAGTTAGAAAGAATTCTCTCTGCTTCAGTGTTTTGGAATAGTTTTAGAAGAGGTAATATTAATTCTTCTTTAAGAGTTAAGTAGAATTCAGCAGTGAAACTATTTAGTCCTGGGCTGTTTCTTGGTGAGAGACTTTTTATTACTGATTAAATCCATTAGTTGTATTGGTGTGTTCAGGATTTTTACTTCTTGGTTGAATCTTAGTAGTTGCATTTATCCAGGGCTGTGTCCATTTCCTGTAAGTTTTCTTTTAATTTATTGGTGGATAAAGAAACCACGAAGTCCACTTCATTTACAATACCTATGAAAAATAGTTAGGAATAAATTTAACCAAATAGATGAAAGACCCCTACAAGAAAAACTGCAAAATAACAATTGAAGGGGATACAAACAAATGGAAACATACCCCATGCTCATGAATCAGAAGAATTAAGAAGATGAGCATACTGCCCAAAGAAATCTATGGATTCAATGCAATTTCTATCAACATACCAATAACATTCTTTAATGAAATTGAAGAAATATTCTGAAATTTGTAGGAACCATGAAAAAACCCATATGGGGAAAGCAATCCTAATTTAAAAAAAAACAAAGCTGGAGGCATCACACTACCACATTTCAAAAGATATTACAAAGCGATAGTAACCAAAACAGCATGGTACTGGCATGAAAATAGACACATAGACCAATGGAACAGAATAAAGAACTCAGAAATTAATTCATGCCTCTACAGGCAATGCATTTTTGACAAAGGTGCTAAGAGCATTCATCAGGGGAATGACAGTCTCTTCAATAAATTTTGCTGGGAAAACTGAATATCCATACACAGAAGAATAAAACTAAATACCCATCTCTCACCTCATAGAAAAGAAAAAAAAAACTCAAAATGAATTAATGACCTAATGTAAGACCTGAAACTATAAAACAACTAAAAGAAAACATAGGGAAAATGCTTCAGGACACTCACTTGGGGAAAGATTTTATAAATAAGACCCCAAAAGCATAGTCAACAAAAGCAAAAATAAACAATTGGGATTATATCAAACTAAAAAGCTTTTGCACAGCAAAAGAAACAATTAACAGAGTGAAAAGCAACCACCAGAATGGCAGAAAATATTTACAAACTGTTCATGCTATAGGGGATTAGCATCCAGAATATATAAAAACTCAAACATCTCAACAGCAAAAAAAAAAAAAAAAAAAAAAATCGAATTTAAAAAATGGGCAAATGATCCGAACAGACATTTCTCAAAGAAGGACATACAAATGACCAATAAATGAATTTTAAAATGCTTAACCTCACTAATTATCATGGAATGCAAATCAAGACCACAATGACATATCTTCTCACACAAATTAAGATGACTGGTATAGATAAGACAAAAAAAAAATAAATGCTTCTGAGGATGCAGAGAAAAAGTAACTCTTTTACACTGCTGGTGGAAATGTAAACTAGTACAGCCACTATGAATATGAGTTCCCTCAGAAAACTGCAAATAGAACTAACATATGACCCAGCAGTGTTACTCTTGGGCATTTATCCAAATGAAAAGAAATCAGTATATTGAAGAGACATCTGCACCCCCATGTTTATTGCAGAATTATTCACAATAGCTAAGATATAAATCAACCTAAGTGTCCAATAACAGATAAATGAATAGAGAAAATCTGGCATGCATATACATACACACACACACACACACACACAGACACACACACACAAACAATGAACTGCTATTCAGCTATGAAAAGGATGAAATCTTATCATTCCTAGATAGATGGAACTGGTTAACATTATACTAAGTAAAATAAGCTAGGAACAGAAAGTTGAACACAACACGTTCTCACTGAATTTTGAAGCCAGATTAAAAATAAGCTTATCTCATGGAAATAAAAACTAGAGCAGAGGCTACCAGAGGCTAAAAAGGGTAGGAAGAAGAAGAAAGGGAGAGATTTGCTAAAGGATACAAAATTACAACTAGACAGGAGGAATAAATTCTAGTGTTCTATAACACTGTAAGATGACTACAGTTACCAATAATACATAGTTTCAAATATCCAGAAGAAGTACATTGAATGTTCCCAACATGAATTATAAATGTTTGAGATAATAGATACGCTGATTATCCTGATCTGATCACTATATATGTACCAAAACACCACGACGTACTCCATAAATATGTAAAATTATTATGTTCCAATTAAAAATAAAGTATTGAAAATAGATGCTAAGGTAATATAAAATTATAGGAATTTACTGCAGAATTTTACAAGTAATCATGCGGATGAGCCTAAAGAAAACCCAGATACCTTTTCAAAATAACCAGCTGAGTGCCAGAAAGTCATTTCACTCTCTCTATCTAATCTATCTATCTATAGCAAAATGACTTTATACAGTAAGATATATTATATATATAGATATAATCTATAGATATATCAATATATACCTTATTGTAAATTCTCCCTCTAAACAAGGGTTTTTTTTAAGAAACTGAGGTCTTTCATGCTCCATATAGCAGTATAGCAGAGAAAAACTGGAACTCTTCATTTCTCAATGTAGAGAGTCTCAAAACCACATTTGTGACACACTCTTTTATACTATTACCAAAGGCTTGGTTTTAAACATCTCAGAACTAAAACACTGTACATAAGAAAGTTGTAAAAGAAGTTTAGAGAAGTATAACCGAAATGATTAGGAGAATATAGGTTTTGACTTGTGAAAAAAAGATTTTAATAAAAGAAGTCTCTATAACTGTCCAAAAAGATAACTAAAAGGTAAGACGATAAAAGCCTACAAATATATGGACAGTGTAAGAATAGGTAGGACAAGAAATTATTGAACATTTCAAAGAGGGAATTTCTAAAGTATAGAATGAACACATGGGTTGAGTTTAAATGAAAAGGCAGAATATCATAAAGAAAAAAATCTTCACGTATAGAATGGATTCCAGAGTGGTGGTTTTACGACTCATAAGGCAATATTTTGCGCACCCCTTCCCTGCTGCATGTATGCACACACTAATATCAATACATACACGTGATAATAAGAAACATATAAGAGGGACTCATTTGTAACTGGAACAGAACAGCGTAGGATTTTTCATTTACAATTTTCATGTTATAATCATTTCTGCTTTCACAGATGGCTATATTTATCTCTTAATAGATATAAGAATTATAATTTTGCATTAAATAAATATCTATCCATCCCATTCAGCACCCTATGATGCTGAGTGAAAAGCAGTAATAAGGAAGCCACTTGTAGAATTGTAGAAACTTTAGGCTTAAAGCTAAGGCACATTAATTCCTAAAGAATCATCATCTTACAAATGACTATCAAATGTCTGCATAAACCCTTTTTTATGCAGAATTTTTCAAATCCTGACAATACCTATGTCGTCTACAACATACACTGTTACACAGCCTTCCATTTTAGGGAGCTCTGTTTTATTCCACCTAACTTTATAACTATATATCCTAATTTTACTAATTCCACTTTTAAAGTTGTACAAAAACACATTTGAAGGCAGCTACCATAACAAACTTAGATAAAACTTTCCTATATGTTTTTTTCAAGGTCACATTATTTTGACATATGCTCTATCTCATCATAATCACTTCTATGTGTTCTTTTATTTATTGAGGTTTTTTTTTTTTAATTTGGTGCCAGGAGCTAACCATAATACAGTGAGTTCATTAAAAAAGAACCAGGATAAGTATAATTTATCTCAATTTACATTACAGGGAGAATACAGCAAAATAAGCCTTGGGCTCTCCACTTGCAATTAGGTAATTTGTATAGTAATGGAACAAAAATGTGAGAGACTCTTTGTCTTTATAAATCGTTATATGGCATGAGGGCTTTGCATGTGTGCTACTTTATAAAATCTCTGTAAATGACAGATGATACCCACTTCTCAAATGTGAAAGGAAAGTTGTAATTGAAGGTCATCTCTGTTTCCTCTCTCAGGAAGGCAAACAACTGATAAGGGATTTGGGGGAAGCTGGAGAAAGTTTTTGTGATTAACTAGTTTTCTCTACATCTCTTAAAGATGGTGGATAGGAGAAGACAAAATCCATTGCTTGGAAATTTATATATAAGATGGTACAAAGATATTGATCAGCAAAAAGCTGATGGAAATTGTGAATAATATTTTATTATATAATATTAAATTGAATTTCAATGCCAATGTTGAAAAACTATTTTTATTGGTACATATCACTTAGTGTTCTGCAACTTCCTTCTACTGATCTGTGAATTAATTACTTAGCAAAAACCTGGAAATTGCCCTGACATTATAGTAAGTCACTTACATGCCCCATATTGATATAATTAATGATGGACTAAAATATGAGAATTCCTGTATAAATTCTGGTACTGATATTTATTCAGTTTGATTTTTTCTAGGCAGAAAGTCTTACTTTTATGTATGTTAAAATTTATCTTATCAAATCTATTTTATTCTTTCTCTATGGTATTTCTCGATTCTGTTTCTGATATTTAAAAAGGACTATCATCTTGAAATATATTCTAACAAAATTTGATAAGCATGTTTTATAAATCCTCATTCAAATTAACCAGAAAAAAATGAGTAAGAGTATAATGGATGAAGATTTATACAATTAGAATCATTTTTCCTCAGCAAGAATATTAGTCAAGAAATTATATCTATCATTGCATAATGAGTTATTAATCCACCTAGTTGCACTAACATTCATCACATTCAAATATTATCTTCCTAATAGAAAAATATCATAAGGTGATTTGTGAAATGAATAGAAAAAGTCACACAGTGACATTTACCTATTGAATAAATATTTGTTTACATATCAAAACTAGCAACCTTAAAGAATAGTTGTTATAATAAAGAGATCCATAGTTTTTACAATGTTTGTACACACACGTCTGTTTTTATAGTAAACATATACAGATATATAGTGATAAATAGGTTATCTTCAATATACTCACAAAATGTTATGTTTATCTTGACATGTAAGTATTAAATTGAGAGCTATAACATATTCAATTTTCTCATGTTGAAAGAAACATTAAATAATTGCTGCAGCATAATATATAAAGAGCAAAGTGTTAAGGTCAGATGTCTAGAATCTTTGTTCTGACTCTGCCAAAATTAATTATTTAATTATTTAATATTATTTAATAATAGTAACTCATTATGCAATGATAGCCATAATTTCTTGACTAATAACTCTGAGAAAAAAAATGATTCTAATTGTATAAATCTTCATCCATTACACTCTTACTCATTTTTTTTTCTGAATAATTTGAATGAGGCTTTATAAAACATGCTTATCAAATTTTGGCTTCAGTTTATTCATTGAGACAATAAGAAAACTATATTAGATTATTTCCAATTCTATTTTCTTCCATATATCCTATGAGATCTAAATATATTTAATTTATATATGTGTTGTATTCCAGTCATCTGAAAAAGATTGTTTTGAATAACATTATTACAGTATCATTGATACTTAATGTTTTGAATGTAAACCTTGTATTTTAAAATATGCTATTGTTTGTTCTGCTGAAATGTATATCTATTTGACAGTCCTTTTTTTTAATTGAATATTGTGAAATTCTAATTGGCTTAAGTGATTGTCATTTCTTAAAACTTGAATACTCACTATCCACTATGGTTGTACTTTTTTGTCTCTTTTTTATTGGAAATGGACTTTGCGATATTCAATTATTAAATCTGTTTGGCTGAGAAAATGATATTTATCAAGTATTGAATTTGTTAGTCTACCAATACTATCTCAACTGCAAAAATGTCACACTATCTTGGCATCCTAAATGAAACAAGATACATTGGTTTTTGCTGAAATCTCTCCTCAAGTAAATGACCCAGAAAAATGCATGAAAATGTGGAATGGTACATGTAACATAATCACAAATTTCTCTCTCTAATTAGCTCTACAGGCCTTGGAAATGAAAACTGACACTACTTGATTCTTGCTCACACCCATGAAGACTCCCTCCTGCCACAACATTGTGATGTCATTCCTCTTTGGTCTTATTTTGTAGGTGGTTTAGCTTCTAACTAACACCATGATGGCCTCTGAGAAAACACACAGTTTCAGTCTAATCTGCTTTCTTCCATTCTCCCTGTTTTTCTCTACCTCTGCAACATAACCTTTAAATAGTATCTTTAAATGATTCTAAGGAAGTATCCAATGCTGCAGCTACCTGTAACACTGAGTGACTGTCATCCAGAAATAAAAGTTTGCATGTTACTCACATAGTGTTTGGGTTGTCATCATTGGCATTTGTTCCTTACTCTCAATGCTTCCTTTCTTCTAAGAGTAACTTTGGAGAACAACAGAAATATTTTTTCTTTTAATACAGATGCATCTTTTAAAGCTCTGCTTACCTCTACTATTACAACACAATAGCATTATAGGACTTGATTTTGAAATTTCCATTTCAAATAGACATGCTAATTTTTAAAAGAAAGTAAAAAATGTTTTAATGGTGAAATAACTGGAAGGTAATTACAAAATTAATAGTAATAATACTGTTGTTTTTTTCTTTCTAATATTTTCCTTGCAATTCTATCGGACTCCAAACTCATTAACATTATCATCATAGCATTTATTTTAGGGCAAAGAATGCTTTTATGTCAAAATCACATCAAAATGATCTTCACCAGCTGACTCTCATTTCACACAACGTTAAAATGGGCATATAAATAGAAGATGAAAATAAATAAAATATGTTAAGAACAGCTTTCTCTTAAAATAATTGTGTGCCTGTAGATACAAGTAACTTATAACCAATACATTTTGATAAGCTAAAATAAATATTCTATAAACAATCTTAATATATAATATATGAACTTTTAGTAATTTTTTCCTATGGCCCACAAGTAGCAAAAACAGATACTAGTCTTTTATTTCACCCAACTACTCCTTGAATACTAGAAAGGAACACATATCCTTAACATAAAATGTGAAGAACTCTGCACACATTCAAAATTTTTCAGTTAAATATATAATAACTTGGAGAGAGTAGCCACTGTAAATTCACAGTGCTTTATACAATGAAAATGATTATTCCCTACTGTCTTGGAAGAAATAAGGTTATAAACACATACGCCATGTCATGGCAAAATGCTAAACACAGTGAGGAAATACAATTTTTAAATTGTTTCATTAAGTCTTCTATACCCAAAGCTAATTCTGCCTTGATCTGAAGTATAATATATGAAAATATGTGGAGAGTGTGAAAAATGTGTAATGAAAGAAATCTATACATTTCCATTTGCTTAAAATGCATAAAGCCATTACTTTCTTATTATTATTATACTTTAAGTTTAGGGTACATGTGCACAATGTGCAGGTTAGTTACATATGTATAAATATGCCATGCTGGTGTGCTGCACCCACTACCTCGTCATTTAGCATTAGGTATATCTGCTAAAGCTATCCCTCCCCCCAACCAACCCCACAACAGTCCCCAGAGTGTGATGTTCCCCTTCTTGTGTCCATGTGTTCTCATTATTCAATTACCACCTATGAGTGAGAATATGCTGTGTTTGGTTTTTTGTTCTTGCAATAGTTTACTGAGAATGATGATTTCCAATTTCATCCATGTCCCTACAAAGGACATGAACTCATCATTTTTTATGGCTGCATAGTATTCCAAGGAGTATATGTGCCACATTTTCTTAATCCAGTCTATCATTGTTGGACATTTGACTTGGTTCCAAGTCTTTGCTATTGTGAATAATGCCGCAATAAACATACGTGTGCATGTGTCTTTATAGCAGCATGATTTATAGTCCTTTGGGTATATACTCAGTAATGGGATGACTGGGTCAAATAGTATTTCTAGTTCTAGATCCCTGAGGAATCGCCACACTGACTTCCACAATGGTTGAACTAGTTTACAGTCCCACCAACAGTGTAAAAGTGTTCCTATTTCTCCACATCCTCTCCAGCACCTGTAGTTTCCTGACTTTTGAATGATTGCCATTCTAACTGGTGTGAGATGCTATCTCATTGTGGTTTTGATTTGCATTTCTCTGATGGCCAGTGATGGTGAGCATTTTTTCATGTGTTTTTTGGCTGCAAAAATGTCTTCTTTTGAGAAGTGTCTGTTCATGTCCTTCACCCACTTTTTGATGGGGTTGTTTGTTTTTTTCTTGTAAATTTCTTTGAGTTCATTGTAGATTCTGGATATTAGCCCTTTGTCAGATGAGTAGGTTGTGAAAATTTTCTCCCATGTTGTGGGTTGCCTGTTCACTCTGATGGTAGTTTCTTCTGCTGTGCAGAAGCTCTTTAGTTTAATTAGATCCCATTTGTCAATTCTGGCTTCCATTGCTTTTGGTGTTTTAGACATGAAGTACTTGCCCATGCCTATGTCCTGAATGGTATTGCCTAGGTTTTCTTCTAGGGTTTTTATGGTTTTAGGTCTAATGTTTAAGTCTTTAATCCATCTTGAATTAATTTTTGTATAAGGTGTAAGGAAGGGATCCAGTTTCAGCTTTCTACATATGGCTAGCCAGTTTTCCCAGGACCATTTATTAAATAGGGAATCCTTTCCCCATTGCTTGTTTTTCTCAGGTTTGTCAAAGATCAGATAGTTTTAGATATGTGGCGTTATTTCTGAGGGCTCTGTTCTGTTCCATTGATCTATATCTCTGTTTTGGTACCAGTACCATGCTGTTTTGGTTACTGTAGCCTTGTAGTATAGTTTGAAGTCAGGTAGTGTGATGCCTCCAGCTTTGTTCTTTTGGCTTAGGATTGACTTGGCGACGTGGGCTCTTTTTTGGTGCCATATGAACTTTAAAGTAGTTTTTTCCAATTCTGTGAAGAAAGTCATTGGTAGCTTGATGGGGATGGCATTGAATCTATAAATTACCTTGGGCAGTATGGCCATTTTCACAATATTGATTCTTCCTACCCATGAGCATGGAATGTTCTTCCATTTGTTTGTATCCTCTTTTATTTCATTGAGCAGTGGTTTGTAGTTCTCCTTGAAGAGGTCCTTCACGTCCCTTGTAAGTTGGATTCCTAGGTATTTTATTCTTTTTGAAGCAATTGTGAATGGGAGTTCACTCATGATTTGGCTCTCTGTTTGTCTATTATTGGTGTATAAGAATGCTTGTGATTTTTGTACATTGATTTTGTATCCTGAGACTTTGCTGAAGTTGCTTATCAGCTTAAGGAGATTTTGGGCTGAGATGATGGGGTTTTCTAGATATACAATCTTGTCATCTGCAAACAGGGACAATTTGACTTCCTCTTTTCCGAATTGAATACCCTTTATTTCCTTCTCCTGCCTAATTGCCCTGGCCAGAACTTCCAACACTATGTTGAATAGGAGTGGTGAGAGAGGGCATCCCTGTCTTGTGCCAGTTTTCAAAGGGAATGCTTCCAGTTTTTGCTCATTCAGTATGATATTGGCTGTGGGTTTGTCATAGATAGCTCTTATTATTTTGAGATATGTCCCATGAATACCTAATTTATTGAGAGTTTTTAGCATGAAGGGTTGTTGAATTTTGTCAAAGGCCTTTTCTGCATCTATTGAGAGAATCATGTGGTTTTTGTCTTTGGTTCTGTTTATATGCTGGATTACATTTATTCATTTGCGTATATTGAACCAGCCTTGCATCCCAGGGATGAAGCCCACTTGATCGTGGTGGATAAGCTTTTTGATGTGCTGCTGGATTCGGTTTGCCAGTATTTTGTTGAGGATTTTTGCATCAATGTTCATCAAGGATACTGGTCTGAAATTCTCTTTTTTGGTTGTGTCTCTGCCAGGCTTTGATATCAGGATGATGCTGGCATCATCAGATGAGTTAGGGAGGATTCCCTCTTTTTCTATTGATTGGAATAGTTTCAGAAGGAATGGTACCAGTTCCTCCTTGTACCTCTGGTAGAATTTGGCTGTGAATCCATCTGGTCCTGAACTCTTTTTGGTTGGTAAGCTATTGATTATTGCCACAATTTCAGAGCCTGTTATTGGTCTATTCAGAGATTCAACTTCTTCCTCGTTTAGTCTTGGGAGGGTGTATGTGTCCAGGAATTTATCCATTTCTTCTAGATTTTCTAGTTTATTTGTGTAGAGGTGTTTGTAGTATTCTCTGATGGTAGTTTGTATTTCTGTGGGATTGGTGGTCATATCCCCTTTATCATTTTTTATTGCGTCTATTTGATTCTTCTCTCTTTTCCTCTTTATTAGTCTTGCTAGCGATCTACCAATTCTGTTGATCCCTTCAAAAAACCAGCTCCTGGATCATTAATTTTTTGAAAGGTTTTTTGTGTCTCTATTTCCTTCAGTTCTGCTCTGATTTTAGTTATTTCTTGCCTTCTGCTGGCTTTTGGATGTGTTTGCTCTTGCTTTTCTAGTTCTTTTAATTGTGCTGTTAGGGTGTCAATTTTGGATCTTTCCTCCTTTCTCTTGTGGGCATTTAGTGCTATAAGTTTCCCCCTACACATTGTTTTGAATGTGTCCCAGAGATTCCGGTAGGTTGTGTCTTTGTTCTTGTTGGTTTCAAAGAACATCTTTACTTCTGCCTTCATTTCGTTATGTACCCAGTAGTCATTCAGGAGCAGGTTGTTCAGTTTCCATGTAGTTGAGCGGTTTTGAGTGAGTTTCTTAATCCTGAGGTCTAGTTTCATTGCACTGTGGTCTGAGAGACAGTTTGTTATAATTTCTGTTCTTTTACATTTGTTGAGGAGAGCTTTACTTCCAACTATGTGGTCAATTTTGGAATAGGTGTGGTGTGGTGCTGAAAAAAATGTATATTCTGTTGATTTGGGGTGGAGAGTTCTGTAGATGTCTATTAGGTCCGCTTGGTGCAGAGCTGAGTTCAATTCCTGGGTATCTTTGTCAACTTTCTGTCTCGTTGATCTGTCTAATGTTGACAGTGGGGTGTTAAAGTCTCCCATTATTATTGTGTGGGAGTCTAATTCTCTTTGTAGGTCACTCAGGACTTGCTTTATGAATCTGGGTGGTCCTGTATTGGGTGCATATATATTTAGGATAGTTAGCTCTTCTTGTTGAATGGATCCCTTTACCATTATGTAATGGCCTTCTTTGTCTCTTTTGATCTTTGTTGGTTTAAAGTCTGTTTTATCAGAGACTAGGATTGCAACCCCTGCCTTTTTTTGTTTTCCATTGGCTTGGTAGATCTTCCTCCATCCTTTTATTTTGAGCCTATGTGTGTCTCTGCACATGAGATGGGTTTCCTGAATACAGCACACTGATGGGTCTTGACTCTTTATCCAATTTGCCAGTCTGTGTCTTTTAATTGGAGCATTTAGTCCATTTACATTTAAGTTTAATATTGTTATGTGTGAATTTGATCCTGTCATTATGATTTTAGCTGGTTATTTTGCTCGTTAGTTGATGCAGTTTCTTCCTAGCCTCGATGGTCTTTACATTTTGGCATGATTTTGTAGTGGCTGGTACCGGTTGTTCCTTTCCATATTTAGTGCTTTCTTCAGGAGCTCTTTTAGGGCAGGCCTGGTGGTGACAAAATCTCTCAGCATTTGCTTGTCTGTAAAGGATTTTATTTCTCCTTCACTTATGAAGCTTAGTTTGGCTGGATATGAAATTCGCGGTTGAAAATTCTTTCCTTTAAGAATGTTGAATATTGGCCCCCACTATCTTCTGGCTTGTAGAGTTTCTGCCGAGAGATCCGCTGTTAGTCTGATGGGCTTCCCTTTGTGGGTAACCCGACCTTTCTCTCTGGCTGCCCTTAACATTTTTTCCTTCATTTCAACTTTGGTGAATCTGACAATTATGTGTCTTGGAGATGCTCTTCTCGAGGAGTATCTTTGTGGCGTTCTCTGTATTTCCTGAATCTGAATGTTGGCCTGCCTTGCTAGATTGGGGAAGTTCTCCTGGATAATACGCTGCAGAGTGTTTTCCAACTTGGTTCCATTCTCCCCGTCACTTTCAGGCACACCAATCAGACATAGATTTGGTCTTTTCACATAGTGAAAAGACCTTCCATACTTCTTGGAAATATGGAAGGAAAGCCTTCCATATTTCTTGGAGGCTTTGTTCGTTTCTTTTTATTCTTTTTTCTCTAAACTTCCCTTCTCGCTTCATTTCATTCATTTCATCTTCCATCACTGATACCCTTTCTTCCAGTTGATCGTATCGGCTCTTGAGATTTCTGCATTCTTCATGTAGTTCTCGAGCCTTGGCTTTCAGCTCCATCAGCTCCTTTAAGCACTTCTCTGTATTGTTTATTCTAGTTATACATTCGTCCAAAGTTTTTTCAAAGTTTTCAACTTCTTTGCCTTTGGTTTGAATTTCCTCCTGTAGCTTGGAGTAGTTTGATCGTCTGAAGCCTTCTTCTCTCAACTCATCAAAGTCATTCTCTGTCCAGCTTTGTTCTGTTGCAGGTGAGGAGCTGGGTTCCTTTGGAGGTGGAGAGGCGCTCTGCTTTGTAGAGTTTCCAGTTTTTCTGCTCTGTTTTTTCCCCATCTTTGTGGTTTTATCTACTTTTGGTCTTTGATGATGGTGATGTACAGATGGGTTTTTGGTGTGGATGTCCTTTCTGTTTGTTAGTTTTCCTTCTGACAGACAGGACCCTCAGCTGCAGGTCTGTTGGAGTTTACTAGAGGTCCACTCCAGACCCTGTTTGCCTGGGTACCAGCAGTGGTGGCTGCAGAACAGTGGATTTTCGTGAACCGCGAATGCTGCTGTCTGATCGTTCCTCTGGAAGTTTTGTCTCAAGAGGAGTACCCGGCCGTGTGAGGTGTCAGTCTGCCCCTACTGGGGGGTGTCTCCAAGTTAGGCTGCTTGGGGGTCAGAGGTCAGGGACCCACTTGAGGAGGCAGTCTGCCTGTTCTCAGATCTCCAGCTGCGTGCTGGGAGAACCACTGCTCTCTTCAAAGCTGTCAGACAGGGACATTTAAGTCTGCAGAGGTTACTGCTGTCTTTTTGTTTGTCTGTGCCCTGCCCCCAGAGGTGGAGCCTACAGAGGCAGGCAGGCCTCCTTGAGCTGTGGTCTGCTCCACCCAGTTCGAGCTTCCCAGGCTGCTTTGTTTACCTAAGCAAGCCTGGGCAATGGTGGGCGCCTCTCCCCCAGCCTCGCTGCCGCCTTGCAGTTTGATCTCAGACTGCTGTACTAGCCATCAGGGAGACTCTGTGGGCGTAGGACCCTCCGAGCCATGTGCGGGATATAATCTCCTGGTGCACCGTTTTTTAAGCCCGTAGGAAAAGCGCAGTATTAGGGTGGGAGTGAGCCGATTTTCCAGGTGCCGTCTGTCACCCCTTTCCTTAACTAGGAAAGGGAACTCCCTGACCCCTTGCACTTCCCGAGTGAGGCAATGCTTTGCCCTGCTTCAGCTCACACACGGTACGCTGCACCCACTGTTCTGTGCCCACTGTCTGGCACTCCCTAGTGAGATGAACCCGGTACCTCAGATGGAAATGCAGAAATCACCCGTCTTCTGTGTCGCTCAAGCTGGGAGCTGTAGACCGGAGCTGTTCCTATTCGGCCATCTTGGCTCCTGGATCCAAGCCTTTTTTAATATAGGTTTTGTATAAAAATAGCCTTAAACAAAAACAACTAGGGACAAATTTAAGCTTTTTCCATGTGAATATTAACTGAAGTACATATTTGCCAGTGTACTAGTTTTCTATTGCTGCATAACAAATTATCAAAAATTTGAAGCTTAAAACAACATACTTTTATGATTTCAGAGCTTCTGTGTCCCTACAGCTTATCTGGATCCTCTGCATAGGGTCTCACAAGGCTGCGTTCAAGATGCTGACCAAAGCTACTTTTTCGTCTAGAGATTTAACTGGAGAAGAATGCTCTTACAAGCTATGACTCAGGGCCCTGGATTCTTGCTGTACACTGTCAGCTCCTAGCAGTCACCCACAGTTCCTTGTCATGTGGCCCTTTTCACAGGCAGTTCACAACATGGCAACTAACTTATTTAAGGCCAGCAGAAGAAGGGAGCAAGACAGAGTCTTATAAAATGTAATGTAATCATGAGAATGACATCCAATTTGCCATAATCCATGTGTCACAGATGAGGACATTATAAAAGGCATGAATGCCAGAAAGTGGGAAATTTTGGGAGTCACCTCAAGGGTTTCTCTCCCACTGCAATTAGCAAAATAATACAGACATTTCCAGAATAAATAGAAGTAGATAAAGTAATAATTAGAAAGAAAGTGTTCACAATATAAAAAGTGCTAGCTAAACAGGTCCTATGATATAATGCTGTTCTGTCTACTTCTCTTTCAAATCATGCCACTGGCTTCCGTGAAATGGCCAATCATGGGTCACAGGTTGTACTGCTAAATTTAGGAGCTGATTTTATTTGTTTAGTCACTTGATTTGTAGATAAGAGAGTTAGATAGAAACAGACAGAAGAAGAGAGATAGACAAGCTTGCCTTCAGACTGCCATGTTGTGGTAGACTAGTGCAATAATTCCTGCTAATTTGTTCATGTCTCACTGCATGCCTATCCTTTTGGAAATTACCATCCTACATGGATTTTGTGCTTGGCCATATTAAATACAGCTTTCTTTGACCAATGGCACAGTAGCAAATATGTCACTTGCAGAGGCCTGAATGACAATTAAGCATCGACGCTTGCTTTCTCTCCATCTTGAAGTTTGTCACAACAACTTTAACAAGGCTGAACCAGCCTACTGGATATTAAGAGACCCATAGCCCACTTGCACGTATTGTTCCAGCCAGTAATCAATCCCTTAAAAGCAGATCTGCCTACTTAACCAGTAGCTGAATGCAGACGCAAGAGCAGATCCAGGTTAAATCATGAGAACCTTCCTGCTGAGCCCAACCAAAAATTGATCATACACAGAATCATGAGCTGAAAAACATGTTTAAATCAATTAGGTTTTGTGGTTGTTTGTTAAGCAGAAAAAGATGGCCAATAAACATACCTACAGATTATTGTATCTAATATGTATAGGCGTACATATATGTGTGTGTATGTATACATACACACATGTGCATATGCATAAAATCCAAGGTCCATAGATATTACTGAATATTGATTGTATATTACAAGGAAGCTAAAGAAAGTTGATATATCCTCATAAACACTCCCTGTATGACTAAAGTGTAACTTCCTTTTTTTCTTTCTTTTTTAGCAGCAAAATCACTGTTAGGAGTATGCCTAGCAAAGACTATTCCTGAACAAAAAAAAATTTTGAAATTGGTTTTTATAAATTATTTCCTCTTTTTGTCAAGAAAAGTATCTGCTGTTGCTTGATTACAGTGAACAAGTCTGTAATCAAATGAATTCTAAGAAGAATTACATTACTTCAGTCACTTTTAGTAACCAGGACATTACAGCTGCATTTACGGTTTATAAGAAAACAAAAATTCAATTAGTTATATTGTAGAAGGGAATACAGATGGAGATATTTTTGAAAGTTGCATACATCAAAGAAAGAAAAGTTGCTGGGTTTTTTTAATGAGAAAAGGAGCTAAAATGTCTTTCTGCACTCTGCTGGAAAAGAGTTTCTACTTTATTTCTTATATTGACTAACCAAAAGCAAAGAGGTTTGTGGAGCATTTTTGAAGGATGTTCTCAAAATAGAGAAGAGAATTTAGAAAGTTTTGCATATCATAAAAATATTGTTCTATGCCAGTTAACTGACTTTGGGATTTAAATAAATCTGGACTCATTAAATTTAATCTTTTATTGTTATTATTTTTAAAAATATTTCACTTTGTATTAATAATTTTAACTACTCTCTGTGTATTCATCAATAAAATATCTAGATGATAAGTGAAAAATTTAATGAATAGGACATTTAAATGGAAAAGCATATAAATATAATGATCCATATATAAATACCTAAAGATATTTTTTGTTCTAATAATATCAGCTCTCATATTTATTTAAAGATCAAAAAGGCATTGGAAACTATAAAGTGATTAAAATATCCCCTTCTTTTGAATAATCAACAAGTCCCAAAGTTCCTGTTTCCTGACTATTCCTTGAAGCTATTTTTCTTTTTCTTCTCAGGTCTCTGCCACTAAGTTAGTTCTGGTTCTCTTTGCATTTTGCCTGGATCACTGCACTGGCTGTTTAAATTGTCTCCTTTCTTCATCTCTTGTTGTTTTCTAATCTTTGAACATCACATTCTAGCAATATAAAATTACTAGTAGTTGGTTGAATGCACTATTTTGTCTCATTTGTCCATGCATATTTATGTATTAAAATGTCCTTATCATTCTCTGTATGAGTACCTATCATCTTCAAAAACATGGACTAGATATTTCCTCCAATTATATTAAATGGTCTCAATGACTTAATCATTTCTCATGTCTTCCACACGTGTTTACCATCCACATTTCTATGTTTGTATCTTGTGCAAAATTTTATTACAATGTTTAGTGTTCTACATCAAAATTATGTTATAATTTTTAAATCTTAAATAAATGTCCGTTGTATCTAATACATTATGTAGACTTTGTTTTTATATTTGTCAGTGCTCACAGAGACTCTATATTCTTTGAGAAAAAAATTGTTTTATGTATCTTTTTTCTTAATCTCTAGCACTTACAACAGTATCTACCTTTAAGAATATATTCAAAAAACTGTTACATGGCTTCTGAGAAAACAACAAATTAGCCATTTAACCTGAATATTTTGAAGCTTATGGATGAAGAATATTTTCATGATGGAAACAACATGAGGTAAATTAGCAGCAGAGATTCATCTGGAAGTATGATATATTGTTTAAAAAAACTTTTTAAAGTCATTTCTGTCCAAATATAAAACATTATGTGATTTATCTCTTTTTTTCTCAAAATACAATTCTAATTAATAAAAAATGTTATATTTTCAAGTACAAAATAAAGTTCAATGTATCTGTTACCCATTTTATTTATGTTATTATTTTTTATTGATACACAATAGATGTACCTATTTCGGGGGTACCTGTGATAATACCCATTTTAATGCTTAGTGAAGCTGTCACATTTAAATATGTTTTAAGCCCAAAGTTTTCTTTTATTTTGATAATGAATGTAACATGTTATTTAAAAATAACTGCTTTTAGATATTCTTAACAACTTAGAACTTTTGTTCTGTCTTTCCTAGGTTGTTATATAAAGAAAAAAATATTTTATTTAAGGAGAATTCTGGGAAAATGGCAAGCAGGAAACACAGGGAATCTGTCTTCCCACCTAGATAACAATTGAACTAGTAGAATCTGTCTGATGTACTATTTTGGAACTCTGGAGTTTACTGGAGGCTTGCAACTTCTGGGGGAGGCTTGGACAGCAAGCTTGGTTTAATTTCAGTCAGTCGCAGCTTTTAGCACAATAGTGACTACCTCCACCTCCAGCCACATGGCAGGCAGCTGTATACCTGTTCCTGGAGTAGCTTGCATGTAGTTTGTAGGAGCAAGGATAGGCAAAATATCCCTTTTAAGTTTACACACCTCAACAGAGAGCCAGCATAAAGCAGTAACAAATAATAATAAAGAGCAAACCCTGAAGGGGGTAATCTAATTTCAAGAGGTAAACACATTGTAAATTCAAATCTTCAATTTCAAACAAAAAAGTCACAAAGCATACACAGAAACAAAAATTATGGCCCACTCAAACAAAAAACAAAACAAACAAAACAAAAACTATCTCTGAAGAAAGACCTCATAGCAGATCTACTAGACAATGATTTTAAAAAACCTTAAAGATATTCAAAGACCTAAATAAAGAAATGGAAGGAGTCAAGAAAACAGTGTATGGGCAAAATGAGATGTCAATAAAAAGATAGAAAACCAATAAAGATACACACAAGAATTCTGGAGCTGAAACATATAATAATGCAAATGAAAAAAATATTAAAGGTATCTTAAAACTGTTTAATCAGGCAGAACAAAGAAGCAGCAAATTTGGAGACAGAACAATGGTAATTATCAAGTCTAAGGAACAGGAAGAAAAAATAGAGGAAAAGTGAGCAAAGCCAAAAAACCTGTAGGACACCATCAACTTGACCAACATATGTATTGCAGGTACAGAAAATGTACAAAAGACAGGAAATGTGGGAAGAGAGAATATTTGAAGAAATAATGGTTGAAAATTTCCCAAATTTAACACAAGATATGAACATAAACATCCAAAAAGCTTAATAAACTCCAAATAAGATGCACTCAAAGATATACACATAAATATATGTTATAATCAAACTTTCAAAAGACAAAAAAAAAAAGAATCTTCAGAGGAACAAAAGGGAAATAAGTCATTAAGCACTCTTCACAATAGTAAAGTCATGGAATCAACCTATGTGTCCAACAACGGATGATTGGATTTAAAAATATGGTATAGATACATATTTTTAAATGTATAGACAGTAAATAGATAGTACTGTCTAGTTTCATTCTAGTAAGTGAACCCAGACAGTAACTTGAAGTCATATGCAAAATAAAGATCTGAGTAAAGAAAATACATGATAAATACGTAAACACTTTAAAAATCTAGTACTATCATAACAACAGTCTGTAACTTCACTTTTTGTTCTCTACTCAACAGAAAGTCACTAATCTATTTTTAAAAAATAATTATTAGTTTAAAAGCTGGTGTTATTTTAACTTTTGTTTGTAATTCTACATTTTGTTTTCTACGTAAGAGGCTAATGCATTTAAAAAATATTAATTTATGTTTTTAAACACATTATGTAAAGATATAATTTTGTGACATCAACAAGTGAAAGGAATGGGAACAAAGAATTTAAAGGATCAGTGTTTCTGTGTGTCATTAAAATTAAGCTGGTAAATCTAAGTTAGTATATAACTTAAGGATATTATATATAATCTATAAGATAACTATAGTGAATATGGATATAAAATATTCACAAAAGGAAATAAGAAAATAATGTAAGGATTTGTATTACAAAAATAAACACAAAAGGAAATAAAAATGCAGAAAATGACGAACAAAAAAGCTATAAGGTACATAGAAAACCAATAGCAAAATGACAGAAGTAAATTCTTCCTTATCAGTCAACTATAAAAAGGAAGGGGATTTTGACACAAGCTATAACATAGATGAACCTTGAAGCCATTATGCTAAGTGAAGTAAGTCAGTCACAAAAAGCCAAATACTGTATGATTTCATTTATGTGGGGTAACTAGAGTAGTGAAAATCATGAGGACAGAAAGTAGAGTGGTGATTGCAGGGGTTGAGGAAGTGGGGAATAGGAAGTTATTTTTTAATAGAGTTAACTAGAGTTTCAGTTTTGCAAGATGAAAAGAGTTCTGAAGATGAATGGATGGTGGGTTGTACAAAATGAGTGTACTTAATGCCACAAAAACATACACTTAAAATGGTTAAGATGATAAATTTTATGTTATGTATATTTCATCACAATTAAACAATCCCACCACTAGGTATATATATATTTTTAAAAGGGCATCAGTATATCAAAGAGATACCTGCATGTTTACTGTAGCACTATTCACAACAGCCAAGATTTGGAATCAACCTAAGTGTCCAAGAACAGATGAATGGATAAAGAAAAAGTGTTTCATATACACGAGGAATATTATTCAGCCATAAAAAGAATAAGATTGAGTCATTTGCAACATGGATGGAACTGCAGGACATTATATTAAGTGCAATAATCCAAGCACAGAAAGACAAATTTTGCATGTTGTCAACCATATGAGGCACCTAAAAATTAAAGCAATTGAATTCATCCAGACAGAGAGCAGAATGATAGTTACCAGAGGATAGGAAGGAAAGCACGGAAAGGGGAAAGTGGAGATGGTTAGTTGGTGCAGAAATATAGTTAATTAGAATGAATAAGATCTAGTATTTGATAGCACAACAGGGTAACATGATCAACAACAATTTATTGTATACTTTACTATTATTATTATTATTATTATTATTATTATTATTATTTCGGAGACGGAGTCTCACTCTGTCGGCCAGGCTGGAGTGCAGTGGTGCGATCTCGGCTCACTGCAACCTCTGCATCTGGGGCTCAAGCACTTCTCCTGCCTCAGCCTCCTGGGTAGCATTTTAAAATGTGTGCTATGTAAATTAACATAGTAGTACTTTTGAAATTAGCACATTATTCATATGTGAGTCATCAGGAGCAATTTCCAGAAGTTTTTTATTCAGTACATACACTTTATATACTAGTTTAAAAAATACTGTTTTTTCATGAATACCTTAACATTCACTGTCACATGCTTTTTTCAATAAAATATATAATTCTAGAGAGGTTCTACATTTTGTGAATGATATAGTGTATTTTTAAATTTTTACATCAGTTCAGCCAGGTGTGGTGGTTCACGCCTGTAATCCCAGAACTTTGGGAGGCGGAGGCAGGCAGATCACCTGAGGACATGAATTAGAGACCACCCTGGCCAACACAGTGAAACCCTATCTCTACAAAAAAAAAAAAAAAAAAAAAACCTAGCTGGCCTTGGTGGCAGACGCCTGTATTTCCAGCTACTCTGGAGACTGAGGTATGAAAATCACTTGAACCCAGCAGGCGGAGGTTGCATTGCATTGGGCCGAGACTGCGCCATTGTGCTCCAGCCTGGGTGACAGATGGAGACTTCGTTTCAAAAAAAAAGGAAAAAAAATAATTTAGATCAGTTCAGAAAGTTTCTATGATATAAATCTAATAGCACAATGATTAAGCCTCAATTAGATTCATTTTTCCTACATCCTCTATGTATTAAACATTTGGGCCTCTTTTGAGATGTACCAGGAGACTACTTTATTAATGAGGACAGAAATTTTTCCAAAGCCACAGTTAAGCCCTGACTTCAAGAGATTTTAGAAAATTAACCAAAATAAATTAATAAACTTACTTTTTCAATTACCATAAGTTTACATTTCTTGTACTCTGCTAATGAAATAAATTAATAATATAATCATGCATATGACATTTCCTTTTTTTATTATTATTATACTTTAAGCTCTGAGGTACATGTGCAGAATATGCAGGTTTGTTACATAGGTATACATGTGCCATGGTGGTTTGCCGCACCCATCAACCCATCATCTACATTAGGTATTCCTCCCAATGCTATCCCTCCCCTAGCCCTACGTGATAGCCTCATTTTTCCTATCATTTTCTTCATATTATTTTATGTTGTCTTGCTTTCCTTTTTCTCTGACTCCAAATATTCAAATACATTTTCCTTCAGAAATTCCACTATTATAAATAAATCTGTGAATTTCACATTTTCTGACTTTTTAAAAATACTTTTTAATTTTAATTTTTTATTTTTATAGGTTTAGGGGTTACAAGTGCACTTGTGTTCTATGGATATATTGTGTAGAGGCTAAGTTTGGGCTTTTAGTATACCCATCACCCAAATAGTATATATCGTACCCAATAGTTAGTATTTTAATTTTCACCACACTCCTACACTCCTACCTTTTGCTGTCTTCAAAGTCTACTATTCCACTCTGTATGTCTGTATGCACCCATTGTTTAACTTCCCCTTGTAAATGAAAACATGCAATTTTTTCCCTTCCTGTTTCTGAATGATTTCACTAAGTATAATGACTCTAGCATCATCCATGTTGATGGCAAAAGACATGATTTTATTCTTTTTATGACTCAGTAGTATTCATGGCATATAATATATATACACATATATATATTTGTGTATATGTATGGGTGTGTGTATATATATGTATGTGTATATATATGCGTATATATATATATATGCATATATATGTGTATACATATATATAACATTTTCTTTATCTAATCATTCATTCATTCATGGACATTTAGGTTGATTCCATTACTTTGTTATTGTGAATATACTTTGTTTTCCTGATATAATTATTTCTTTTCCTTTGGGTAGATACCCAGTAGATATCCAGTTACTGGACTTAAGGGTAGTTCTATATTTATTTCTTTCAGAAACCTCCATACTCTTTGGCCTATAGGTTGTACTAATTTACATTCCCACTGACAGTGTATAAACATTCCCATTTCTTCACATCCTCACTAACGTGTGTTTTTTTAACTTTTTAATAATAGCGATTCTGACTGGTATAGATGGTATATCATTGTGGTTTTAATTTGTATTTCTCCGGTGATTAGTGATGTTGCACATTTTTTCATATGTTTATTGACCACTTTTATGTCTTCTTTTGAGGAGGGTCTGTTCATTATACTTTGCCCACTTTCTAATGGGGTAATTTGTATTTTTTCTTGTTGAGTTGTTTGAGTTCTTGTAGATTCTGGATAATAGTTTATTGTTGGATTAATAATTTGTAAATATATTCTCTCATTCCATAGGCTGTGTCTTTACTCTGTTTTTTTTTTCAGTGCAGAAGCTTTTTAGTTTAATTAAGTCCTGTTTGTCTATTTTTGTTTTTGTTGTGTTTCCTTTCGATAACTTAGACATAATTTTTTTGTGCCTAGAGTAATGTCTAAATAATTTTTCTTAGGTTTTCTTTCAGCGTGTTTACATTTTCAGGTCTCACATTTAAATCTTTCATCTATCTTGAATTAACTTTTGTATACAGTGAGAAACAGGGCTCCAGTTTCATTCTTCTGCATTTTACTCTCCAATTTTCCAAGCACCATTTATTGAATAGGGTGTTCTTTGCCCAGGGTATATTTTTGTTAACTTTATCAAATATCAGTTGGTTGAAAGTATGTGGCTCCATTTCTTTGTTCTCCATTTTATCCAATTTTCTGTGTCTATTTTTATACTAGTATGCTACACAACACACATTATAGTCACATTATTAGGGAGGGAAAATCCCATCCAAATTAAAGCGAATTCAAAACTGAGGAGAGATAGCTTATCCAGATGAGAAGCAATCAGAAAAACAATTCTGGAAGTAATTTTTTTTAAAGAGTAATATAACACCTCCAAAGGATCACACTAACTCTCCAGCAATGAATCCTAACCAAAAAGAAAACTTTGAAATACTAAAGAATTCAAAATATTGATTCTAAAGAAGCTCAATGAAATCCATTATAAATTTGAAAACTAACATAAATAAATCCAAAAACTAATTTGGGATTTGAAAGAAGAGATAGACATTATTTTAAAAAACCAAACAGAACCTCTAGAAATGAAAACTTCCTTGAAGGAATTAGAATATTTTACCTTTAAAAACATTGTAGGCGGGCGCAGTGGCTCACGCCTATAATCCCAGCACTTTGGGAGGCCGAGGTGGGTGGATCACCGGAGGTTGGGAGTTCATGACCAGCCTGGCCAAAATGGTGGAACCCCGTCTCTACTAAAAATACAAAAATTAGCTGGGTGTGGTGGTGCGCACCTATAATCCCAGCTACTCGGGACGCTGAGGTGGGAGAATTGCTTGACCTCAGCAAGTGGAGGTTGCAGTGAGCCGAGATCGCACCACTGCACTCCAGGCTGGGCAAAAGAGTGAGATGCCATTTCAAAAAAAATTTAATAATTATGGTCAAATAATACTTTAATATGCTTCTGGGGTACACATGATGTTTTTGTATAGGTATCCAATGTGTAATGATCAAATCAGGGTAATTAAGGTATCTGTCACCTTAAGCATTTGTCATTTCTTTGTGTTAGGCACATTCCAATGCCACTCTTCTAGTTTTTTTAAAAAAATAGATAATAAATTATTTTTTTCTTTCATTATTATATACTAGATTTCCATTCTTTAACCTAATGACAGTGTAGTTCTTTACATATATTTGTTCAATTTTTAATATTTGCCTACAAATATATAAGTACTTTTCCTTTTTATCTTCACATAGTATCATTTCTTCAAAGCTTGAAGAACTTCTTTTAGCATTCCTTACAGTTCAAGTCTGCTTAAAAAAGATCAATATTTGTCTAAAAATATACTTCCTTTATTTTTTAAGGAATATTTTTGGGGTATAGAATTTTCGGCTGACAGTTCTCCTTTCCTTCTAGTCCTTTAGAATTACTATATTGTCTTTTGAGTTTGATAATTTTTCGTAAGAAGGTGCTAAAATTCCTATTATTGTTTCTTGTACATAAAGTAGATATTAAAATAAATAATATTTACCCTCAGAAAAGGAATGCCCTTTCTTCTGTGGTTTACTAGTTTGAGGAGATGATTTTCTCTAATCTGTGGTTGACCTTCTGTTCAATAGACTAGGCGTATAGCTTTTATTAAATTTAGTTTACTGAATAATTTTAAAATGCTTGTTTTACATTAATAGGGAGAGAGGAAATCTAGAGCAGACATTGGGACAATAGTCTTCCTGAGGGCTCAAAAGCTGAGGAACAACCAGTGAGACCCAAGCCACCTACCCTTTCAATCAGTGAGTCTGTCACACTCCAGGAACTCCCATTCTCTACGCCCTACCACGTTCAGGAAAAGAAAAGAATTGGATTTTAGAAGTAACATTATTGAAAGCTGGGAGGGGACAGTTGGAATTTAAATTGTTAGTGGTTAATTTGAGTGAATCAGAGGTGGTATTTTTAGTCCCTTCCTCCACCTCAATATTCATTGTGTCAGTCCTGATGTAACTGTTCCTTTTGCCTACTCTCCAGAGTACATAATCTTTAACTTTTCCCCCGGACCTCTTATTTCCTCAGAACTCAACCTAAAACATTCTTTCTCTAGAATATCTTCCTCAATTAATCTTTAGTGTACTAACGTCTCTTGCTCAACTTTTATCAATTTAACTCTGCAAGTTATAAATATGAGCATATACTATTTGTGTCCTACATCATGTATCGGGTCACCTACACCCCTTCTAAAAATTCACTATGTGATGTTTAAAGTCAAATGTACTATTTAAGTTTCTGTCATTGAGATGGCTCTACTGGAAAACATAGGTTTGGTGAGAGAGTTTAAGATAAATTTCCTTATTTCTTTTCTTTAACATTTATTTTATTCTCTTTTTAGGTGTGGGTGGTGATGGTGGTGAAGGTAGGGGAATATCAAACAAATTAGATAGCTCTATAACATCTCCAATCAAATGTATTTCTAAATAATATTTTAAATTGTGCAAATAAATCAGTTTGTATATTTAAGAGAAACTGCCTTTAAACTTTATACAGATGTATGTAAGAAAAACATTTTATTTAATTGAATCTAAAAGACAGATTTTCAGTAAAAAGAAACAAAAAAATTAATTTCATTAGAATTTCGTGCTCTGAGGTTAACATGATCACTTTTCTGCAACAAATGTACAGACTGGTGAGTAGGTCTTTTTGTGGCCTTGGAATTGATAACTAGGAACCAGAACTGAGGATGAGGAGACTTAAGTATCATGTTTTCTGAAGAGAGCTGAGAATATATGAAGCCAAACACTCCTACAGGATTATTTGAGGAAACTATCACTCCTGTCCTACTATGAACCCAAAGATGCCCTTAAGTGTGGAGAAAGAGATTTGATCAAGATGGTTGAAGGCAGCGACTAGGAAAAACATAAAACATTTCAAGTTTCTAGCCCAAGTTTAGATTTAATAAAATGGTTGCACTAGGATGGAAGTTTTCATGATCCTTTTTGAAAAGGCTCTTGTGAAAGTCATGATTCTCAGCAGTGCAATGTCATGTACCTACAAGCTAGGATTCCATGTCAAGAGTAACTTTCATGCAGAATCAATATTTGGAAAATGGAAGCTTTGAAGCTTCTGTCACACTAATGTAGGGAACATAAAAAATGAGTTATTAGGCTATGTGATAATAGTCACATCTGAAAATTTTAAATATTATTGACATATTCTTGAATTTTAACTATGAAAACTATGCAATATTATACGGCTGGGCGTGCTGGCTCACACCTGTAATCCTAGCACTTTGGAAGGCCCAGGTGGGAGGACTGCTTGAGGCCAGGAATTCAAGACCAACCTGGCAAACTTAGGGAGACCCTATCTCTATTTTTAAAAAATTCAATGTTATAGTGCATCACACAAATCTGTATCATAGAAACTGAACTTTTCAATTATATAAATCAATTTATAATTTAGTATGATTCAATTTATAATGTGATCTACTCTAATAGGACAAAAAGCTATTATATTACATCTACAAGATGGTTTAATAACAATTTATCAAAAATGATAGTTTTACTCAGTTTATTTAATTCAGACTAAGTCAAAAAAGAATAGCTTGAGCTTTATGATTATGAAAATATTTTTAAAATTATATTACACTAGGGTATATTGGGAAATGATTTGTTCATGTTTATACTTTAAGTACTAATAAAATTAAGATCATATTTGTAGAAAAACTTCAAGATCATTATCAACTTTAATAAATTTGTTATTTTCCAGCTTTCCAGTCAGAATAGTAACTTCCAGTATGAGTTATTTAACATTCTATAATTTTTCTACTTAATTATATGAGCATTCAAAAATTTCAATCCATTTTCTTTAAAAAAAACTTTTAATTAATTTAAGTTAAAATTGTTTTAATGAATGCTCATGCTATATTGTCTTAAATAATTGTCTAAATATTGAGAAAATAATTGCCAGCAACCTGTTAATGTACTTTTTAGAAATTAAGTATTGTATATGCATAAATATCAACAGTAGGACAGTCATTCTCTTAGAGAGTAGGACCCATAGCAACAGCATTACCTCCGGACTTGTTAAAAATGAAAATTATCAAATGCCAGCCTATACTACTGAATCAGAATTTTCGGAGGTAGGCCTCGGAATCTGTGTTTTCATTGAAGTAGGCTATCGTTTAAGCACCACTACAATTAGAGTATTGCAAATGCAAAAACATTGAAATGGAGAAATAAGAATAGTTATTATCTGTAAACTAAGTCTTCTGTTGAAGTAGCACTTTCAACCTTGACTACACAGTAGAGTCACCTGGGTAGCTTTAAAAAATTCTGATGCCAGGAACACAACTCTAACCAAGTATGTGAGACTCTTTGAGAAGTGAACATCAAATATTTTGTAAAGTAGCCCAGGTTATTGTAATGTACAGCCAAATTTGGGAAGCACTGCATTTATAGAGTGAGCTCTTGGAAGAGAGTATCTTTAAAGCTCTAACAGATTTAAAGGGCTTCATTTGATATCCCCTCAAAAGGTGGCTCTAAGGACTAGGGCCACCTTTGAGGGGATATTGAATGAAGGTGTTTTAAGGCAGAGAAGTTATAGGACATTGCCTAGGGCATTCCACATCTCTAAAATAAACAGGAATTGTCAAAGTTAATGCATGCCTGGATTTTTCTCCATTTCCCACAATTTACAAGAAAAAAATTATCAGACATCTGAGGGACACAGTTCTAACAGAAAGACAATGCGCTGCAGTCTAAATAAACCAGAATAGAGAAGCTAGTTCAATAATGTAACATAATCATAATAAATATGTTCAAAAATGAAGAGAGTATTGATAGCATGAAGGGGAAACAAGAAGTTATAAAGAACAAAGCAGAGGGCCAGACGCGGTGGCTCACGCCTGTAATCCCAGCACTTTGGGAGGCCAAGGCGGGCGGATCATGAGGTCAGGAGATCCAGACCATCCTGGCTAACACGGTGAAACCCTGTCTCTACTAAAAATACAAAAAATTAGCCGGGCGTGGTGGTGGGTCCCTGTAGTCCCAGCTACTCGGGAGGCTGAGGCAGGAGAATGGCGTGAACCCGGGAAGCGGAGCTTGCAGTGAGCAGAGATCGCACCACTGCACTCCAGCCTGGGCGACAGAGCGAGACTCTGTCTTAAAAAAAAAAAAAAAAAGAACAAAGCAGAGATACTGAACATAGAAATAACTTTTGCCTCCTTCCATTCTCCTTTGTTACAGCCTCCTTTATTCCCCTGGACCATTATTGTTAATAAGAGTTTTGGTTCTGAGTTGTTCCAGAAACCTCCTTCTTCCTCTCCCTCCTTCCTCTCTTCTGTTGTCTTTTCATTTCTAATTTTTTTATGCTTGCTCTGTAGACATTAATGGAACAAATTAGTTATTCCATTTCTTCTCATATACCTATCCAATGTATTACAGAAAAATTACAAAAATAAAAGACAATATTTAAATTGAAAATATAAAACAAAATGAGTTAGATTAAGTCAAACTACAGTGGTCATTGCAGAATTCAAATATGATTTAACCCACTAATTAAAATATAAAAATTATCAATTGGTTATCAAGAAAAACACAAGTAAGACTCAACACTATTTTGTTTAGGAGAGATATGCATAAAATAAGATATATAAAGTTCAAAGCAAAAAAAAGTGGAAAGTGTCAGACTAATATGAAGTAAAGGAAATCAGAGTAACAATTTTAAGGCCAGACAATATAGAGCTCAAAGTGGAAAACACCTATCTATATATCTGTATCCACATCTGTATATGAACATTATACTTGTTAAAGCAAAAATAGATCAAGAAGATGTAACATTTTTGAATACACATGTTCTTAATAATAAAGCCTACATATATTCAGATGAAGCAACATTTGAAAGACCTATAGAGACAAAATGAAAAAGTCAACAAAGGTAGTTGGAAACTGTTCCTCTTACTTCCAAAGATTCCCGCCATTGCCCTGGTCATAATCCTAGAACTTGTAAACCTTTCTCCCTTGACAGTAGAGGGTGCTAAAAGGACACTGCAGAAAATGGAGGTGTCTGTTTCTGGTGCAGGTGTCCGTTTCTGGTGCAGGTATGCTTTTTCTTCTTGTGGCAGGAGTGATGGTTTATCATGCAGAACTCCAAGTAGTTAATTTAAGGACATGCAACCAAGACAAGTTTGGAATATTGAAGAGTCTTTGTTTCTCCTCCTCACTCTGGTCAAATTAGGATAGGAAATAAGTTGCGCAGTTTCATAACCACTTTACCTCCCTACTCTATGAATTGCTATCATTACTAGGAAGATAGATCTCCAGCTATGGTGATGGATAAATGTTGACATTTCTTCTTCTCATGATTCCTATAAGTTGGCCTGTAATTAGAACAATCTTAGCAGCATGCTGCTTAAATAATTTTTATTGCTGTTACTGTAGACAATATATTATGTTGTTATGAGTATTTAAAGGGGTTTTCAAGGGCATTTCCAAATATTAAACAGATTTTTCACCTTAGAGACTGATTTTAGAAAGTAGTCCTCCTGTAAAATGAAAATCCACTGCAACTTTATGAATGGAGTCTATTATTCTCTATTTTTGTGCCATATTACTCAATTTTGATGTCAGAGTTTAGTTAGATTTGTAAAATTAATTTGAAAGCAATTTTAATATATGGTTTTAAATATTTAGATGAAATGACATAAAAAACAAAGCAGATCATTGACTAATTTTTCCATTTATTTAAAGTAAATTGGTTTATTTAGATTTCATACATTTTTAAAATCATCTCTGGTAGCATATGCTATTACATATCTTGTAAACATAATATAATTAATATAAATAATATATATTTTATTTAATTTAAAATAATTTTTCTCCCTTACAACTGTAGTCTTATTTTCATCTGTCATTATATCCTTATTACAATTGCTATGTTCTTTATTTTTTTGAGTTATCATCTCACCCCAGTTAAAGTGGCCTATATTCAAAAGACAGGCAGTAGCAAATACTGGTGAGGATGTGGAGAAAAGGAAATCCTTACACTGTACGTAGGTATACAAATTAGTACAGCCACTATGGAGAACACTTTGGAGGTTCCTCAAAAATCCAGAGAATTAATTTTCAAAATGTCTTCTATGAATTGTCAAAATATATTTTATTGCATTGAAGTTATGGAATATTGCCTTTATAGTTACCATTTGAAAATCTTACTGAGATTTTCTTGGTGGCAAAAGAAGTAATTTCATAAGTGATATTTGTAAATTTTAAAAGAATATATATTCACACCATGGTATAAAATTATAGGAGTATTCAAATATCTTGTATCATTTTCTTCGTCTCCGTAGTTTATCAAATTCTGAGACTAATTATTATCTCCTAAAATGAATCATTTTTGGTGGGAGTGCCTGATAATCTTTTTTTCTGATATACTTACTTTATATATTTTGCTACTATATAATAAACTGTATTTATGAGCATAAATATTTATATTTATGTTGCTTTGAAATGAAAGATATACATTTGTTTCATTAAAGCACTTTTTCTTGAGTCTTGTGTCATCGAACATAAAATTGTCATCTATGAAATATTTTTGCCTTTGTCTATTTTAGTTTTGTGTATTTATTTACTTATTTGCTTATCTTTCATTTTTTTGTTGTTATAAGCTATATATACCCAGATTTGCTTCTTTTCATTTTTCTTTAATAAAGTTTTTAAACATTAATTTACACTTATTCTTAAACTTGTTTTATGTATCCTAATCAAGTATACATTACGTGTTTATTAAGCTTTCTTATGGTTTCCTTTCTTGCTTTTATGAATTTTGCTAAAATAAGAGTATTTCTTTCATCTATTTCCTTTGGTGATTTGAATATTTTGTGTCACATTTGTTTTTTTCTAGTTATATTTATAGCTATAAATGTTGAGAAATGTAATGCTTTTCTGATCTCCCAACTACTGTATAAAATTAGTTTTTCTATCTCTGGAATCTCTTATGCTCTATTCTGTATTTTAAATGCTCTGAAATGTTACTAGGTAATGCTGTGGTGGGAGTTTTGCATGTGTCATTGTCACATTGTAATTTATTAAAAAGCTAATTATTATGATTATTCTTACTTATATCATTTTCTAGGATCTCAAAACTTTATATATGGATTTTGAACATTTCTCTTGTTTTCTCACTGTGGCTATGAATCAAAGATTTCAACCTGAGCCTTTGTGTGCAAAAAGTTGTAGACAATAAGGCCTCTACAGAAAAGAGAGTGGGGTTGTGAAAATGAAGACCTGACTTTTGCCCAGACAACCTGTCAGTGTATTTGGAGATAGACCCATATGCAACCTATCTGAATATAAATGTATCAGTGATGAAAAGAGATAGAGTGTATTTTCAGTCAGGAAAGAAAATAAGGACAGAAAGAAGATCACGAGCAAAGGAATAAGTGAAGGTATAAAATTGACTAGTATGTTCACACACCAATGACAGGGTAAATCTAAAGTCAAAAGAGCATGGGGCTGAGTGGCAAGGGATATAACTAGACATTATATCAGATATGTGAACAAGAAGATTGGGAGTTTGGACTTGTATGCAATTAGAATAACTAAAAAACTGTATTCAAGGCAATGAAATAAAAAGCTTGAGTTTCAGTCTGATATTTCAAGTAATGTGTGGAAGAAGACTTAGATAAGGGATGGATCAGAAAGTCTGTGAACAAGGATAGTGGAAGAAAAAAATAGAAGCAGGAAATTTATTTTAACAGTTTTTGGCACCCATTTATCACAACTCAGAAACAAACTGAATGGTGTTGGAGATGGAGTGGTAAAGATGTATCTTAGATTTAAAGTATAATGGCAGGTGGATGCTAAAGTTATTAAACTGAGCTTTAAACAAACTAAAAATGCTGGTTTTATGGTATATAAAATTACTTTAGGAAGCAGTAGAGTTTAGCAATCAGATAGACTTGCATTCAAATAACTCTATTTACCCTTATTGGCTTGTTGACATTGTGCACATTACTTAATCAATTCTGATTCTCACTTTTGGTCATAGTACACATGGACTTTGGGTGTCCACATTCTGAGTATAGACAACTGAGCATATGTGAAGGTCAAAGCAAGGGTTTCAGTCAAGAGGCAGACTAAGGATTCAAGGGGAGTACACACATCATTTTCACATAGTAAAAATTGTCTAATCACAATTTGATTCTCAGTTTTGTCCACAGTAAAAGACATGGAGTAATTTCCTGTCAAGGGGTATTTATGCAGATTAAAACAAATAATGTCTGTAAACTATTTTACCATTTCTATCATTGCCATTATTATTAATACTACTTCTATTTTGGGGGCATAATATACTTGAGGTTTCTATTGGAGAATACATGAATGAGTTTCATGGGTGAATTAAAATTACCCTTACATTCAGAAGAAAATTTAATAGTGGGGAAATAATTTTGTACATTTATATCATGGAAAGAACTGTAGAAAGATCATAACAAGGAAAAAGATGGTCATCTGTGGGTAACAGAGCAGATAAAAAACTAATGCTCAATCAGCCAGATAAATAACAGTAAGTGATAAGAAGGAAAATCATAATATTATTGCCAGTTAAGCCAATAAAGGAGAGAATTCTAGGAAGACAGATATCACAAAGAAATCAAGGCAGATTAAAAATTAAGTCTATTTGACAATCCAGAGGTCAGTTCCAAGCAGTTTTAATCGAATACCAGAAAGAAAAACATAGTTCAGTGAGTTCAAGACAGCAATGAGATACCACTACAAATCTACTAGAATGCAAAAATCCAGAATACTGATAACACTGAATGCTGGTCAGGATGTGGAACAACAGAAACTTTCATTCATTGCTCACAGTAATGCAAAATGCTACAGCTACTTTGAAAGATAGTTTGGCAGATTTTTATAAAGCTAAATATACTTTTTTTCTTTTTTTATTTTATTATTATTATACTTTAAGTTTTAGGGTACATGTGCACAATGTGCAGGTTAGTTACATATGTATACATGTGCCATGCTGGTGTGCCGCACCCATTAACTCATCATTTAAAAGCTAAATATACTCTTATCATGGGATCCAGCCATTGTGCTCCTTGGTATTTATCCAAAGGAGTTAAAAACTTATGTCTACACAAAACTCTGAATGTTTTTATAACAAAAACATGTTTATAGTAGGTTTTCTTCATAATTCTCAAAACTTGAAAGCAAACTTGAAAGCAAAGAAAAAAGTTCTTCAGTAGGTGTATAAATAAACTGTGGTACATCGAAATAATGGAATACCATTTAACACTAAAAAGAAATGAGTTATCAAGCCATGGAGAAAACTTAAATGCATATTACTGAGTGAAAGAAGCCAGTCTGAGAAGTCTACATACTATATGATTCCCACTATGTCAAATTCTAAACAGGGCAAGACTATGGAGACAGTAAAATGATCCATGGTTGCCAGGATTTAGGGGAAGGGAGGGATGAACAGGCAGAGTATGGAGGATTTTTAGGGCAGTAAAACTACTATGTATGATACTGTAATGGTGGATACATGTCATATAAATTTGTCCAAACCCAGAGAATGTACAATACTAAAAGTGAACCTCAATGGGAACTACGGACTTTGGGTGATAATGATATGTCAATGTAGATTAATAAATTTTAACAAATGTACTACTCTGGTGGGGATGTTGGTAATGGTATGCACAGCATATATGGGAAATTTATTTGCCTTCTCGTTATTTTTGTTGTTGTTGTTTTTGCTGTGAATCTAAAACTGCTCTAAAAGATAAAGTCTATTAAAAGGAAAGAAAATACACACTGAAAGGCAAAAGACTGAAACAATGGGTATAGATTACTGTTAAGAGTCTGTGTTGGAAGAGGAGAAAGAAGCAGCTAAAATATATCACCTTTCTGTCCACATTCTGGTATAGATGACTGAGCATATGTAAAGGTCAAAGCAAGGGTTTCAGTCAAGAGGCAGGCTAAGGATTCAAGGGGAGTAGTAAATACATAATACAACCACTGAGGAGAATGGCAAAGGAAGTCAATAAAAAGGGCAGACCTACCTCATTCATAGAAATGACTATGCAGTTATATGCTCAAGCCAAAAAATAAATAGATCTATATCCAAATAAGAATTTGAATAATTTCTCAATATAGAGCTCTGTACCTTATGTTTCCTCTGGTTTCCACTAGGGTATCCTGTATAAAATGTGTACATCATTTTTGGGGCCTTGGCAAGCATGAAAAAAACCGTTAAGATATTATTCCGAATTTTTCAACTTTAAGTTTATTTTCTCATATCATTTCTTATGACTCTCCATCTTCTATCTGACTATCCATGTTTCCAAATAATTCACATTTCACAAATCTATTTCATTTATGGCTACAGGTGCATATATTTTTGGACTATTGTATTACAAAAGCAACCTATAGAAAAAATTAAGTCCATAAGTGCTCTAGGTCATAGAAGCAGATTAAAAAACAGCGAATGTAACACACAATATTATCTGTTTTCTGCCACTGCCAACTGACAGAGCAGCCTAAAGAGCAATTACTGTCCTTACAGTCATGCTTGCAAAATGCACCATCTAAAAATAAAAAAAAAACATATAAATAAAATCAATGTATTATTTGGCTTGTTTACTCACTGGCCAAATATTTACTACATAGGATTAAATTTATTTTTGCAATTTTATTACCAAGTAAAATAAAAATACCAATGAAGGAACATAAAAACCGATTAAGTACAGGAATATTTGTGAACTATCTTCTTCATTTAATTCTAAATCAGTAAAATTACTTTACCCAACAATATTAAGAGACATGTAAACTGTGATTGTGTTATTGGACATTTCTATTATGATTTTGTCCTTACTGGTTGCTACATTTAAAATGGCATTTGCAGAGCTAATTTAGAGCACATAAAACTGCACTTACCAATATTGAGCTATAATGATGTAAAAAGTTTCGATTCAGTAGTCATGTCATATTTGGTCAATAGCTAGCAATTGCCATTAGTAAGAAGTGAAGCACCTACAAGATGTGCCAAGTCAGTAAGAGAAACAAATCAGAGGGAGATGAAATGATCTGTAATGAGCAGAGAAAAGTCAATAAGGGAAAAAAGGGCCTATCTTAAAATGAATGAAGACACCAGCTAATATTTGTACCACATTTCTTCCATGTAAGTAGTTACTCTGAGCAACAAAGCTCAGCACAAAAGTATTTCTCTATTGTTCTAATGCTCACTGATTTTGAGCCCATCCTAAATGTTATACAATCATTGTACCAAAAAATATATTTTAAAATAAGTGTCTTTTTTTTAAAATGTTTTTAAAGAGGCAAACTTAGAGTGAGGTCTGCAATATGTAAAACACTCCTTACAATAGCAAGCCAAAAACATAACTGTCATTCCAGATTATATCACTCCTACTAGCCTAATTTAAACTGACTAAAGCATAGTATGGGAATTGTCAGCTTAGTGTATAAGTTAGCCTTGGGACTAACTAAATGTAATACTCTGTCTTGAAGCATATTGTAAACTTCTCAGGAAAACATCAAAGAGGAATTCTTAAGTCCTTGAAGAGTTAAGCTATTTCATGAATTCCAATAGGATAAATATAAACTCTGAAAAGAATGCAGACTGTGGCACATTAAAGGTGTAGGTACAACTACTCTGCCATTCTGCTCAGCTCCTCGTACTAAGAAAACTACCTCAGCTTCTGCTTAACAATAGGCTTTTCTAGTAAATCCACTGAATTAGCTGAAGGATACACAAAAGCAAGGGAATTCAGAATTTTAGGAGGACATTCAGTTTATCTCTTCACTGCTCAAATACACTGTTAGTTTATGTTTGCCAACGATGAGAAAGTATCAGGGAAATATCCAAAACTCAAAAGTGGAAAGACAATTTATGTATAGAATCATCTTTTCTAAAGATGGTACTTTTGGAAAGGGCAGGTAAAAAAAGTAAGTTTTTTTTTTTCTACCCAGTGATTTTAACTCAAGTTTTTGAATGTCAAGTCAAAAGCTCTGTGTTATCCATATTTAAATGGATGTCCTACAACCCTTATTGTGAATTGTACTAGGGCTGATGTGTGCAACCAATTAAATATGGCAGAAAGGAAGTATGCCACTTCTGAGCTTAGGTTATAAGAGATTATAACTTGCTGCTTGATTCCTCTTTCTCTTAAATCATTCACTCTTGGAAAAGCCTCTCTTAGATCACTTGATCTTGGGAAAGCCCTGTGGTTTGATATACATGGAAAGGAACTAAAATCTTCTACAAGTAGCCACATGAGTAAGCTTAAAACAGTTCCTGCTGCTTCAGCCAAGCTGTAGAAATGAAGCCCAGCCAAAAGCTTGACTGCAACCTCATGAAAGACCCAAAGCCAGAACCATTTGATTAACCTCCTTATGAAATACTGTCAAAGACCATGTGGCATTCTTGTCTTAAGCCACTAAATTTTGTATTAACTAGTTATGTGGTAACATACAAGTAATATGGGTGTTTTTCATCTGCATTGGAACACAATCTTTTTATTTATGAAATGATTGTTTTCTAAATAAGTGATATAAAAGATTATTTTAGCTTATCCCTAATCAAGTGGGAGTTATCCCTGGGATAAAAATATAGTCTAATATATGCAAATAAATAAATGTAATACACTACATTAATAGAACAAAAAATTATATAAACATGCAGAAAAAGTAGCTAAAAAATTCAACATCTTTCATGATAAAAATTATCAATAAATTAGGTATAAAGGAAATGCACCTCAACACAATAAAGGCCAATTATCATAAGCCCACAGTTAACATCATACTCAATTGTCAAAAGCTGAAAATCTTTCCTCTAAAATCAAGAATATCACAAGGATGCTGATTCTTATCACTTCTATTCAATGAGTGACTCAAAGTTCTAGCCAGTGCAGTTAGGTAACAATACATAGGTAAATTTCATCCAAATCTGAAAGGAAGAAATAAAATGGTCTCTTTTTAAAGATGACATAGTCTTATGTGCAGAAATTTCTCAACTCCACCAAAAAACTGTTAGAACTAATAAGCAAATTTAGTAACTTGAAGAATACGAAATCAATATATAAAAATCAGTTACATTTTCATATACTAACAACAAACTATGTGTAAAAGAAATTAAGAAAGCAATCCCTTTCCAGCAGCATCAAAAGGAATAAAATACTTAAGAATAAATTTAACCAATGAGATGAAACATCCATAAAATAAAAACTTTATATACAATAAAAATCAATATAAACATTGATTTAAAAATTGAGGAGGACACAAATAAATGCAAAGATTTCAAATTTTAATGGATTGTAAGAATTCATATAGCTGAAATGTCAATACTACTTGTATTACCCTGCTTTCATGCTGCTGTTAAAGACATACCCGAGACTGAGCAATTTACAAAAGAAAGAGGTTTAATTGGACTCAAAGTTCAATGTGGCTGGAATGACCTTACAGTCATGACAGAAGACAAGGAGGAGCAAGTCACATCTTACATGGATAGCAGCAGGCAACGAGAGAGCTCGTGCAGGGAAGCTCTGCCTTATAAAGCCATCAGATATCATGAGACTTATTCACTATCTTGAGAACAGCATGGAAAAGACCAGCCCTCATGATTCAGTTATCTCCCACCGGGACCCTCCCACAACATGTGGGAATTCAAGATGAGATCTCAGTGTGGACACAGCCAAACTGTATCATTCCACCTCTGGCCTCTCCAGAATCTCATGACCTCACTTTTCAAAACCAATTATGCCTTCCCAACAGTCCCCCAAAGTCTTCACTCATTTCAGCATTAACTCAAAAGTTCACAGTCCAAAGTCTCATCCGAGACAAGGCAAGTCTCTTCCACCTATGAGCCTGTAAAATCAAAAGCAGGTTAGTTACTTCCTAGATACAGTGGGGGTACAGGTATTGGGTAAGTACAACTGTTCCAATGGGAGAAACTGGCCAAAACAAAGGGGCTACAGGTCCCATACAAGTCTAAAATCCAGTGGAGCGGTCAAATCTTAAAGTTCCAAAATGATCTCTCTTGACTCCATGTCTCACGTCCAGATCACACTGATGCAAGAGGTGGGTTCCCATGGTCTTGGGCAGCTCTGCTCCTGTGGCTTTGCAGGGTACAGCCTCCTACCCAGCTGCTTGCATGGGCTAGCATTGAGTTCTGCAGCTTTTCCAGGCACACAGTGCAGGCTGCCAGTGAATCTACCATTCTGGGGTCTGGAGGAGGATGGTGGCCCTCTTCGCACAACTCCACTAGGCAGTGCTCCAGTAGGTACTCTGTGTGGGGGCTCTGACCCCATATTTCTCTTCTGCACTGCCCTAGGAGAGGTTCTCCATGAGAGCTCTGCCCCTACAGCAAACTTCTGCCAGGACATCAAGGCATTTCCATACATACTCTGAAATCTAGGTGGAGGTTCCCAAACCCCAGTTCTTGACTTCTGGTCACTGGCAGGCTCAACACCACGTGGAAGCTGCCAAGGCTTGAGGCTTGAATCTCCTAAAGCCACAGCCTGAGCTCTACATTGGCCCCTTTCAGCCACAGGTGGAGTAGCTGGGAGGCAGAGAGCCAAGTCTCTGGGTTGTATACAGCACAGGGACCCAGAGCCCAGCCCCTGGAACCATTTTTCCCTCCTGGGCCTCTGGGCCTGTGATGGGAGGGGCTACCATGAAGACCCCTGACATGGCTGGAAACATTTTCCCCATTGTCTTGGGGATTAACACTTGACTTCCCATTACTTATAGAATTTCTGCAGCTGGCTTGGATTCTCCTCAGAAAGCAGGATTTTTTCTATCACATTGTCAGGCTGGAAATTTTCTGAACTTTTATGCTCTGCTTCCCTTATAAAAATGAATGCCTTTAACAGCACCCAAGTAACCTCTTGAATGCTTTGCTGCTTAGAATTTTTTTCCACCAGATACCCTAGATCATCTCTGTCAAATTCAAAGTTCCACAAGTCTCTAGGACAGGGTGAAATGCCACCAGTCTTTTTGCTAAAACATAACAAGAGTCAGCTTTGCTCCAGTTCCCAACAAATTCCTCATCTCCATCTGAGACCACCTCAGCCTGTATTTCATTGTCCATATCATTATCAGCATATTGATCAAAGCCATTCAACAACTCTCTAGGAAGTTCCCATCTTTCCCACATTTTCCTGTCTTCTTCTGAGCCTTCCAAACTGTTCTAACCCCTGCCTGTTACCCAGTTCCAAAGTTGCTTCCCCATTTTTGGATATCTTTTCAGCAGTACTCCACTCCACTGGTACCAATTTACTGTATTAGTGCGTTTTCACACTGCTATTAAAGACATACATGAGACTGTAAAATGAGGCAATTTACAAAAGAAAGAGGTTTGATTGGACTCACAGTACCACGTGGCTGGAAAGGCCTCACAATCATGGTGGAAAGCAAGAAGAAGCAAGTCACATCTTACATGGGTGAGGGCAGGCAAAGAGAGAGCTTGTGCAGGGAAGCTCCACCTTATAAAGCCATCAAATCTCATGAGACTTATTCAGTATCGTGAGAACAGCACAAAAAAGACCTGCCCCCATGATTCAGTCACCTCCCACCAGGTCCCTTCCACAACATGTGAGAATTCAAGATGATATTTGGGTGGGTAAACAGCCAAACCATATCACTACCCATAGCAAACTATGGATTATCTGCATTCCCTATTAAAATTCCAATAGCATTGTTCACAGAAATACAAAAAAAATTCAAAAACTCACATAAAACCATGAAAGACTCCAAATAGCTAAAACAATCTTGAACAAGAAGAACAAAGCTAAAGGCACCACTCTTCCAGATTTTGAAATATATTACAAAACAATAATCAAAATAGAATTGTATAGGCATAAAAACAAACACACAGATCAATGAAAGATAACAAAATCCACACACATATAGTCATCTAATCCTGAAGTAAGGCAGCAAGAATGCACAATGAGGAAAATATAGTCTCTTCTATTAATGGTGCTGGAAAAACTAGATATCCATTCTAAAAACCATGAAATTGGACTTTTATCTAAACCTACACACAAAAATCAACTAAAAATGGGTTAAAGACAAAAACATAAGACCTGAGACTGAAAAAGTCCTAGAAGAAAGCATAGAGAAAACGTCCCATGACATTGGTCTGAAGAATTTTTTTTAAGTATGATAACCCAAAACACAGGCAATGAAAGCAAAAATAAACAATAAGGACATTAAAGTAATGCACATCAAAGGAAACAATCAACAAAATGAAAAGGCGACCTATGATATTGCAGAAATTATCTGTTCAACATATATCGAGGGGTTAATATTGAAAATATGTGAGGAACTTATACGACTCAGTAGCAAAAAATAACAATAAAGAAATAACTCAATTCTCAATTTTAAAACAGGCAAAAACCTAAATAGATATTTCTTAAAATAAGACATACAAATGGCAAACAGTTATGTGAAAAAGTGCTCAATATCACCAATCATCAGGGAAATGCACACTGAAACTACAGTGATATATTATCTCACACTTGTTAGATTGGCTATTAATCAAAAAGGCAAAAGATAACAAATGTTATAGAGGATACGGAGACAAGGGAACACATACATATACATTGTTGGTGGGAATTTAAGATGGTACAACCATTATGGAAAATGGTATGGAAATTCTTCAAAATATTAAAAATGGAATTACTATGTAATCCAGCAATCCAATTTTTGGGTATATGTTCAAAGGAAATAAGATGGCTATCTCAAAAAAATATCTGCACTATCATGTTTATTTGCATTATTGTTCATAACAGCCAATATATGGAAACAAGGGCCCATGAATGGATGAATGAATAAAGAAAATGCAGTAGATATACAACATTAAATTTCACTCTACCTTTTTAAAAAGGGAAAATATGTGACAACATAAATGAATTAGGATGACATTATGCTAAGTGAAATGAGCCAGACACAGTAAGACAAATAATGCAGTCTCATTTATAGATGGAAGTGATTTTATTTGTTTCATGATGTCTAGGATATATACTAGGTACTAAGGTTAGTAAGTATCTCTTTGAAAACTGTGGGGGTTTACATCCTGCAATTAAGCATATTTATTGTCCTTTCTTCAACTTATTCTAGCTTCTTGCATTAATCTATATGTATAAGTTGGAAATAATAGTACTTGGTTGTTGAGATAAAATGAGTAAATGTATCTAAAGTATTTCAAACGGTGCTTGGAATTTTGAAATTACTATACATGTGCACCTTCCTGGATTATTCCCCTCATATCATCTTGACAACCCAGAATATTGATAAGGAGATGTCAACCTACCATCGTAATCCTTGCCTCTTAGTAACAGTTTACGGTCCTGGAATGTATTCTCCAGAGTTCATATTATGATCTTCCTGTTTCTTAAGGTATTCAGCTGAATACCCCAGATTTTGAGTCCACCTCTTTGATAGCATAAATTTATTGGATAAATATATTATATTTAAATATAGCCTACACATAAACTAAGAGACCATTTCAAAGTATTTAAAACACAAAATGAAAATGTCAATAATCGCGGGTGACTCAGTTAATGAGAAAAGGAAATACAAGTTGATTTAAGGGCTACAGTGTTAATTAATCTAAGAGTAATAAAGAAGAAGCATTAGCAAAGGAAGTTTGAAAGCAGACTCTGCCATGTAAGCAAAAATTGCAAAATACCCCTCCAATTTCTATTGTAGTTATTCTTCCGATTAAGTATAGGCTTAAGGAAAGGCTTTCTGAAAAACAGACATTAAAGCATAGACCTGTAAGATAATAAGTTAGCCAGACAGAGTGGAGTAAAAGGAGATGGCTAAAAGAATTAACTAATTTACCCATTTTTAAAGATTCTACTTTCAATAAATTATGATCCTAATAATCTAGTAAATATTCAGTTTTAAATGCTTAGCAAACTCTATTTTTGACATTTGGTAATCTAGACTTTTTATTTCAGCTTCTCTATTTGAAAAGTACTCCAGCTTAGCTCTGTGATTTCAGTATATAACTACTTATATTATTCATCACTTTCTGGAAACACCTGGTAAGAATAATATTAAATAATATGGGACTTCTGTTGACCTTACCTTGCCCTTTACCACAATGACTTGGACTCAATTATGGGCTACATACATCTGTACTGTTTGGTTAAAATGAACCAAAACCCAACTTAAAGTAATTAAATTTAAAAAAAAGATTTTTTTTAAAAAAGAAATGTACTGGTCCTTGTAAAAAATAACTATTTTTACAGATTATTCTTGACTGGAAGGATCTAATAAGTTATGAGAATATTACTTAAATTGATCTCACACTTATACAATACCTGAAAACTATTTGCAATCAACATAGATGCGTCATTACTGACTTGTATGCAGTACTTACATTTTAATGCTTTTTAAAAACTCATATTTGGTGGGAAAAATCTTGACTTGTTGCCACTTTTGTGTGAACTGAAAACATGTCCTTTACAGTGAAAATAGAAAGCTTCACACTCCCTTCTATCCAGTTGACAGGAATATATTTTCTTATATTTGTAGCCAACTGAATTGATTATATAATTCTTTTCAGGGAGGAATGACTTCAGATCAGCTCTTCCAAAACCAAAGATATCTTTTAGTTTTTGGTAGTTGTATTCCAATAATTTGCGTGTGTGCATCCAGCAATTAACATATATAAATATAAATATATATAAATATATATTTATATATATTTATATTTATGTAAATATATATTTATATATATTTATGTAAATATATATTTATATATTTATGTAAATATATCTATATATTTATGTAAATATATATTTATATATATTTATGTAAATATATATTTATATATATTTATGTAAATATATATTTATATATATTTATGTAAATATATCTATATATATATTTATGTAAATATATCTATATATATATTTATGTAAATATATCTATATATATATATTTATGTAAATATATCTATATATTTATGTAAATATATATCTACATATACTTATGTAAATATATATCTACATATACTTATGTAAATATATATCTACATATACTTATGTAAATATATGTATCTACATATACTTATGTAAATATATGTAGCTACATATATTCATATATGTAAATATATGTAGCTACATATATTCATATATATATTTATAAACATATATTTATATATATATTTATATATAATTATATAAATTTATATATATACAAATTTATATTTATATAAATTTATATATATACAAATTTATATTTATATAAATTTATATATATTTATATATACATATTTATATATAAATATATAAATATTTATATATATTTATATACAAATATTTATATAAAATAAATATGTATTTATATAAATATATTTATATAAATATATTTTTATATATTTATATAAATATTTATATAAATATATTTTTATATATTTATATAAATATGTATATAAAAATATAAATATATTTATATAAATATATTTATATAAATATATTTATATAAAAATATATTTATATATATGAATATATTTATATATATTTATATATATAAATACACACATACACGCTTAAATGGGTTGCACCTATTTTCTCGGCTAATAGTCTTGTTACCATCATTTTTGCTACAGATCTGTACAACTTCCACTGTTAATGGATTCATTCATTGGATGATATGCTTTCTCTATGGTCCTGTTGAAACCGTAGGGCCTAAGTAATTCTGTGTCCTACCTCAATGCAGAGAAAAAGAGAACTATTACATTAATCCCTTCTGTATGTATCATTTTTGTCCTCTGTCTTATTCCCCGCTCTGTTTTTCTCTTTCTCTCCTTCCCCCACATAAAGAACTGTTATGTCTCTCCCCTGCTTAGTCTATTAAATCCTATCTGGCTCTGGTTTAAGCACCATCAGAGAATACATGCAATAGAGGCTCATTAGGGGGAGTGACCTCAAGTTCAATATTGCTTAATTTCTCAAAATCTTTGTGTAAATAAATAGTACTTGGAAAGTATTTCCTGAAAATTAAGTAGTCTGTTCATTTTTCTTGCTTGAAGATTCTTAAGCTTTGAGTAAGGGAAGGCATAAGAGCATCTTCAAATTGCACATATATTTTATACACATGAATCTTAATGGGCAGTCCATTATTTTCACCAGGTATTCAAAATGGTCTGTAACTAAGAAATGGCTGGAGAATCACCTCACCTAATATTTTCAAAACTAACTGATTTGGATTAATTAAAAAGTCTATAAGGCTGTGCATCTGGAATTTGTTACTCACAAGAGTAACATATATAATTGTGTGTGAGGTAAGTATGTTATTTATTTATTTTTTTCTGAGACTGAGTCTTGATCTGTCACCCAGGCTGGAGTGCGATGGTGTGATCTCGGCTCACTGCAACCTCCACCTCCAGGGTTCAAGCAATTTTCCTGCCTCAGCCTCCTGAGTAGCTGGCATTACAGGCGCATGCCACCAGGCCCAGCTAATTTTTCTATTTTTAGTAGAGATGGGGTGTTTCACCATGTTGGCCAGGCTGGTCTCAAACTCCTGACCTCAAGTGATCCGCCACCTCAGCCTCCTAAAGTGCTGGGATTACAGGCGTGAGCAAACACATTAAAACCAACACTTAACAAAGAGAACACAGGTTCTCTTTGGTCTAGTGAAGATATTTATGTTTGGTGTCTGGATGAGCAATACATGTGCCTCTTAAGAAAATGGCCTATCTTCATATTTTGGAAGGCATGGCTGAAGAAACTGTTTGCGTTTCTCTCCTCTTTCTTGCTTTACTGTTAGTGCAGTTCCAGATTCCAGCCTTGATGCAAGCTATTGTATTCCAGGGCATACATTTTTTGTCACCTTTGAATTTATTCTATTGTTTCTACCTTTGTTTATCTTTGCCACAAGTAAAGGTTCTTTACTTCTTTTGATATGTATTTTGGTACACTATGTATTTCTATAAGCTTCCCTAAATCATTTCCAAAAGCACTGAGCATATAAATATAAATGAATAAATAAATAATAACAGTGACTGAGGCAGAATATAAATGATTTTGTTTGTTTTATAGATTTTTTTCACATGGTCCACAGTTTTAATGTGGTTTCAGAAATAGTTCTTTAATCCACATGAAACTTTTGTAGTTTTTATTATAAGTACTTATTTTTAAAGTTTAACAGATACTAATGTATCCTTAATGAAGTACTAAGAGAAAAGGAGCCAACATTAAAAAAATGAATCCAAAGAATTTGAACTCGAATGGCAAAGCAAAGAAGGTTCTCTCATGCCCCAATTTGAGATTTAAAAATATACTTTAGGCATTCCTGCCTTTGATAGATGTACTACATTACAGTCACTTGTTCAGAAAATATAACAAAATTAAATATACCACTCAAAATACAGTCTACTCTGTATTCCACTTATAAAAATAATTATAAGTTTTTGCCTTGGGACGTATTTTAGGGCACACTATTGTACTTGTGTGTGTATGCTTGTTTGAGCTTTTTGTTTTAGTCAAATTACAGTGATTTAAATAGGTTTTTTCTTTTAGTTTTAAACTTGCATTTGTAAAAAGTTAATAAGTACTGCTTCTTCGCTGCTGTTTCATACAAATAGGTTGCTGACTATCATCTTATTGTCTTGTTGTAGGATGGATTAATGAATGGAAAGAGGGTTAAAAAAAAAAAGAAACTGATTTTTTCTCTTTATGGCCTAAGTAGAATTCCCCAATCTGCAGTGCTTTCTATCAAATAATTACTTGAACAGACATTTTCTGGGTAAATGGAAAGTCAAAGTCTTGGGCATAGCATATCTAATAAGCAAACCCTAATGATCTGCTGTACAACATTTCTTCCCAGCCACATATTCTGTATGTTGTAATGGAAACATTAAGTCTTAGAAAAAGGAATGAGCACTTGGTTTATATTACATAAAACTGGCAAACACAGGCTAGGTAAAATTTTTAAAGCACGAATATTTATTTATTTTTTAGCCTCAATGAAAGCTACTACAATTGCCCTTTTGGGGTAGGCTGTGTGCCCAAGAATATGCTATATGCTTACACAAATGGGAGAGGCTTCCACACCATCTGTCTCATCCCAGCCTAGGTGTGGGTTTAGTTCTGTGACAGGTACATGATAAGTGTTTAGAGAATACTTGTAGCATAATTGATGTCACTGTAGGAGGGGATAAAGGCCCTACACAGTGGATCTGTGACTCAGACATATCTGTAAGGGAGGAAAAATGAAGTGCCCAGTCTGCCAAAAACCAAGCTTGCTGGAATAGAAGTAAATGAGTATCTGGCAACTCCTAGTTAAAAAGCTCACATCTACTGCTCCCTCTCAAACTGTGAATAATTTAGTTCTGAGCTAGAAGGTATGTTCATTGATCTATTCAGCGTCTACCAGAAGTGTCAGATCTACACTAGCTCTTAAAGTAGGAGAAGAAAATGTGCGCATCACTTCCTTTACAAGTCTGGGGTGAATTGCTGCTGTAAAGACTTCACTCAATACACAAAGAGCAAAGTGTATGACACTCTTTTTTAAGGGCTGTTAACATAGACTGAAGAACAAACTCTCCAAGTAGTCAGCAAGTAGGCTGGTAAAAATAAAACGAAGACACTTGAGATTGAAAAGTCTGGTAGGCTTGAGAGTGAACATTTGAAGAAATAGCTACTAGGAACTATATTCCACCTCTGGAGAAACTCAGTGTTATTGTAAAAAATACTCTCTAAACTAAAATAAGGATAGAAATATGCATCCAGAGATGTGAAACCAGCTGAAGAACATAGAGCAATGCTTCTAGGTTCTTCTTACTAGATCCCTTTTAGGATGTTTGGTATTAATCTCTTTGATAAATTTGTTCAAGTCTCTACATTACTACTTTATCTGTCAGGATTTGACCCAAGAAGTAGAATCACAATGAGTGATGTAGAATAAAAAATGTATTATAGAGACTTTCACCTCACACAATTGGTGTGGGAGTCTATGCAAGGCTATTGCATGTGCATCTTGCTCTGGCCTCGAGTCTCAAAAAGTCAGCTAGGCAAGTGCAGAGAAAAATTGGAACCCATGAGGCCAAGTGGGAACTCACATCTGTCTTATACTGCAAAAAACACATGATGCACATAACTTGTAAGAAAAACTTAAATATAAATTCCATGGTTAGCCTAATGTTCTTTAAAAACAGCATTTTATCAGCTTACTACTACTATCCCTACACACTCAACTCTTTACAGAACATTAAAAAAATTATCTGAAAGATTAAAAAAATGTAACAAGTCATCATCTAAAATTAAACCACAGTTGTCTTCAGGAAGCAGGAGACTTTCTGAGGGGACTTTTAGACTAGAAGGCGTTTTCTTAAAGAATCATTCTCAATATAAGAAAATGGAATCTTTCTATTTTTAGAATCTGTGCACAACAGTGGTAACGATAAAGAAGAGTCATTGGTCACTGTATTAGTCAGGGTTCCCTAGAGAAAGAGAATTAAATATATATATTATAATTATATAATTAATTATATAATTAATATAATATATATATAATTAATTATAATTAATAATATATATTATATTATATTATATTATATATTATAATATATATTATATATTATAATATAAATATATAATATAATTATATAATATATAATATATATTATAATATAAATATATTATAATATATATAATATTGGAAAGTATTGGATATATATATATATAATATAGAATACATTAATTGGAAAGTATTTCCTGAAAATTAAGTAGTCTGTTCATTTTTCTTAATGAAGTTCCTTAAACTTTGAGTAAGGGAAGGCATAGGAGCATCTTCAAATTGCACATATATTTTATACACATGAATCTTAATGGGCAGTCCATTATTTTCATCAGGTATTCAAAATGGTCTTAAACTGTATATAATATAATATTATATATATGTATAAAACGGGGAGTTTATTAAGTATTAACTTACATGATCACAAGGTCCCACAATAGGCTGTCTGCTGTCTACAAGCTTGAGGAGCATGGAGAGCTAGTCCAATCTCAAGACTAAAGAACATGGAGTCCGATGTTTGAGGGTAGGAAGCATCCAGCACAGGAGAAAGTTGTAGGCTGGGATGCTAGCCCAGTCTCATCTATTCACATTTTTCTGCCTGCTTTATATCTGCTATCAGCTGATTGGATTGTGCCCACCAGATTAAGGGTGGGTCTGCCTTTCCCAGCCCACTGACTCAAATGTTAATCTCCTTTGGCAATACCCTCACAGAAACACCCAGGCACAATACTTTGCATCCTTCAATCCAATCAAGTTGACACTGAGTATTAACCATCGCAGTCACATAAAAAAGGTGAGTCTTTTTGTCCCTGTTCTTCTAAAATTAATGTTGTATTTTGTAACTATATCTACGAATACCATATCTACCAGATTAATCCCAGGTCACATGAAGACTTTCCATTCATAGCCATTCAATTGACTGGCATTACAGTAATATGCTGTTCAGGAATTTGGTACAGCTAACACAACAACTGGCTAAGCAATGTAGTTTTGATGTGTAGTAAAACTATTTTTATTCTTCCTCTAGGGAGGAATATTGAAGGCTGGCTCTTTAAAAATAATCAGTTTAGAATAAAGCAGCCATATGGCTAACTGCAATAATAATTTCTATTTTAGTTTCGTTTTAGGTAACTTAGAACCTGATACTATAAGTACTCTTTCGTATAACAACAGAACAAAGCCTAGGCACTTCAGCCTTAGTATTCATGTTTGTGTACAAATCTTGAAATTTTGAAGATAATTTGAAGGACCAAGCACCATATAACTTGTTTCTAAATATTTCATATTTACACAATGCCTTACAGTAATATTTACTCTAAAATGTCTAGAAGTTTAGAGGGAAATTAAGGAAAATAAAGTAATATATACAAATTATTCCTTAGGAAAGGAATTTATATAACACATTTTACCTAATGCAAAATAAACTAGAAGAAAGAAATCAATGAACATACATGCTCACACTTTTAGGTTCAGTTCACATTGATAAAGACATTAAAAGAAGAGATCGGTTGACCAATATATATATGCCGGGTGTAGTGGCTCACACCTGTAATTCCAGCACTTTAGGAGGCTGAGGCAAGTGGATCACCTGAGGTCAGGAGTTTGAGACCACCCTGGTCAATATGGTGAAACCCTGTCTCCACTAAAAGTACAAAAATTAGCCAGGTGTGGTTGTGCATGCCTGTAATCCCAGCTACTCGGGAGGCTGAGGCATGAGAATCGCTTGAACCTGGGAGGCGGAGGTTGCAGTGAGCCGAGATCGTGCCACTGCACTCCAGCCTGGGTGACAGAGCGAGACTCCATATCCAAAAATTTAAAAATAAAAATATAGAGATGAAGCTCCAAGCTAAAGATTTAATTTGGGAATATACAAATATTAGAATTGTATTTCAGGGCATACACATCAACTGAGTTGGCTTCTTCTATGTCCAAAAAAACAAAGAAGAAGATTGAGATTTTATTGGGAAAGAGAAAAGTTACCTAAGTTGTTTTGAAAGGATGTTCTTTGGCACTTACGGAGCTACGCAGGAGCTGATGAGGAGCTTTGATTGGTGAGCAGTGGCAATTACTAGATAAACCTAGTCTTGAACTTAGAGCTTACGCCTATAATCCCAGCACTTTGGGAGGCCGAGGAGGGCGGATCACGAGGTCAGGAGATCGATACCATCCTGGCTAACACGGTGAAACCCCGTCTCTACTAAAAATACCAAAAATTGGCGGGGCGTGGAGGCGGGTGCCTGTAGTCCCAGCTACTCACGAGGCTGAGGCAGGAGAATGGCCTGAACCCAGGAGGCGGAGCTTGTGGTGAGCAGAGATCAAGCCACTGCACTCCAGCCTGGGCGACAGAGCGACACTCTGTCTCAAACAAACAAACAAAAGAACAAAAAAAACAAAACAACAACAACAACAACAACAAAACTTACAGAGGGCCATTTTGCTCTGGAGACAGTTTTTGGAGCAGTCCTTTGTGACCTGAGTGTTTTTCTAACTGCCTCTCATTTCTATTTTCACTGGGTGTGACAGAAATGATTCCAATTTGTATAATCAATTCCCACATTTTGTTCAAGATCCTTTTATAAAAATATTGCTGATCAATCATCTCTGAAGTTAGGTTAAATTGTTGCTTCATGCTTAAATGGGTCTGTCCTGGTTGTCTCGGGTCTCATGTAAGACAGAAAACATGAAAGTGAATGTCAAGGACCCAGACCACATTTGAGCAACAAAGAAGACAGAAAGTAAAGCCCTCTCAGGGAAGCTTCTCTTGGAGTTCAGCAGCAATTTCCATCTTATTAGTACCACAGGCATTAACAATCGTCTAGCAGAATTGAGTTAACATTTCCTGTTGGGATGCTAGCTTTACAAATAAGACAGGCAACAAGAAACAAACTTACATATCGCAATGTAAAGAATAACCAGCAAAAATATAACAAATCTAGTCTGAATAATAGTTCTAAACCATGAACAGATTAAAAACTTCAGATTTTCAGAAACCAGCTAAACAAATAGAGAATTTCAATTATATTACATGAAATTTGTTGAAGCCAAGTGGCTTGTTCTCTTAACTTATAAAACTGTGATTCTACTTCCCCAGAAGAATTTATCTATATGTAATGTTAGCAATTGCACAAATATCACCTTGTTTACCTTATATGCAATCTACAGTAATTGTTATTTAGCTTATATGCAATTTACAGTAATTGTGTTATTTAATATTACTTTAGTAAGAGAATCTAGAGATGTTTGTTGAGTAGCAATGTCTTTAGCTATGGAGTCAACTATGGCTCTGATTTTTAACGATAAATTTTTGATCGTTGTTTACAGGTGACTATTCCCAATCTAAGGAAAATGGAATTTAATGAATGAGGCTCATTCTGTTGGATTTATGGTAAAGTATAAATTGGATACTTGGTAGAGTATAGTATCTCTCTACTATATATCTCTCAATAGTACCATATCAATGCTAAGAGATATCATCCAATGTTTAGATTTCATTAATTAAATTGAATCTAGAAATATACTAAACCTCATTTGCCTTTTATTTTTTATTTATTGAGAGATGATATTGTCCATGCATATAGTTGACTGTTGAATACTCTACAGATGAAAATTTATCCAAATGGAGCACAAAGAATAATTAATTCCATATAAAGTAATTTGTCCATTAAGTTACTCATAGCAAGGTTTTGGTAGTATTTATCTAAGGTTCTATTATTGAACTATTATGTGATTGAAGGCCATCAATTATTAGACTAAAGTCTAAATGTTTTTGTAACTTGCCAAGTTTTTTAAATTCTTTTACCATTATTAAAAACATAATCTTAATCTAACTTTAAAATATTTTTGCTAACCTAACTTTAAAATAAATTTGTATTGTTCGAGTAAAACAAGAAACCCGAATATGGGACATGACCTACTGAAACTGACTGGATGTACCCTTTGAACAGTTACATGGGGAATATTAGTGAAATCTGTTACGGAGTAGACTAAGGGTTCACTTGTATCATGGACAGATCAGGGGTTTGCTGACAAATCCAAGGCCAGTTAAGTTTCCCCCCTTTGGCAGCAGATTGAGAAACATGAAGTAAAGCATTGTTTTTGTAGGAAAACAAAGGCACATAAGAAGAGACCAATGATAAAAGGAAAAGGGCATACTGGCCTGATCTGGACATCTTGGAATAGTAGTCTAGGTATCATATGCTTTAATTTTGGGTGAACTTTAGCTTTAAGTTGCCTGTCAGGGTGTTGGTCCAAACAGGAATAAGAGTTTTTTTTTAAATGAGAAATGTGGATCCAAGAGTCAATACTTTTGAATTTGGCAACACACAGACTGGTGAGAAGGACTTGATATGGATACTTAAAATGATGCTTCAGAGAGTCCTTATATAGGTATCTTTTCCAGTAGACAAACATCACCAGTTTGTAGATTATGGTATCTTACATATTCATCTCACAGAAGCACACTGTGGAAAGACTGTTTTACTAAAGTATAATCTTTATCCATTCGTTTAATAATGCCCTTAGAATATTAGGGTACATCTCCATTTATTAACTGAGGGTCAGTAGCAGAGAAAGCTAAGGACATAGAATGGCCTGTGGTTATTTTAAAAGGTGAAAGTTTATGAAGCCTAAAGCAGGTGGCTTTCAAATTTAATAAGACCAAGGGAAAAATCTTAGGCCAGGGAGGTGTGAAGTTTTCATAAATTTTGTCAACTGGGTTTTTATATATGCTAATAAAATAAAATAAAGATTCCACATCAACATCATCAAAAACAGGGTTTATCAGTCACCCGTAGCATTATTCCCCAGATACTGTTGCAATCAAGGCATCTTCCATTTGGATGGATGTTGTTGGAATGGGTGTGATGGTTATGAACCTTTAACCATTTATTAACTGTATTTGGGTCTGCTGATATAGGTGAAGAGAGAAATCAAAAGATTGTTGGCTTTCATCAAGTCATCCAACCAGAGTGCTTACTGAAGAAGATGCAGGATGTGACCAGGGCTTAATCTTTTTCTTGTGATATAACTTTCTTTTCTGTCTAATGATGTGCCTGACACTTAGGTATAAAGCTTCATGTACATGACCGCAATTCTCACAGCTGTATGACCCTGAAACTGAAACAGACAATGGCATATTGAGAATGACTGATTGGACAGACTATGAGAATATCAGATAATACTACAAGAAATACTCCAGGAAATTATCCCACGGGACATTATATCCTCCTGGTTATCAGTCACATAATGACTTTCATGTGAGAGTTAGCAGAGAACACTAACACACTTAGACAGTTGGTTGTAAATAATGTATGCTGAAGACTACTGCAAAGAACACCTGCCTAATACTTTTATGAATTTCACATTTCTTTAAAGATTATATGTCTGCTTATAGGATTCGCAGGTTTAATAGACATCTTTAAGTGTAAGTCTGAGTAAATCTTAATATTTTTTGAATATTTATTTCAAAAAATATACATTCGGTTCCAGCAAATCTTAAAATAGTTTTGAAATAAGGATATCACACCCTCACATAAGAATGGAGCAAGCTTGGGCAGCACAAGGAGAATTATTTAGTCACCTTTCTCTTTTTTTTCTTTACACTGCTTGTCTCGTTACACAGAAAATGCATACTAGAAAGATAATAAGAGGTATTTATGACAAACCCACAGCCAATATCATACTGAATTGGCAAAAACTGGAAGCATTCCGTTGGAAAACCGGCACAAGACCAGGATGCCCTCTCTCACTACTCCTGTTCAACATAGTATTGGAAGTTCTGGTCAGGGCAATCAGGCAAGAGAAAGAAATAAAGGGTATTCAAATAGGAAGACAGGAAGTCAAATTGTCTGTCTGCAGATGACATGACGGTATATTTAGAAAACCCCATCGTCTCAGCCCAAAATCTCTTTAAGCTGATAAGCAACTTCAGCAAAGTCTCAGGATACAAAATCAATGTGCAGAAATCACAAGCATTTCTATACACCAATAATGGACAGAGAGCCAAATCATGAGTGAACTCCCATTCACAATTGCTATGAAGAGAATAAAATACCTAAGAATGCAACTTACAAGAGATGTGAAGAACCTCTTCAAGGAGAACTACAAACCACTTCTCAAGGAAATAAGAGAGGACACAAACAAATGGAAAAACATTCCATGCTCATGGACAGGAAGAATCAATATTGTGAAAATGGCCATACTGCCCAAAGTAATTTATGGATTCAATGTTATTGCCATCAAGATACCATTAATTTTCTTCACATAATTACGGAAAAAAAAACTACTTTAAATTTTATACGGAACCAAAAAAAGAGCCAGTATAGTCAAAACAATCCTAAGCAAAAAGAACAAATCTGGGGGCATCACGCTACCTGAATTCAAACTATACTACAAGGATACATTAACCAAAACAGCTTGGTACTGGTACCAAAACATATATATATAGACCAATGAAACAGAACAGAGGCCTCAGAAATAATACCACACATCTACAACCATCTGATCTTTGATAAACCTGACAAAAACGAGCAATGGGGAAAGGATTCCCTGTTTAATAAATGGTGTTGGGAAAACTGGCTAGCCATATGCAGAAAACTGAAACTGGACCCCTTCCTTAAACCTTATACAAAAATTAACTCAAGACGGATTGAAGACTTAAATGTAAAAACTAAAACCATAAAACCCCTAGAAGAAAACCTAGGCAATACCATTCAGGACATACCAGTTGTTTGTTCCTTTTGGTTTCTGAATAGCTTTCCATTATATAGATATACTACATTTTGTTTAGACATTCACCAGTTGATGAACATTTAATTTCTTTTCCAATTTTTTTCTATTATAAATAACGCTGTGTGAACATTCACATGCAAGTCCTTTTATGGACATATATTTTTATTTTGGGTAGATATCTAGGGATGGAGTCACTGGATTGTATGATTAATACACATTTCACTTTTTAAGATGCTGCTAAAGTTTTCCAAAGTAGCTGCACCATTTTACATTACTTTCAGCATGGTATAAAGGTTCCGGTTTTCTACATTTTCACCACTTGTTATTGTATGGTTTTTGTTTTGTTTTGTTTTTTGTTTTTTGTTTTTTTTTTGACAGAGTTTCGCTCTTGTTGCCCAGGCTGGAGTGCAATGGCACGATCTCCACTCACTGCAACCTCTGCCTCCCAGGTTCAAGCTATTCTCCTGCCTCAGCCTCCTGAGTACCTGGGATTATAGACATGTGCCACCATGCCGGCTAATTTTGTATTTTTAGTAGAGACAGGGTTTCTCCATATTGGTCAGGCTGGTCTCGAACTCCTGACCTCAGGTGATCCACCCGCCTCGGCCTCCCAAAGTGCTCGGATTACAGGCGTGAGCCACCGCACCCAGCCTTGTATGTCTTTTTATTACAGCAATTCTAGTGGGTGTAAAATGACATCTCACTGTGGTTTAACTTTGCATTTCTCATATGACTAATTTATCTTTTTGTGTGTTTATTAGACATCCGTATCTTTTGTTTAAATGTCAATTCAAATCTTGTTAGTGACTGCAAGTTGGCAATAAGGCACAAGACCTTATTAAATTCAACTTGTAAAACCTCTTGATGGTCAGCCTTTCAGGCTTTTCCTGAGAAAAAAATGCTACTTTGCTCTTCAGTGAGATAAGTGAAACTTTCTGATATTATGATAATGTACACTCTCCTCTGACTACAATAATTAGGGAGAGAAACGGCTTCCCAATTGCCATAATCCTGCACAGGATTCAGACTTTCTTCTGGGCTTGATTACAATTTCTAGACAAAAAGTTATGTATCTACTGCCATAAGTGAAATAGAATAGCACACAGAGTTCAAGAGTATATGAAGTGTCTTATATTGATCATTCATTGGCCCTGTAAAATCTGCACTGAGATTGTTTATGCATAATCTCTCTCTCTGCTAAACTTCTTAATGTGCTTCTCTGCCTGACTAAGTCTGTGGTATCTATAAGGCTTGCACACACAAACTTTAGAACCTGAACCTGTATACTCCTGACTTTTTGCTGTCTAAATTTCTTAAATGCTTTTATTCTGATTATGCCTTAAATGACACATTAATATGCAACTTCATTTTTTACATATTCATGATGCCTATAACTACACATTTCTTAGAAATGTTAACTTGTTTGCAAAATGAATTTGCATAATTTGGGGAATATTTTTAGATAATAGTTCCAATTTTATCCTCCTTTTGTGGATACTATGATATATGCATATTATATGTTGGGGCTTTTGCCCTGCTCTGTTACCAATATCTATGTAGAGTACAGTTTTATGACTCACTTTCTACCATCACAAAGTAACTGCTACTGGACCTGGTCTGCCACTACAAATACCTGCAAAACTGGAAAATATAGAAACTGTTTCCAGACATTGTATAATAGGTGTCATAGGACTACAGTCACTGAGAGAAAGGAAACAAAATAGGTTAGCCACAGAGTTAGACTGGTTTTCTGTGTGAATGCATGTTCCTGACTAGCCAAAGAAAGCCCAAGAGTGGTGTCACTAGCTGAGAAGAAAAATACAGGAATTTGAGGCTACTGAGATGGCTGAAATTTTCAAAGCAGTGTACAGGAGAGAACATATGTGTGTAAAGAAGGAGTTTAAGAAATCTGCATGAATCATCTTCAGTCTTTGGCTGAATACCAAGTGGAACATGCGTAAGCTGGCACTCCCAAAGGCTATATAGAGAATTACTGCCAGAGGAAGTACAACTACTAGGAATCCATGAGCTGAAAAACTGTTTCAAATTGCACAGAACAGATATTCTAATTCTAATTAGCCAGCTATTATTTAGGACAATAGGTAGCAGAGAGGCAACATTTTAGTGGTAGGTCTACTGGAGCCTTCAAGTAAAGGCCTTTCTTTACTAAGGAAAACAACAAAATTCAAATAACCAAGATAATATATGTAATGCCCAATATAAAGTGAAAAATAAATAGACATGCAAAATGAAGTTAATGAGATCCATAACCAGGAAAACCATCAGTCATTACTGAAAATGACAGAGTTGTCAGAATTAGCAGATGACCTTATAACAGCCATTACACCTTATACAAAAAATAACTCAAGATGGATTAAAGACTTAATTATAAAACCTAAAACCATAAAAACCCTAGAAGAAAACCTAGGCAATACCATTCAGGACATAGGCATGGCCAAAGACTTCATGACTAAAACACCAAAAGCAATTGCAACTAAAGCCAAAATTGACAATGGGATCTAATTAAACTAAAGAGCTTCTGCACAGCAAAAGAAACTATCATCAGAGTGAACAGGCAACCTACAGAATGGGAGAAAATTTTTGCAATCTATCCATCTGAAAAAGGCCTAGAATCCAGAATCTACAAAGAACTTAAACAGCTTTACAAGAAAAAAACAAACACCACCATAAAAAATGGGCAAAGGATATGAACAAACACTTCTCAAAAGAAGACATTTATGCGGCCAACAAACATGAAAAAAAGCTCATCATCACTGGTCATTAGAGAAATGCAAATTAAAACCACAATGAGATACCATCTCACACCAGTTAGAATGACAATCATTAAAAAGTCAGGAAACAACAGATGCTGGAGTGGATGTGGAGAAATAGAAACACTTTTACACTGTTGGTGGGAGTGTAAATTAGTTCAACCATTGTGGAAGACAGTGTGGTGATTCCTCAAGGATTACACCTAGAAATACCATTTGACCCATCAATCCCATTACTGGGTATATTCCCAAAGGATTATAAATCATGCTGCTATAAAGACACATGCACACGTATGTTTATTGTGGCACTGTTCCCAATAGCAAAGACTTGGAAGCAACCCAAATGCCCATCAATGACAGACTGGATAAAGAAAACATGGCACATATACCATGGAATACTATGCAGCCACAAAAAAGGATAAGCTCATGTCCTTTGCAGGGACATGGATAAAGCTGGAAACCATCTCAGCAAACTAACACAGAACAGAAAACCAAACACTGCATGTTCTCACTCCTAAGTGGGAGTTGAACAATGAGAACACATGGACACAGGGAGTGGAACATCACACACCAGAGCCTGTTGGGGATTGAGGGTCTAGGGGAGGGATACCACTAGTAGAAACACCTAATGTAGATGACAGGTTGATGGGTGCAGCAAACCACCATGGTACGTGTATACCTATGTAAGAAACCTGCACAATCTGCACATGTACCCCAGAACTTAAAGTATAATTTTAAAAAAAGAGGGAAAAAAATTAGTTCAAGATTTTTAGGCAAATCCTGATCATAAGGCAAAACAATTATGGACTCTCAATAGAGAAATGGAGATTATAACAAAAAACTGGAAAAATCTGAAACTGAAAAACCATAATATCTGAAACAAATACTGAAGAATCTTTACAGTAAATTAGAAACTCCAGAGGAAAAGAACAGTGAACCAGAAGTAAACAAGTTGAGACTATACAAACTGAAGCAAGGAAGACAAAATAATGCTGAAAAAAATTAGAACCAGACTTATTGACCTACAGGATAATATTAAAAGCTCAATTATATGTGTAATTGGGGTACCTGAAGAAAATAAAGTTGTGTTAGAAAAAAAATTTGAAGAGACATTAAAATATTGGCTGAATATATTCTTAGGTTCATAACATATATAAAGGTACAGATCTGAGCAACTCAATCAACTCCAAAGACAAACACCAAGAAAAAACATACCAAGGAGTGTAATAGTTAAATTATAACATTAATAATAATTATAATGAAATTATAACATTAACAATAATTATATTGATACTTACAGGAGTAATACTAGCAGCAAGTTTTCATCATTTCTCAGGGTTCTACTATGGTATTTAGATCTTGCTTATCTTAGCAATGCTCTCATCTCAATTTTACTTTTCTTTTATGTAAATTTACATTAAATTTATACTGTCACCTTTTTCAGCATTCCCCAGAGTCAAGCCTTAATGTCTCTTACTGGTTTCTTTTAGTATGCGTTGAAAAGGTCCTGTAGTTCCTTTGGGATATAACTACATTTTTGTAGGTGAACTTAACGCCAGTGGGGTTGATTATGACCTTTTAATTTTTGTTTATTAAGGTGTAATGCAAATGAAATCATTCTAACGTTCTTGGTCTACAAAATTCTGTGACTTTTGGCAAACACATAATTATGGGCTGAATTGTGTTTCTCCCAAATTCATATGATTAAGCCTTTACTCCCCGTACCTCAGAATGAAACTATACTTGGAGACAAGTCCTTCATAAATGTGATTAAATTAAACTGATGGAGTTAGGGTGTGCCCCAATCCAATCTGATTTGTGTGCTTATAAGAAGAGAAAATTTGAGCACAAAGAGAGACACCCAGGAAGTGAGGCACAGAGGAAAGGCCAAGTGAGGACACAGGGAGAAGGTGGTCCAGAACATGCCGAGGAGAGAGGACTCAGAAAAAAAACACACCTGTAAGCATTTAGTTTTTTGCTCCTATAGTTTTGCCTTTCTCAAACATTCTTATGAGTGAAATAATACAGTATATGGCCTTTTGAGTCTGGCTTCTTTCATTTAGCATAATACAGGTAAGATTCATCTAAATTACTTCACATATCAACAGTTTGTTTCTTTTAATTGCTGTAATTATTTCATTATATACAAGTGGGTTGTTTACAGTTTTGTGGTTATGAAGAAAAGCCACTTAAAACCTTTATGGTTAAACCTTTAGATTTCTGTGTAAACTTACTTCATGTACCTGGGTAAATATCCAGGAGTGGGGTATCTGGTCATGTGGTAACTATATATTGAACTTCATAAGACAGTGAAAATCTGACTTCCAAATAGGCTGTACCAATATGTATTCTCACCTGCAAAATATATCCTTTTCAGCTTTTATAAATATTTATTTGTGTATTTATTTTATTGTAGCACTCTTAATAAATGTGTAGTAATATGCCATTGCAATATTAATTTTCACTTTAATAAGTCGTGCTTTTACTGTGGTATCTAAGACATATTTGACTAATCCAAAGTCACAAAGATAGTCTTTGATGTTTTCTGTAAGACTCAAAGGAGTTTTACTTCTATAATTCATGCTGAGGTAATTTTTGTGTAAATTATAAAATATGGATTGAGGTTATTTATTTTTCTTATGGATGTACAATTGTTCCAGCACTATTTATTGAAGACTCTCCTTTCTCCAAAAAATTGCCTTTGCTTCTGTGTTGCAAATCAATTGATCACAAATATATAGCAAATATATACGTATTTTTTAATATGTGGTGTTTATTAGTTTTCTTCCCAAACTTCTTAATAAAAAGAGCATTCGTAATTCATTCATTGTCAACTCTGAGATTTGGTTTACACATTTAACCAATATTTATGTTTATAGGTAATATTTTATGACCTTGAGTTTATTTCAAAAGGTCAACTTGTCTTATTAAAATTAAAGATACAAGATTCTTAATTTGATTGTTGATGTGTTAGATTAATTCATGCTTTAACAGTCCTTCAATTATTGCTGAGAACTTTGTGTTTCGTATTGCACTTGATGTTCTATAGAAACTGGATACAGAGCATGCTATAGCCCTATGATCATTTTACTATTTAGGATACATGACATATAGAGAAAGGAGATTACAGTGACATCAAATTGTACATTTATTAAATTACTGAATTAATCTACATGCATATGCGAGGATAGAGAAATAACCTTAGTGATGTCGTTGATTCACTTAGTCGTCTCCTTAATGAGCATGAATTCTAGGTGTGTACAATGTGAGGAGTAGAAAATTGCTGTTCCCTTACTTGCTCTGTTTGCATCATGTCTCATTCAACATTGATACATTATTGGAATGAAAATTATTCTACATTTATAGCTTGGCATTTTTCAAAAACCATGACTTCACAATATGCGCAAATAAAATAAAATGTGATCAGAAGCAATGATGGGCAATGTGGGAATTTTCAAGGGCAATTTTGACCTTAAAATGTAACCTCCCATATAAGATGAAACTTTTCTGAACTTCACAGTAAATAATTACGCAGTAAATACAAACAAACAAACAACACATACATATACATATGCAAAAATATTTACTTTTTGTTGAGAGGGGAATACGAGAACATTATAAGTAAGAGAAACATCAGAATAGGGGATAGAATGAAACCTAACCTGCTCTATAAGACAGATTGTAAAAGAAGTGTAGTGAATTTGAAATGGTGAAAAATGAGGTGAGACAATTATTAAGGAGCCAGGTATGCGGATTTTTAAACCAAACCTATTAGTTTGATTAGGCTCCAACCGGTAGTGGGGATTAACCAAAGTCTTGACTTACCCAATTTTTATATGTGGTACGTCTGGAAGATTTTATCCTGGGTTGGTAAGAATCTGCTGCCACTGCTACAGGCTAAGAAAGGGTATTTCCTGTGTGTACATATAGACTTGTGAGTGTCTACATTGTTAAAATTGAAATAGCTGTACAATTAAAGAAATCTGTCATAGCATACCCTTTGCCTGAGTACAAAACAGATAAGAAAATATTTTCTTGGTTACTTCTATTGATTAATGTATCCAGGCAAATTAGTGGAATGACTTCCAGCCAAGACTCAGGATCATCTACATCTAGGTCAGTAAGAGTTATCAACAAGCCCTGTCATGAAAACAGTGTCCTATTTTTTTTATTATTCAGACTGAGGTACTGCTTATATTTCAGAATAATTATGAAGAGTGGCAGCAGTTTTATTCTTGATAGGAATTCTACTTTGAAGCATATACTTTCCTTATTACTATGTCATAAGCATAAGTAAATGCTTATTACATTTGTTATAAGCATTTATTTCAGGTTAAAGAATATCGTGATATTTCAAGTTAGCATTTGTAGCTGTTTCCCCATTTGAATCAGGATTTTACCTTTCCTATGAAACCAAAACAAACCAAAAGGACATTACATAGCAACTGTAATTTGTTCGCAAGTATTTTTATCTAAACTGTTTCAATTTCTTGTTGTCTGAAATATAATAAATAAATGTTATCTTACAAATAAGTTTACACTCACTAATCACCATGTTTACAATTTTATTTACTGAGATTTCATGTAAGATTTCTTTTGGGGAAAAAAAGTGTTCATTTCTTAACACTTAAACACACCATTCTGAATTATTGATTGAGGGGGAACCTGAAAAGGAGTTGTAGCATTGATAGAGAATTAGGAATTCTGTAAAATCAAGTCTAGTTTTAGACATTTAAAGTTTGATTCAGTGGCATTAACTGACACTGTAAAATAGACTTATAAATTCCCAAGCAAGTAATATATACTTGAAAGGTATATTTCCAAAGAAATAAGAAAGAGAGTAACAAAGAACCCAACGTAAAAGGCATCTCACAATGAGAGAAAAAGAGGAAACTGCATAATATATATTAAAAATTTTATTTCATAAAACCCAGTTTGAAATACACAGTTTTATTACTATATTTTCACTCATGCTTTAAAGTGAATATGATTATTACAATTATGGCCTGGTTTGAAAGCCCTAGTACCATGTGCCATTTCTGCTCTTCCCATTGAGAGGTGAATTGTATTTGTCTACCCCTTTGAGTCTGGCCTTGGGTCCTGCTTTCACCAATGGAACATGGCAGAAATGACAATGGGAAACTTCTGAGCTATAGTCAAGAAACCATGCACTTTATTAGAAATGTAGACATCACATATGAGGAAGGCCAGACTGATCTAGTCTCCTTGAGAATAAAAAAACACATGGAGAGAGGCCCAGACATCTAGGTGTTACAGCTGAACCTCCATCCAACCCCTTAGCTGGACTTAGCAGCATGAGGGAGCACAGGTAAAAACAGAAGAGGAAACACTCAATTAAACTGAAGATTTGTGAGGCTTAATACATTGTAAATTGTTGTTTTAAGCTACTATGATTTGGAGTACTGTAGCTGTTTTGGAACAATGCATAACTGACACACACACACGCGCACACACACACACACACAGGCTCCTTTCCTTGTTCATTTCAACTATTTTCAATTCATAAGTGTCATATTTACACCTATGTGGTTTGATAAATAAGGTGATATTGTATAGGGTTTCCTAGGGTGGTTAAAACTAGCAGAGTGATTAATACTTATTTAGTCTTTTGTGTATAAAAGCACATTATGATATTAATCAGTTTAGGGATCAACTCAATTTTCTAGTAGAAAGAACACAGGATTTGGAGATTAAAAAAAAAAATTAAAGCAACAACCTGAAGAAAAATTTATTAACTAGGTGACTGAGTGATTTTGGTCAAATTATTTTATCTCTCTAGATCTCTATTTTCTCATTTAGTTAAAAAGAATTTTAAGAGGGATAATTCTCAAGGTTGTAAATGCATATACATATATAGTATGCATATATATGTATGCATATGCATATTTTAACTAAAATTCTTTTCAACTAAATGAGAAAATAGAGATCTAGGAGAGACAAAATAACTTGACCAAAATCACTCAATGCATATACATATATAATAGGCATTTATTTGTATATACATTTAAAACCTAGAGAACTATCTATCTTATATATAATATATATCGATCTTTTAAAAAATATATTAAAAAAAGTTTGTGTTGTTGTTTTGTCTAAGTTATAGTTCAGGAAGTTCTTTAGAATTTGCTGCCAGTATTTTACTTCCTTTACTTAACATAATGTATTGCATTATTCTAAAGTATGAATATATCACTGAAAATATTGCCCCAAATGTTTTACTGAACAATATTTTAAGATGAAACAATTTTACAATGTTACTAATTTCAATACTATTTTATAACATCATTTCATTTATATTAATATTAATAAGAATAGAATCTCAAAATTAAATAAGTGAAACTAATGTATCTCTGTGACTCTGATATCCACAAAATAAAGTATGAATACCGAGTGAACAGATGAAGGCAAACAAAAAAATTAAAAATATAACATACATCTCAGTTTGTCAAACAATATATTCATTGTAGTAAGAAGACTCTGCCACAGACTTCTAGGTGTGGCATCTTATCCATTCACTGCTGGCATGCTAGCCAATCATATTTCGACGTATTTGACAAGTCAAATAAAGTAGAAAAAACTACTTGTAAACATACTTAGATTATTCAAATCTAGGAAGATCTGCTCACGAAGAAATGACATCAGAAACTCTTAATGTTAACAATTTGAAGACTTATTATGTCAATCATAAACTTCAAATTTTCTCCTTGCAGTTATTATGTTTAATGTGTAATTCCATTTTTATGGCAAAGGTCACTCTGGCATTTACAGATATTTGAAAAGTATATGTAGGATATTTTAAGTTTCCATGATAATTTTGAATTTTCACTGAAAAATTAGGGAATAAAGGAATTATAACAGCGACTTGTAGAATTTGTGGACTTGATACACAGTTATTATTATCTCATCAAACTACTTTTTTATTTTATTATTATTATACTTTAAGTTTTAGGGTACATGTGCACAATGTGCAAGTTAGTTACATATGTATACATGTGCCATGCTGGTGTGCTGCACCCATTAACTCGTCATTTAGCATTAGGTATATCTCCTAAAGCTATCCCTCCCCCCTCCCCCCACCCCACAACAGTCCCCAGAGTGTGATGTTCCCCTTCCTGTGTTCATGTGTTCTCATTGTTCAATTCCCACCTATGAGTGAGAACATGTGGTGTTTGGGTTTTTGTTCTTGTGATAGTTTACTGAGAATGATGATTTCCAATTTCATCCATGTCCCTACAAAGGACATGAACTCATCATTTTTTATGGCTGCATAGTATTCCATGGTGTATATGTGCCACATTTTCTTAATCCAGTCTATCATTGTTGGACATTTGGGTTGGTTCCAAGTCTTTGCTATTGTGAATAGTGCCACAATAAACGTTCATGTGCATGTGTCTTTATAGCAGCATGATTTATAGTCCTTTGGGTATATACCCAGTAATGGGATGGCTGGGTCAAATGGTATTTCTAGTTCTAGATCTCTGAGGAATTGCCACACTGACTTCCACAATGGTTGAAGTAGTTTACAGTCCCACCAACAGTGTAAAAGTGTTCCTATTTCTCCACATCCTCTCCAGCACCTGTTGTTTCCTGACTTTTGAATGATTGCCATTCTAACTGGTGTGAGATGGTTGATTGCCATTCTAACTGGTGTGAGATGGTATCTCATTGTGGTTTTGATTTGCATTTCTCTGATAGCCAGTGATGGTGAGCATTTTTGCATGTGTTTTTTGGCTGCATAAATGTCTTCTTTGAGAAGTGTCTGTTCATGTCCTTCACCCACTTTTTGATGGGGTTGTTTGTTTTTTTCTTGTAAATTTCTTTGAGTTCATTGTAGATTCTGGATATTAGCCCTTTGTCAGTTGAGTAGGTTGCAAAAATTTTCTCCCATTTTGTAGGTTGCCTGTTAACTCTGATGTTAGTTTCTTTTGCTGTGCAGAAGCTCTTTAGTTTCATTAGATCCCATTTGTCAATTTTGTCTTTTGTTGCCATTGTTTTTGGTGTTTTAGACATGAAGTCCTTGCCCATGCCTATGTCCTGAATGGTAATGCCTAGGTTTTCTTCTAGGGTTTTTATGGTTTTAGGTCTAACGTTTAAGTCTTTAATCCATCTTCAATTAATTTTTGTATAAGGTATAAGGAAGGGATCCAGTTTCAGCTTTCTACATATGGCTAGCCAGTTTTCCCAGCACCATTTATTAAATAGGGAATCCTTTCCCCATTGCTTGTTTTTCTCAGGTTTGTCAAAGATCAGATAGTTGTAGATATGTGGCGTTATTTCTGAGGGCTCTGTTCTATTCCATTGATCTATATCTCTGTTTTGGTACCAGTACCATGCTGTTTTGGTTACTGTAGCCTTGTAGTATAGTTTGAAGTCAGGTAGCGTGATGCCTCCAGCTTTGTTCTTTTGGTTTAGGATTGACTTGGCGATGCGGGCTCTTTTTTGGTGCCATATGAACTTTAAAGTAGTTTTTTCCAATTCTGTGAAGAAAGTCATTGGTAGCTTGATGGGGATGGCATTGAATCTATAAATTACCTTGGGCAGTATGGCCATTTCCACAATATTGATTCTTCCTACCCATGAGCATGGAATGTTCTTCTATTTGTTTGTATCCTCTTTTATTTCATTGAGCAGTGGTTTGTAGTTCTCCTCGAAGAGGTCCTTCACATCCCTTGTAAGTTAGATTCCTAGGTATTTTATTCTCTTTGAAGCAATTGTGAATGGGAGTTCACTCATGATTTGGCTGTCTGTTTGTCTGTTATTGGTGTATAAGAATGCTTGTGATTTTTGTACATTGATTTTGTATCCTGAGACTTTGCTGAAGTTGCTTATCAGCTTAAGGAGATTTTGGGCTGAGACAAGGGGGTTTTCTAGATATATAATCATGTCATCTGCAAACAGGGACAATTTGAAACTACTTCTGAAAGTCTTATAAATGATTTAAAAATTAATTAAATTAGGATCATTTTTGGTTTGTGTTACTACTTGAGATATTTGAAGACATTTAAAAATACTCCAAAATTGTAGTTGTCATCTAAGAGCAATGAATGAAAAATGAAAGTAACTTTTTGAAACTCTCTGTAGAAGATGGCAGATTGTAGGCATAGTTAGAATGCATCACTCACTTGGAAAGACAAAATAGCATGTAGAGATTCACACTGAAAACTTTTTCCCATGAAGCAACACAAGAACTTAACAGAAAAGTTTCATTTAAAACCACAGACCCTTTGAAAGCAGTGGCAGGCAGCAGCCTACACCACTAACTAAGATGGCAAACTGAGTCTCCAGAGCATAATATTAGGGAGAGACTGCCACTGTGACATATGCTCCAACAGGAGGGACAGGAAATCCAGGTTACGGGGCAAGGTCTTAACCCTATCCACTGCTGGAGCTGATTTCATGAACAGTCTGGACTACATGAGAAGGATGCTTTGTGTGCACCCCGAGACTCCAGTGGCCATGGAGGGAAGCCATTCCTGATCCTACTGCACAGGGGAAGTTGTGAAAGTCTGCCAGCTAACTCAGGTGGTGGTCATAGGTTCAGAGACGCTCCCAACTTAGATCTGTGATATAATCTGGATTGGGGATGAACCCCATTGGCCAGAATTGAGAGGTCAGCAGGAAATGTGCTATTCCCATGGGTGCAGGAGCTGAAAAACCCTGCTTCATGGGTGGACTGGGAGAAACATTGCCTGAAAGCCACAGTTTCTGTCTCCAGCAAAAAGGTTTGTGTCCTGGGGGCAGTTTTGTGTTGAGTGCAGAATGCCTGGGACCCAGCTAGCTGCTCCTAGCAGAACACCATGGACCTTCCTTGCCAAGTATGTGGGGGCTGAGTGGGGCTTATTGGCACCTGCTAACCCCCCAAACCCCATGCAAATTCTTTTGTGTAGCAGAGGCAGCTGTGCTCTTCCCTGGAACATTACTCCAGCAGCCAGGGAACTTCCCTCTCTTCCTCACCGGGCTACTGCTTGCACCTGCATGTAGGGAGCGAAAGGATGGAATTGCCTGACCCAGCCCCCACCTGGCTTTGCCCTACCACCTGTCCTGGTACTGCAACACAAGAGGCCCTCGTAGTACAACAAGGAGTAGGGACCTATGGGAGCTCCATGGCCCCTCCCAGTGCCTGAGGCACTAGAGTGCCTCTCCTGAGTAACAAAAGGCAAGCATAGATTCAACCACTACCACTGCACCTGGCGTTCTTTTGTAAGTGCCACCTTCTGGCTGGAGGCCAGCTGGCACAGCCCGTTACAACATCTGCAGGCACAATAACACAGCACTTAGGAAGAAGAAAATTTTTGCTCAACCTCAGCCATTGACATTGCTTGCATCAGCTTGGGTAACCAGGAGCTCTTGAGCCAGTCCATGTGCCCAGTACAATACTACTGCAGCTGACATTTCAAAAAGCCAACACATGAAAGCTATTTATAACCATAGAAATCTAAGAGTCTATGTCACTCCCCTCCCACTCCCATCAGAGCTGACGTTGGTACCAACAGCTGGAAGACTTGAGAACAGGTCACATCACTGGATTCCCTGAACCAGCCTGGAGTGTGGCAGCCCCACTGGGCAACTAGACCCAGGGCAGCAGCAGGACTCACAGCAGTCTGCTCAGGGACTTCTACTTACTGGGGAAGAGGGAGTGTACCACATTAAGGGAGCACCCAATGTAACCTCAAGTCCCTGAACTTTCCACTTGTGAGAAGTTTCTTTCAGCAGAGGCACAAGTGCAATGCTGGGCTCAGTGGGGAAGTCTGCAGCTCTATCCCAACAGTCAGACAGCCCTGAGGCTCATGAGGAGAACTGGAGAAGGAGACTTCTTCCCCTCACTCACCACTGCAGACACAGCTGGGGGTTCTCCTAAGGTAACCTATCATGGGTGCATCTGTAGACAGCCTTTCAGACTGCATTCTCACAGAAGGAGTGCCCCCAGGTTTATGCTTGGACAAGAGGTAGAGTGACAATCCCTGTCTCCATGAAACATCAGCATTCCTGCAGATGAAAAGAGGTGCCTGTCTGATCTGAATAGCTGGAACACTGCAACAGGAGTGTGTCTTGGAGGTGAAACACTTGGCTGCTGGCCTAGAAGGAGAGCTATGGTGACTCCCTCCCTTTCCCCTGAAAATATCTCAGAGTATTTCACTGAGAACTTCCCCAGCCACCTCTTTTAAGGCTGGGACCTCTGCCCATCATTGGAGTATTGCATTTACCTACCTGTTTAGCCGCAGCCAGTTTTTACCCATGTGCACAGCCTACTGGCTCGATGCATGAACTCTTCAAATCAGTGAATAAGATCCTAGGGGAAAGAAATTATTTTTAGGTGTACACCACTAGGGAATGAGTTAAGCTTCATAAAATCGCTGCTATTCCAGCCTCACAGGAGACAGTGAACCTACTCCAACACCTAGTACATCATTATTAAAACTAGCATCTGAGAAAGTCATTGCACATTGTTTCTCTACAACCAAGGAATTCATACAGTCTTTGCCACTGAAGGCACTCAGAGCCAAAGCTAGGTGAAAATAAACAATAAAGTCTCATCCTCAAGGGGAAAAAAAATAAGGATCAAAAAAAGCAGTCAAAAATAAATTCAAAAATAATTACACTAGTCTACACAAATGAAACAGAACCAGAAAAATAATTAAAATAATTCTGGAAATATGAAAAAAACAGTTATGTAACACTCCCCAAAGATCACACTAATTCTCCAGCAGTAGATTCAACCCAAGATGAAATCACTGAAATACCAGATAAAGAATTCAAAGGGTTGATTACTAATTTACTTAAGGAGATACAAGAGAAAGGTGAAAACCAACATAAAGAATCATTTTTTAAAAAACTAAGAATATAAATGAAAAAATTTTAAAGAGGTAGATATTTTAAAGAAAAATGTTTCATAACTTCTGAAAATGAAAGAAACATTTAGGGAACTAGAAAATGCAACTGAAAGTTTTAACATAGACAGACCAAGTATTGAATTTCACAGGTCAAAGAGAAGGCTCTTGAATTAACCTAATAAGAACAAAAAAAAGAATAAAAAAGAATTAGAATAAATGAACAAAGTCTCTGAGAAATATGCATTTTTGTAAAATGGCCAAACTTAATCATTATAGGTGTTTCTGAGGGAGAAAATAAAAGCAAAATGTTTGGAGAACTTCTAGAGGGAATAACTTAGGAAAATTTCTCTGGCGTTGCTATAGCTTTTGACTTCCAAATATAAAAAATTTAACTCCTGGGAGACTCATTGCAAAAAGACAACACCAAGGCATATAGTCACCAGGCTATCTAAAGTCAATGTGAAGGAAAGAATTCTAAGAGTAGTGAGACAAAAGCATCAGGTAACCTATAAAGGAAAAGCTCTCAGACTAATAGCAGACTTCTTAGTAGAAACCGTACAAGTTAGAAGAGATTGGGGTACTACCTTTAGTCTTCTTAAACAGAGTAACTGTCAGCCAAGAATTTTATATCCAGCAAAACTAAATTCCATAAATGAAGAAGACATAAAGTCTTTCTTTGACAAGCAAATGCTAAGGGAATGTGTCACTCAAGGATAGCCCTACAAAAAAATGCTAAAAGGAGTTCTAATTGTTGAAACAAAAGATTGATACCCACCAGAATAGAAACTCCTGAAAGCATAAAATTCACAGGACTTATAAAACAATAACACAATGCAAAAAACAAAGTCACTAGGTAACCATCAATACGATGACTGAAACAGTATCTCACATCTCAACATTAATGTTGAATATAAATGGTCTCTATAATCTACTTAAAAGATACATTGTCAGAATGAATTTTTTTTAAAAAATCACAAACCAAATATCTGCTGTCTTCAGGAGACCCACCTCACATGTAAGGATCCTTATAGAGTCAAAGTAAATGGAGGGGGGAAAGATATTTCATGCAGATAGAAACCACAACTGAGGAGGAGTAGCTATTCTTAGATAAAATTGATTTTAAAGCAATAGCAAAAAGAGACAACAAAGGGTAGAAGGCAGGACTAGCTTGCACCTCCCGCTTGGACAAACAGAGCAGCATGTCAGAGCCTCTGAGCTCAGACATGCCTATCCCTACCCCCACCTGGTGGTCTTTCTGTACTAGCCCTGGTAGCCAAAGACAATGGTCATAATCTCCTGGGAGCTCTACTGCACTGCCCACCACCTGGCAAACCTGAATACTTAACCAAGTGTACCTAGGGCAAGTTTGCATCCTCCCTATAGGACTGCAGCTGATGCACTCCTGAAAGCGCCACCTCCTGGCAGGAGCCCAATCAACACAAAACCAGCACACCAAACAAAAATACAACCAAGGACCCTCACAGAGTCCATTTCATTCCCCTGCTACATCCACTGGGGCATGTGCTGGTATTCATGGCTGCAAGACCTGAAGATGGATCACATCACAGGACTCTGCAGACACTCCCCAGTACCAACTTGGAGCCCAGTAGCTCCATTGGGTGACTAGGCCCAGAAGAGCAAAAATAATTATGACAGTTCAGCTCTCAGGAAGCCCCATTCCTAGGAGAGGGGAGAGAACACTACATAAAGGGTGCAGCCCATGGGGCAAAATAATCTAAACAGCAGCCCTTGAATCCCAGATCTTCCCTCTGACATAGTCTACCCAGATGAGAAGGAACCAGAGAAGCAATTCTGGTAGTATGACAAAACAAGGTTCTTTAACGCCCTCAAAAGATCATACCAGCTAACCGGCAACAGATCCAAACCAAGGCAAAAATCTCTGAATTGTCAGAAATAGAATTCAAAAGGTTGATTATTAAGCTAATCAAGGAGGCATCAGGGAAAAGTGAAGTCCAACTTAAATAAATCAAAAAGATGATACATGATATGAAAGGAAAGTTCTTCAGTGAGATTGATAGCATTAATAAAAAACAACCACAACTTCTGGAAATCAAGGACACAGAGAATTGGAAAATACACTGGAAAGTCTCAGTAATAGAATCAAACAAGTGGAAGAAAGAACTTCAGAGCTCAAAGACAAAGCTTTTGAATTAACCCAATCCATCAAAGACAAAGAAAAAAGAATAAAAAATGAACGAAGCCTCCAAGAAGTCTGGAACTATGTTAAAAGTCCAAACCTAAGAATAACTAGTGTTCCTGAGGAAGAAGAGAAACCTGAAAGTTTGGAAAACATATTTGAGGGAATTATCAAGGACAACTTCCCCAGCCTTGCTAGAGATCTAGACATCCAAATACAAGAAGCTCAAAGAACACCTGGTAAATTCATTGCAAAGAGATCATTGCCTAGGCACACAGTCATTAGGTTATCTAAAGTCAAGACAAAGGAAACAATATTAAGAGCTGTGAGGCAATAGCATCAGGTAACCTATAAAGGAATACCTATCAGATTAACAGCAGATTTCTTAGGAGAAACCCAACAAGCTAGAAGAGATTGGGGTACTATTTTTAGCCTCCTTATACAAAACAACTATCAGGCAAGAATTACGAATCCAGAGAAACTAAGCTTGATTAAATGAAGGAAAGATACAGTCTTTTCCAGACAAACAAATGCTAAGAGAATTTGACACTACCAAGCCAGCACTACAAGAACTGCTAAAAGGAACTCTAAATCTTTAAACAAATATCTGAAATACACCAAAATAGAACGTCCTTAAAGCATAAATCTCACAGGACCTGCTAACAATAACACAATGAAAAAAATGTATTTGGGCAAAAAATAGCATGATGAATAGATAGTACTTCATATCTCAAAACTAACATTGATTATAAATGGCCTAAATGCTCCACTTAATAGATACAGAATGGGAGAATGGATAAGAATTCCCCAAGCAAGTTTCTGCTGTCTTCAGGAGACTCACCTAACACACAAGGACTAACATCAACTGAAGGTAAAGGGGTGAAAAACGATATTGCATGCAAATGGACACCAAAAGTGGGCAAAAGTAGCTATTCTTATATCAGACAAAACCAACTTTAAAGCAACAGCAGTTAAAAAAGACAACAATAAACATTGTCTAATGATAAAAGGACTAGTCCAACAGGAAAATATCAAAATTACAAATATATATGCACCTAACACTGGAGTTCCCAAATTTACAAAACAATTACTACTAGACCTAAGTAATGAGACAGAATGCAATACAAAAATAATGTGGGACTTTAATACTCCACTGACAGCACTAGACAGGTCATCAAGACAGGAAGTCAATGAAGAAACAATGGACCTAAACTATAACCTACAACAAATGGACTTAACAGATATTTACAGAACATTCTACCCAACAACTGTAGAATATACATTCTATTCATCACCACATGAAACATTCTCCAAGACAGACCATATGGAAGGCTACAAGTCTCAGTAAATTTTTTAAAAAATCGAAATTGTATCAAGTACTCTCCCAGACCACAGTGGAATAAAATTAGAAATCAACTCCAAAAGGAACCCTCAAAACCATGCAAATACATGAAAATTAAATAACCTGCCTCTGAATGATCATTGGGTAAATAATAAAATCAAGATGGAAATCTAAAAATTCTTTGAACTGAACGATAATAGTGACACACAAACTACCAAAACCTCTGGGATACAGCAAAAGCAGTGCTAAAAGGAAAGTTCACAGCATTAAATGCCTACATCGGAAAGTCTGAAAAAGCAATAGACAATCTAAGGTCACCGTCACAGAACTGGAGAAACAAGAACAATCCAAACCCAAAACCAGCAGAAAAGAAGTAATAAAGATCAGAGCAGAACTAAATGAAATTGGAACAAACACACAAGCAAAAACAATACAAAAGATAAATGAAACAAAAAGCTGGTTCTTTGAAAAGATAAATAAAATTGACAAACAATTAGTGAAATTAACCAAGAAAAGAAGAGAGAAAATCCAAATAAGCTCAGTTGGAAATGAAATGGGGCTGGGTGCAGTGGTTCATGCCTATAATCCCAGCACTTTGGGAGGCTGAGGTGAGTGGATCACTTGAAGTCAGGAGTTTAAGATCAGCCTGGCCAACATGGTGAAACCCTGTCTCTACCAAAAATGCAAAAATTAGCTGGGCATACTGGTGCATGCCTGTAATCCCAGTTACTCGGTAGGCTGAGGCAGGAAAATTGCTTGAAGCCTGGAGGCAGAGGTTGCAGTGAGCCGAGATCACACCACTGCACTCCAGCCTGGGTGACAGAGCGAGACTCTTTCTCAAAATATAAATAAATAAATAAACAAATAAAATAAGAAATGGAATGGAAGATATTACAATTGACACCATGGAAATACAAAAGATTATTCAAGGCTACTATGAACACCTTTGTGTGCATAAACTAGAAAACCCAGAGGAGATAGATAAATTCCTGGAAATATACAACCTTCCCAGATTAAACCAGGAAGACATAGAATCTCTGAACAGACCTATAACAAGAAGTGGCGAGACTGAAATGGTAATTTAAAAACTGCCAACCCAAAAAACAGCCCAGGATTTACAGCTGCATTCTATCAGGCATTCAAAGAAGAATTGGTACCAATCCTATTCACACTATTCCAAAAAATACAGAAAGATGGACTCCTCCCTAAATCATTCTATGAAGCCAGTATTACCCGAATACTAAAACCAGGGAAGAACGTAACAAAAAAAGGAAACTACAGACCAATATCCTTGATGAGCGTAGATGCAAAAATCCTTAACAAAATACTAGAGAACTGAATCCAACAGCATATCAAAAAGATAATCTACCAAGATGAAGTGGGTTTCATACCAGGGATACAGGGATGGTTTAACATATGGAAGTCAATAAATGTGATACATCACATAAACAAAATTAGAAACAAAAATCACATGATAATCTCAATAGATGTGGAAAAAGCGTTTGACCAAATCCAGCATCCATTTATGATTAAAACCCTCAGCAAAATTGACATAGAAGGGACAAACCTTAAGGTAATAAAAGCCATCTATGACAAACCCACAGCCAACATTATACTGAATGGCAAAAAGTTGAAAGCATTCCCCCAAAAACTGGAACAAGACAAGGATGCCCACTTTCACCATTCCTATTCAACATATTATTGGAAGTCCTAGCCAGAGCATTCAAACAAGGTAAAGAAATAAAGGGCATCCAAATCGATAAACAGAAAGTCAAACTGTTGCTGTTGCTTGATGTTATCATTGTAACCTAGAAAACCCTAAAGACTCATCCAAAAAGCTCCTAGAATTGGTAAATGAATTCAGCAAAGTTGCAGGGTACAAAATTAATGAACTACAAATCAGTATCTCTGCTACACACCAACAGTGACCAAGCTGAGAATACAATCAACAACTCATCCACTTTCACAATACTTGCAAAAAAAAAAAAAATACTTAGGAATATACCTAACCAAGTGCAGGGAAGACATCTACAAGGAAAACTACAAAACACTGCTGAAAAAAATCATAGATGACACAAACAAATGGTAATACATCCCATGCTCACGGATGGGTAGAATCAATATTGTAAAAATGATTATACTGCCAAAAGCAATCTACAAATTCAATGCAATTCTCATCAAAATACCACCATCATTTCTTCACAGAACTACAAAGAAAATATCCTTAAATTCATACAGCACCAAAAAAGAGCCCACATAGCCAAAGAAATACTAAGCAAAAAGAATGAAGACTTCATGACCAAGAAACCAAAGGCAAATGCAACAAAAAGTAAGATAAATAGATGAGACTTAATTAAACTAAAAAGCTACTGCACAGCAAAAGAAATAATCAGCAGAATTAGTAGGCAACTCACACAGTGGGAGAAAATCTTCACAATCCGTACATCTGACAAAGGACTAATATCCAGAAACTACAAAGAACTCAAACAAACTGGCAAGAAAGAAAAAAAAAATCCCATCAAAAAAGTGGGCTAAGGACATAAATAGACAATTCTCAAAAGAAGATATACAAATGACCCACAAGAATATGGAAAAATGCTTAACCTCATTAATTATCAGAGAAATGCAAATCAAATCCACAATGTGATACCAGCTCACTCCTGCAAGAATGGTCATCATTCAAAAAATCAAAAAATAAGAGGTGTTAGCATGGATTCAGTGAAAAGAAAACACTTTTACGCTGTTGGTGGGAATGTAAACTAGTACAACCAGTATGGAAAACTGTGCAGATTCCTTAAAGAACTAAAAGTAGATCTACCGTTTGATCCAGTAATCTCGCTATTAGGTATCTACCCAGAGGAAAAGAAATCATAATACGGAAAAAAAAAAACTTGCACATGCATTTATATAGCAGCACAATTTGCAACTGCAAAAATATGGAAGCAGTCCAAATGCCCATCAATCAATGAGTGGATAAAGAAAATGTGAGATATATATATATATATGTATATATGTGTGTATATATATGTATATATGTGTGTATATATGTATATATATGTGTATATATGTATATATATGTGTATATATGTATACATATGTGTATATATGTATATATATGTGTATATATGTATATATATGTGTATATATATATGTATATATACACACACACACACACACAAACACACACACACCCCCCATGGAATACTACTCAGCCATAAAGAGGAATGAAATAATGGCATCTGCAGCAACCTGGATGGAATTGGAGACTATTCTTTTAAGTGAAGTAACTCAGGAATGGAAAACCAAACATCATATGTTCCCACTCATATGTGGGAGCTAAGCTATGAGGATGCAAAGACATAAAAAGGATACATTGGACTTACTTTGGAGATGTAGGGGAAAGGGTGGGGTGGGGGGGGGATAAAAGACTACAAATTGTGTACAGTGTACACTGCTTGGTTGATGGATGTACCAAAATCTCAGAAATCACCACTAAATGACTTATTCATGTAATCAAACACCACCTGTTCCCCAAAAACCTATTGAAATAAAAAAAATTAAATATTTACTTAAAAAAGACAACAAACATCATTATATAATGATGAAAGGATGAATTCAACAAGAAGAAATAACAATTCAAAATATATATGCACCTAGGTCTGGAGCTCCCAGATTCATAAAGCAATTACCAGTAGATCTAAAAAAAGAGATAGATAGAAACACAGTATTAGTGGAATACTTCAGCACTCCACTGAAAGCACTAAACAAATCATCAAGGCAGAAAGTCAACAAAGAAATAATGAACTTAAATTGCACTCTAGAACAAATGGATCTAACAGATATTTAGAGAACACTCCATCCAAGAATTGCAGAATATGCATTCTTCTCATCAGCACACAAAACATTCCCCAAGCTCATAGTGTAGTTTAGATATTTACCCAGCATCACTGACCCGCTTATTCAATTTGCCATTGCCTCTTGGTATGCTTCTTCTTATTTATATTTTTTTTTTTACTTAGGTTGAAATTGAAGATACATATGCTACTCTTCGCCAACATCCTAGCCTAGTGCACTGCAACCTCAAGAAAGAGATTTGATTTACAATACCATATTATTAACTATAGTCACCCCACTGTGCAACAGAACACCAGAACTTATTCTAATTGTAATTTGGAATATCTCTGCATAGCTAGAAGACAGAAATTTGAATGTTCCCACCACACACACAAAAATAAATGTTTGAGGTGATTAATATGCTAATTACTCTGATTTGATCATTACACAATGTATACATGTATCAACACATCACATTGTACCCTATAAATATGTATAATTTTCAATTAAAATTTTTAAAAAAGAGCTTTGAAAAATTTACAGAATATGTAAGTAACTGTGAATACAGTTTTTTATTATGTCTTATTAGATATATGTAAGAAAATATCACTCAATTACAGAAAATATGTTAAGGGAAGTAGAAACTGGGAATTCCAGTGTTAATATCCACATTGTTCCTATGTTTTGTTTAAAAACATCTCTGTTAAACATGAATCACTAGAGGATACAAATAAATACACCAATCCTAGAAACATACACTAAATATCCTGTTACGTGAAAACTACTTATTCTCTCACAGAAGAAGAAAGATGAAAAGAAACTCTGTAATTTAAAGGCTTCCTGATTAATCTGAAGCCAAGACAAACATATGGGATGGGAGAAAAAAAAAAGGCAAGTATTCAAGAATGATGTTGATTACAAGACACTATGTTAAAAATTATTTTACTTGTCACTAGGGAAAAAGTAATCTCCATTCTAAGAATGTATTATTCTAAGCTTTCTGATAAACATTTTTAAAATATGTTGTGTGCTTGATGTGATTCATTAATTCATTCATTTATTCATACTTTCAATTGATCAAATCTGTGTTGAGCACTACATGAATATCCCAGTAACCTCTAAGAGTATGGTAGCTGCTTCACACCTATACTCTCATAGTCATAAGGCAGTCTGCCCCACTTTCTGGCCACATCAGGAAAGCTCTAACTTGACGCCTGAAAATGTGATATGTGTGGTGTGTGTGTGTCTGTATGCCATAGAATACCACTCAGTCATTAAAAAAAGAACAAAATAATGTATTTTGCATCAAAGATGGTACTAGAGGTCATTATCCTTAGGGCAATCACTCAGATACAGAAAGGGAATAATTGCATGTTCTCACTTACAAGTGGAAGCTAAACAATGGGTATACATGGACATACAGTGTGGAATAATAGACATTGAAGACAACAAAAGGTGGAAGAGGAAGGGTGGTGATGATTGAAATACTACCTATTGGGTATAATGTACACTAGTACACTACTCGGGTGATGGGTAAACTAAAAGCCCAAACTTCACCTCTACACAATACATCTATAGAACACAACTGTACTTGTACCCCTTAATCTATGAAAATTAAAAATTAAAAAATATTTTTGAAAAGATCAAAAATGTGAAATTCACAGTTTGTTTATAATAGTGGGATTTCTGAAGGAAATATATTTGAATATCTAGGGTCACAGAATAAAAGTAATTCAATATAAAATAATATTCAGAAAATGATTTAAATGTGCTTATACATTCATTGGGAATATCAAATATATGATTGTATTATTATTTCATTAGCAGAATACAAGAAATATTAATTTATGCTCATCAAAAGGTAAGTTTATTTTGGTCAATTTCCAAAAATCTCCTGAGGTCTGGGCTTAACTGTGTCTTTGGAAAGATTTCTGTCTTGATAAAACAGAAGGGGTTATTCACTACTACTCTTTTTGCTGTTGTTTTTGTTGTTGTTTGAATGTTCCTTTAATTTCTTTATCTTTTTTTTCTTGAACTTTTAAGTTCAGGGGTACATGTGCAGGAGTGCAGATTTGTTAGAGGTAAACGTATGCCATGGTGGTTTGCTGCACAAATCATCCCATCACCTAGATATTAAGCCCAGCATCCATTAGCTATTCTTCCTGATGCTCTTCCTCCCCACAACACCGCCCCTCCCACAGGCCCCAGTATGTGTTATTCCCCCCATGTGTCCGCGTGTTCTCATCATTCAGCTCCCACTTATAAGTGAGAACATGTGGTGTTTCCTTTTCTGTTCCTGCACTAGTTTGCTAAGGATGATGTCGTCCAGCTCCATCCGTGTCCCTGCAAAGGACATGATATGTTTTCTTGTTATGGCTGCATACTATTCCATGGTATATATGTACCGTATTTTCTTTATCCAGTCTATCATTGGTGGGCATTTAGGATGATTCCATTTCTTTGCTATTGTGAATAGTCCTGCAATGAACACACACATGCATGTATCCTTACAATAAGAATGATTTATATTCTTTTGAGTATATACCCAGTAATGGGAATGCTGAGTCAAATGATATTTCTGCCTGTAGGTCTCTGAGGAATCATAATACTGTCTTCCACAATGGTTGAACTAATTTACACTCCCACAAACAGTGTAAAAGTATTGCTTTTACACTGTTCCTTTTACACAGAAATAAAAGAATACCCTTTCTTTCTCTTGCCTGATTGCCCTGTCCAGAACTTCCAATACTCTGCAACCTCATTGGCATGTTTTTTTGACTTTTTAGTAACAGCCATTTTTACTGGCATGAGTTGGTATCTCATTGTGGTTTTGATTTGCATTTCTCTGATGATCAGTGATGTTGAGCTTTTTTTATATGACTGTTGGCCACAGGTATGTCTTATGAGAGTCTGTTTATGTCCTTTGTCCACTTTTTAATGGGGTTATTTTTTCTTGTAAACTTAAGTTCCTTGCAGACTCTGTGTATTAGACCTTTGTCAGATGGACAGATTGCAAAAATTTTCTCCCATTCTATAGGCTGTCTGTTCACTCTGATGATAGTTTCTTTTGCTGTGCAGAAGCTCTTTAGCTTAATTAGATCTCATTTCTCAATTTTTGCTTTGGTTGCAATTGCTTTTGGCATTTTCATCATGAAATGTTTGCCCGTGCCTTTGTCCTTACTGGTACTGCCTAGATTTTCTTCTCAGGTTTGCATAGTATTGTTTTACATTTAAGTCTTTAATCAATCTTGAGTTAATTTTTGTACATGGTGTAAGGAAGGGGTCCAGTTTCAATTGTCTGCATATGGCTAGCCACTTCTCCCAGCACCATTTATTAAATAGGACATTTTTTCCCCATTGCTTGTTTTTGTCAGGTTTGCCAAAGATCAAATGGTTATAGGTATGTGACCTTATTTCTGAGTTCTCTATTCTGTTCCATTGCTCTATGCATCTGTTTTTATACCAGTACTACTCTGATTTGGTTACTGTAGCCTTGTAGTATAGTTTGAAGTTGGGCAGTGTGATGCATCCAGCTTTGTTCTTTTTGCTTAGGATTGTTTTGGCTATTCAGGTTCCTTTTCATTCCATATGAATTTTAAAATAGTTTTTTTTTTTTTTACATTCTGTGAAGAATGTCAGTGGTAGTTTAATAGAATTAGTATTGAATCTATACATTACTTTTGGCAGTATGGCCATTTTTGCAATATTGATTCTTCTTATCCATAAGCATGGGATATTTTTCCATTTGTTTGTGTCCTCCCTGATTTGAGCAGTGGTTTTGTTTCTCCTTGAAGAAGTCCTTCCCTTCCCTTGTTAGCTGTATTCTTAGGTATTTTATTCTTTTTGTGGCAATTGTGAATGGAGTTCATTCCTGATTTGGCTGTTAGTGTATAGAAATGCTAACAATTTTTGCATTGATTTTGTATCCTGAGACTTTTCTGAAGTTGCTTATCAGTGTAAGAAGCTTTGGCGCTGAGACTATAGAGCTTTCTAGATACAGAATCATGTGATCTTCAAACAAAGGTAATTTGACTTCCTCTCTTCCTATTTGAATACCCTTTATTTCTTTCTCCTGCCTAATTGCCCTGGCCAGAACTTCCAATACTCTGTTAAATAGGAGTGGTGACAGAAGGCATCCTTGTCTTGTGCTGGCTTTCGAGGGGAATGCTTCCAGCTTTTATCCATTCGGTATGATATTGGCTGTGGGTTTGTTATAAATGGCTATTATTATTTCAAGGCATCTTCCTTCAATATCTAGTTTATTGAGCATTTTTAACATAACGGGATGTTGAATTTTATTAAAGGCCTTTCTACATCTATTGAGATAATCATGTGGTTTTTGCTTTTAGTTCTATTTATGTGATTAATTACATTTATTGATTTGCATATGTTGAACCAACCTTGCATTCCAGAGGTGAAGCCAACTGGATCGTGGTGGATAAGCTTTTTGCTGTGCAGTATTGGTCTATTCTGAGATTCAAGTTCTTCCTGGTTCAGTCTTGGGAGGGTGTATGTGTCTAGAAATTTATCCATTTCTATGAGATTTTCTAGTTTATGTGCATAGACGTGTTTATAGTATTCTCTGATGGTTGTATTTCTGTGGGGTCAGTAGTAATACCCCCTTATCATTTCTGGTTGTGTTTTTTTGATACTTCTCTCTTTTCTTCTTTATTAGTCTAGTCAGCAGTCTATTTTATTACTTTCTTCAGAAAACTAGTTCCTGGATTCATTGATTTGTTTAAGAGCATTTTGTGTCTCTATCTCCTTCAGTTCAGCTCTAATCTTGGTCATTTCTTGTCTTCTGCTAGCTTTAGGATTTGTTTGCTCCTGGCTCCTAGTACTTTTAGTTGAGATGTTAGGTTGTTAACTTGAGATCTTTCTAGCTTTCTGATGTGTTCATTTAGTGCTATGAAGTTCCCTCTTAACACTGCTTTAGCTGAGTCCCAGAGATTCTGGTATGTTGTCTCTTTGTTCTCTTTAGTTTCAAATAACTTCTTGATTGTAGCTTTAATTTCACTATTTCCCCAAGAGTCATTCAGGAGCAGTTTGTTTAATTTCCATGTAGTTGTGTGGTTTTGAGCGAATTTCTTAATCTTGAGTTCTAACTTGAATGCACTGTGGTCTGATAGACTGTTATGATTTAAGTTCCTTTGCATTTGCTGAGGAGTGTTTTACTTCTGATTATTTGATCAATTTTAGAGTAAGTGTCATGTGGCAATGAGAAGAATGTTATGCTCTGTTGTTTTGGGATGGAGAACTCTGTAGATATCTATCAGGTCCACTTGATTCAGAGCTGAGTTCAGGTCCTTAATATCTTTGTTAATTTTACGTCTTGATGATCTGTCTAATATTGTCAATGGGGTGTTAAATTCTCCCACTACTATTGTGTGGGATTCTAAGTCTCTATGTAGGTCTCTAAGAACTTGCTTTGTGAATCTAGCTCCTCCTGTATTGGGTGCTTATATATTTAGCATAGTTAGCTCTTCCTGTTAAACTCTTCACCATCATGTAATGCCCACCTTTGTCTTTTTTGATATACTCTTTTTTAGCACTGTGCTAAATTCTGAGTATTGAGTAGTGAATAAATGAGATTGACCCTTGCTTCATAGAACTTAGGTTCAAGTGGTAAAAATAATCACACTAATTTTGGAATCTTAAGTGTGTGTTATAAATGAAACATACAAGATCTATACTACAAATTTTGTAAACTGCTGTTTTAGGTAGAGTGGACAGGATAGTTTGTCTCTTAGCTGCTTTCAGGGAGCAGGGTAAGGCAGTTGCTTCTGGCTGGCAGAACTGCAAGGATTAGGCATCTTAATGTTGAGTTTCAGTGTAAAGAAGCCCATTTGTGGTACACCCTAGTGTCAGCTTCCAAATGGCATTTATCAGTAATAAAATGCCCTTTTGATTTCCCATCTTCCTTACTCAGAACTTCATTCCACATTATAAATGGAATAGAGTTAGTATTTAATGCCTCTCCCAAAAAATAGAATAGAGTTAGTATTTAATGCCTCCTCCCAAAAAAGTCCAACATTCAACTTGTCAAAAAAAAAAAAAGGAATGACAAAAAAGAAAATGTGCATTATCTTTCCTTCCTTCCAAAATCTGATTTTGTCATGTTCTTCATCTTGATTAATGGCATTATCATTCTCCCAGATGTGCAGGCATAAAACCTTGGTATCATTTGTTACCCCAAATTCCCATCTGCAGCAGTCCTTGGCAATAACTGGGACATGCAAAGAGCTAAATGATTCTGAAATCTTAGAATCAAACTATTGTTTCCAAATGATTAGGAAAGCTATGTTCTAATGTTTCTCAAAATGCAGCTCTCAATTACCCAAAACAGAATAAGAAAGGGAATTTGTTAAAATTGGAGATTCTAGATCACTATTTTAGAAATTCTGGACAGAATTTTTGGAAGTGGAGACATGGACTATATATGCATTTTTAACAAGCTCTCAGAGTGATTTTCATGTACACTGAAATTTAAGAATCTCTTTCCTTTCCCTTACTACCTGCATCCAGATATTGTCATATCCTGTCCATTTCCCTAACTTTTTTCCCATTAATCCAATCCTACAGGCCTCTATAGCCCTAGGACTATATACTAACCTGCTTGGTGCCCAGCACTTTCTACCTTCACTTAAAATGGCTATATTACTGCCAGGATAAACTTTTTAAGTACAGATCTCTCCTGATATAGCAACCAACTAACTAAACAACAACAACAAAAACAAAATCAGATTTTTCAGAGATACTCAATTCTCAACAAAAGTGATCTTAAGCAGGCAACATACCTGGAAGTTACTGTGCTCTTTTTAGAATACCATATTGTTTGTAAAACATCATTATATAATGACATCTTGAAATCTGTCATGGGAATGAACAAAAATTTTCCTAGGAGAAGATACTGTGTTTTGTTTGTGCAATAGAAAGTTACAATTTTGAGCACAAATATCTATGTGAAATACAATCTTTCAAACTAAGTAAAATTAGTTGTTTATGAATTTTTCTCTTAATTTTAATATACTTGTTCATTTACTTGTTATCAATTGGCTTGCAAACAAGTTGTACCAAGCACAGGATATAAAAAAAAAATACATAAATAAGGGGAAAAAATCTCAGAATGAGAAATTTGTATCAGGTTACTGCCACATTATTATATTCTCCTAATTAATACCATGATTTGATTCTAGCTTCTTAATCAACTATTGCTAGAATAATGTGGCATAATCAATAACCATAGAAATATCAGTGGCATACAGCAAATAAGCATTTATTTTTCACTTCTTTGGTCAAGCTGGGGTTGACTAACTTAAGCTAACCTTGGCTGCATTTGGTGCCAGGCTATAGGTTTAGTCATAGTTTACGCCAGATATCCCACAGTCTACTAGGATCAGAGGACTAGCTGGGTCATATTCTTTTCAAGGTTAGGGCCAGAACTTTCTGTGCAGAGAGGGCAGGCAAGTGAAAGGGGGAAAGGAATAATGAGAGAGGTAGGTGTGTGTATGCATGTGTGTGTGTTTCTGGCTCTCTCTCTGTATATATCTACCTGTATCTGTCTCTCTTTTAGCAATGAAAACAATAACTTACTCAAAAGACCCACGTATACCCTTGACAGGCATCTCATTGGTGAGAGGTACATCATGCGGCCACTTCTAGTTATCTGCACAAATTGAAGTTCCATATTACTGAAGTCAAACAGGCAAGGAAGACATTATTGAAGACTACTGCTGTTGGGAAAGGGGATAAAACTCTTCTAATCTCAACTCCTCTAAAAGAAAAAAAGGAGTGGAGAGTTATTAAGAGCTATTTTGGGAAGATCACCGGCCACCTGAGTTTGCTGATTGACTTTACCCAAAGGAAAAGTAAATTTTCTCCTCCATGACAGGAGGTGGTTTTACAACTTGAAGCGAGAAGCCTACAACAGTTAGGTTCCTTTCCTCTCACACAAAATAAGAGATGGCCCACTACCTTCCTTGCTGATTATATTTCAAAGGCATGATGGCTTTCCATACCCTTGAGATAGTTTTCAATTATATAACTGGCCAGAAGCTTTAAAAAATATTTACATCTGAAAAGGGAAGAGAAATAACTTACAATGGTAAAGTTTTCTAAAGTAATTTTTTTTAATATACTTTAAGTTCTAGGGTATATGTGCACAACGTGCAGGTTTGTTACATATGTATACATGTGCCATGTTGCTGTGCTGCACCCATTAACTCGTCATTTACATTAGGTATATCCCCTAATGCTATCCCTCCCCCCTACCCCACGACAGGCCCCGGTGTGTGATGTTCCCCATCCCGTGTCCAAGTGTTCTCATTGTTCAATTCCCACCTATGAGTGAGAACATGCAGTGTTTGGTTTTCTGTCCTTCTAATAGTTTGCTCAGAATGATGGTTTCCAGCTTCATCCATGTGCCTACAAAGGACATGAACTCATTACAAGCAAATGCTCTTTAGAAAGGGAGGTCAGGGACCCATAGGCAGGAAAAAAAGCCTGCTTAAAGCTTGTAATGAAGCTAAGGAAAACTAAGCCCTTCTGGCTTACAGATTAAATGTGTTATTGCAGTTTGACACCAATGAATTCAGATTATGAGTTTCCAATCTCTCAGGGTTCCTGCATGAGAGAGTTGCTGTACATTTTACACAATCTCTTTTTGTCTACTTACTTTCTTAATACGCATCCTTGACCGCTCCTCACTAACAGTGAAAAGAACAATGCTTCCAAAACGGTCACGTCCTCGCTTTTTACACAAGTGCGCGTGCGCACTGGGCGCTAGGCCTCTGACGTCACCAAGTGCATCCGCCCCTACAAGTTAGCAACCGAAGGCGTCCTTAGCAGCAGTGGCCGCTGAGATGTACGAACTTCCGGTTCTCCGGGCAGCTGCCACTGCTGTAGCTTCTGCCACCTGCCACGACCGGGCCTCTCCCTGGCGTTTGGTCACCTCTGCTTCATTCTCCACCGCGCCTATGGTCCCTCTTGGAGCCAGCGTGGCGGGCCTGGCGGCTCCCGGGTGGTGAGAGAGCGGTCCGGGAACGATGAAGGCCTCGCAGTGCTGCTGCTGTCTCAGCCACCTCTTGGCTTCCGTCCTCCTCCTGCTGTTGCTGCCTGAACTAAGCGGGCCCCTGGCAGTCCTGCTGCAGGCAGCCGAGGCCGCGCCAGGTCTTGGGCCTCCTGACCCTAGACCACGGACATTACCGCCGCTGCCACCGGGCCCTACCCCTGCCCAGCAGCCGGGCCGTGGTCTGGCTGAAGCTGCGGGGCCGCGGGGCTCCGAGGGAGGCAATGGCAGCAACCCTGTGGCCGGGCTTGAGACGGACGATCACGGAGGGAAGGCCGGGGAAGGCTCGGTGGGTGGCGGCCTTGCTGTGAGCCCCAACCCTGGCGACAAGCCCATGACCCAGCGGGCCCTGACCGTGTTGATGGTGGTGAGCGGCGCGGTGCTGGTGTACTTCGTGGTCAGGACGGTCAGGTGAGGCAAAGCCTCGGTGGGGCACCCCCGTGGGCCTGAGATACGCAGGCCGGTGATCTCCAGCAAGGCTGACTTCTGTGACCCTTTCCCCCTTCCCCAGCATCAGGGACTCCTGCTTAAGAATATGATATTGACTTTCTTAAAGGCCTGTTACCTTTGGAGCAATTTAAACCTATAACTAATTGCTGCCTTTTGTTTATAAATGAGTGCCCTACCTCCAAATCTCTTCATCTGACCTACAACCCACGTCAGCCTCAAAGGGCACCCTTTCTCTGAAGTGAGGATAATCTTTATTCCCTAGAATTTTGACTACTCTGTCTTGTAATACTTCTACCTTTCTAGTCTAAATTTTTGTATACCTAACTGGTCAAAATTTTGCCAATCAGAATGCAAACTCTTTAAAGACAGGATATCTATTTAGTAGGTTTGTGAGTCTTACAAATTATTTGTACAATGCTGCCACTTAATAGGAAATCAATATATATTTGAGTGGATTAATAGTAATATAGAGGTGCCTTATGGATATTTTATTTTTATAAAATTCAGGAGAAGAAAAGTTCTTCCTTACTATCAGTGTTTCCTAGTATTGCCCTTTAATCTGCCACCTAAGTGGCAGAGAATCACCTTCCTGAAGAGTTGACATACAGAGCCAAGACCTCACCATTAGGAGAAGCCAGCAAAGAGATAAGGTGAGGGAAAGCTGTCTAGCAGTTTATTTCATTATAAAATAAGTGTAGAGGGTAGGTTTGCAGCTTATGTTTGTTTATTGTTTTCAAAATTCACGTTTTTCCCATAAATACCCTCTGTATTGTAATTTAACATATTTCTTTAAACTGATTATTTAAAGCAAAAGTTTCCTTTTAAACAAGTCGTTATTATCATGAATGGAAAACCAACATCACTTGGCTAGTTAAAAAATAGTGTAAGCCAGTGGTTCTTGACATGTGGGCCAGGGAACCACACAGGTGGGAGTTTCACTTAGACCTCTTCAGGGCATCTACAGTATTAAAACTATTTTCAAAATAATACATTCTGTTACAGGCTTATAGGGTACAAGTAGTTCATTGATATTGTTTCAGATTCCACATTGCAACTAATCTTTAAGAAACTGCTTGTCAAGTTTTGGTGTAGTAGTATCATAAAGGAATAACCACTCATATATAAAAAGGCTATTAAAATGTTTCTTTCCATTCCAAGTTTATATCTGTGCGAAGATGGAATTACTTTGTATGCTTCAACCAAACAACACATTGCAAAGGATTTAATGCAGAAGTAAATATAAAAATCTATCCATTTCCTATTTTTTGTTTCTATTTTTTATCTACTCCTATCACCTTAAGCCAGATATTAAAGGGAATTGGAAATAAGAATCTAAATGTCATTCTTTTTACGTTTTTTTCTTTTTTGAAAATATAGTTGTTTTTCATAAAAGTTATGTTAACTTGTAATGTGTTTACTATTATTTTAAATCAGTTGATAAGTATAGGTTTTCTCAAGTTTAATTAATATGGTAAAGTTGATATGTGTAATTCACATAAATATAAGTTATTTTGGGTTCCTGAACAATTTTAAGAATGTAAAGAAATCCAAAACAGCAGGCGTAAGCAATATTTGAGAACCACAGCTGTAAGAAATATTATTTGAGCTAGATATTGTTGGTTCACAAAGGCTAGCAAATCTGCACTCACACTCTAAGTGTTAAAAGCATATTACCACCAAACTGAGACTTTCTTCTTAATATAAAGAAAGATTAAAAGAATATTGAAACAAATTATTTTCCTCACTATATAACTGTTATTTACTGCTGTCTGTACATAGTTCCTATAAAAATGCATGGCCCCTTGAATGTTGTATCTCTTATACATAAAAATGATAAGTATAATGATAATTTGGGGGGAATATTCCTTCCTTGTTTTTTTCCTTTTGCTTCCACCTTTTTAATTATTTTAAATACACATATTTATTACCATTGATTTTCTGTCATTAATGTTGTAAAACTTGGACAGATACAGTCCTTCCAATATGATCCTATTGGATGACTTGGTAACATGATGTGTGTTAACAGCCAAATTCTGAACTATGGCTAATAAAAAGTGCATTCTTTAACCAGCATCTAACATATTCATGCAGTCCAAGTCCTACATTTAGTTGGCTGCCTGGCATCCAAAGCTTGAATGATGCTAACAATGTCTGGGCAGTGTTCCGAACTCATACTTTTTGCTTCCAGATTATGGTTTTCTTCATTATCTTGGTGAATGCTCATTTTGGCTCCCATTTTCAAACTATGTGTGACAGTGCACTGAAATTAGTTATTTGTGCCAAGGGAGAAGAATGGGCCAAAATCATTATTTTCTTAACTGATTTGAGGTGATGCAGAAAATATTTTACTTGTAAAATTTTATTACATTGAACTACATGAGACTTTCAAATAGTTTTGTTTTTATCTAATTCATTTATAATGAATATGTAGGTAATAATAACTTCCTTTTTGAGTCTGGAAACATTCCAAAGAACAGTCAGGTTCTCACTGTAGAAATACAAAACATATATATATATATGTAAGTGTATATATATATATGCAAGGAACACGGTAGGGACAAAGTAGATTGCCTAAAATGAACACTTAATCTCTATGAAAAGAGACTTTTCTGTCTTATTCTCCCCTATATCCTCAGTGCTAAACATCATGTGCAATATATGATGGGCACTGAATAAGCAGTTGCCTAATGGATGAGCACTCTTCATGTATTATATTGCTGAACAGGTAGGTGGTAAGGATTTGGAAATTTAAGGATAATTGCTGTTTACTGACGGAACAAAGAACTGCGAAGATCTCAATTAATACTTTTATTTCCTTCCTCTCAGTAGGACATTCTCTCCACAGTAAAATGTATAAGGCCAGGGAGCGGGGGTGGGGGGAAATCACTGTAGATGGTTGTTGGTTTTAGCACGTATGGTAATTATATAAAGCAATTTTTGTCATAGCTGAATAATGATTCTTGCCTTAAAAGCAGGGAATTATTTCCTTTTTCATGCCATGTCGTTGGTTTTTCGTTTTTTATTCAATTTGGTATATTGGAAGGAAATCGATGCTTAAAAGTTTAACCCTCTACTTTTTTTAAAAAAAATCTCTATGCTCTTTAGCAAGTCTCTTCCAATTTCAAGAAAATATGGTGCTCATGCTCATATAGTGGAGATGAGCATGAAATTTATTATGATAGCCTTTATTTAAGCAGTCAATATTTATTCAACTGACCAGTACTGGGCACTGGGGATACAGTTTTGAGCAAAACAAACATTTCTGCTTCTATAACACTTATATACTAGAGGAGCAGAGGGGCATTAACCAAATAATCACATAGATAAGTACATAAAGGATGCTATGAAAAGGCATTAAAATGCAGATCCTATTAATACATATTATATAGGAAATAAAGAATATTAATTTAATTTGAATGCTTACCCAACCCTATACGCTAAGACACAACGTTAGGTTTTTTCAAAGAACCATACTTTGTAACTGAAAGATTATTTTTGAGCTTTTACTTATCATCCTAATAGCTGATAGTTAATTGATAATTTATGTGTCAGATATAATACCGCATACTTTATGTGCATTTTGAAATTCTTGCAAAAACCTTCAAAGTAGGTAATATCATTCTTACTGAGGAAATTTAGGCTGAGCAAGTTTAAATAACTTGCCCAAGCGTGCACATACAGGACCTGCCCAAACCCAGCTCTGCTGGAACTTACCTAACATGTTCAACCATCATGCTGCTTCCTGTGATCATTTAAAGTAACCAATTTAAAGCGATATTGCACATAAAGATGGCTAGCTTATTTATGGAGAAAAATAAAGTGGATAGTATATGCCCAGTGCCTTTCTGTTTAAAACACATGATTTTGTTGGATGTTAAACCTCCAAATTTTACCTTTTTGAAAAGTGAGTTAACATTTATTGATCATCATATTTGTGCCAAGGTGAAATAATTTTGTTTCCTACCTCAACTCCCTGCATTCCTTCCCTCATCCAAAGATTTTCCTGATTTACTACACATAGTCAGGGAATGGTAATATTTTAAAGAAACGTCTGTTAATATGGTCACACATATTTCCACCTTAGTGGAGCAAGTCACTAATGATTTATGCATGTGACTTTAATCACCATTTCTCTTTTGTCTGGTTACTTAAGAATATGAGTTGTTTTCTTTTTCTCCTAGAAGTCTTGTGGTACCAGCCCTATTTACAAAATTATAAAACATCCATAGAAATCACTTAATTTAAGCAAAACCAGGAGTACTTTTGACTATTTAACCATTTATGTATTTAGTGACTGTCACTAATTCAGTAAATATTATTTACCACCTATTGGGTGCCATTACTAAGCTCTGTGATGAGGGTTAGTAGTGCACAAGGAAAGTCCCTGCATTCATGGAACTTCCATTATAATTGTTCATATCTCCTTGGAAAGTGGAGTTTTCCTAACATGTGTAAATTGTCCTGGTTTGCCATTATTTATTTAGCTAGTCAGTGTATATCAAATGTTTTCTATATAAAGAGACCCAGAAACTTGGAAATGTATTTAACAAGTACTAGTTCGCAAGTAATGAATATTTTTTTGCAAAGGTGAAACTTCCCTTCACAAAATGTTTACTCATACACCTAAAATATTTTAAAGTGTCAAGTTAGTTTGCTATGTGGTCAAGTGCCAAAATACCAAGATGATGACATAACTGATATGTCAGGGATCATAATCCCTGATATGATTATCATATCATAAGTGAAGTGATAATAGAATGCTCTGTTTTTAAGTGATATTTGTTATGTGTGCAGTTCTGGGAGGTAAAAGTGGAGATGTACTAGTTTGTTGGGGGCGTTGAGGCCAGAGCAATGCTTGCTCATGTAATGCCACATATAGACATTGATATCTATACGGGGTAAATGTATGAGACTACCTGCCCTGATACTATCCACCTTAGACACTGCCTAGTGATCTCAAGAGCTGAGGAGATCTTTGCTTCACCACATCAATAGCCATTTGCTTGTATGACACCCTGGCTCAGGAGATTTGTAGGACAATGCTGAATGTGGACTATGTAAAGTAGTTTGACAAGTTATCATATGGGCCACCTTTAAGCCCACACAAATCTGTTTCTGATAAATTTGAATGACTGTTATATCTCTCAAACTTCTGAATATTAGGGCTTCAAAGATAATAAAGACATCATATTTGTGTTCAAGGAGCTTATCTAGTGAAGGAGTACCACTGCTTTTTGTGGTAATAAACTAAACTTTTGGGAATGTGGCAGCAAGAGCTGAAGCTATTTGGAGAAGGCTGCTCTTAAATATCATTCCTGTTAGACAAAGCCATCTGAAAAGCCACTTCATAACATAACAAAAACTATTATATTTTTGTAGAAGACTAAATATTTATCTCTAATCAGCATAAATCTTTTACAAACTTGCCCTGTAACTGAATCTATTTTCAGTTGACCTTTTCTGCTTGGATATATTTCATTTCACTCTTAACTGTGCAGGCAGGGAGAAGTATTGGATGAGAGCTGTAGAAAGGGGTCCATTTAAGAATGAACTATCCAGTCTTGTTTAAATGCCATTAGTGGGGAAAGAGCAAGTACAGAAGGAAATATTGAAGATATGGGAAAGGAAGATACCTAAGAAGACATTAAGGAGGGAATCTAAATAAAGCTCTTGTCATAGGACAGGAGAGAGATTTTCCATTGAAATGTTCCCATTTCCATGCCTTTCATTCTCTCTTATGCTTTTTGTAGTCTGGCTTCTAATTCTACCACTCTAGAATTACTCATGCAGAAGATGGTTAATAAGCACATTGTCTCAGTTTCATGGATATTTTCCCCTTTTCTGTAGCACTCAGTGCACTGGTTCTTACTTTGACTTCTGAGACATCTCTTCTGATTTTCTTCTTACCTCCTTGAGTATTTCTTGCCTAGCTTCTTCATGAATTTCTTATTCCATGAACTCTTCTTCCTAATTAGGACTCTTCTACAAGCTAATGTCTGGAGAGCAGGGCCTCTGTCTTACTCATCTTTGGTCCCTAAAGGCCCAATCTGATTCCTAGAATACAACGAGATGCATTGAATTTTTGTGGAAGAGAATGACTTTCACCTCCCAACTGACAGTGTTTTCTGGGCCCTGCTTTCACTGTCCATGTTCCCTGGGTGATCCATCCAAAATTCATTTCCTTAATGGCCACCTCTAAGCTGTTAATTACTTTCTGAGTTACAGACATGTATAGCCAGCCAACTTCTTACGGGATAGATGATTCAGACTTGTTTTCAAGTTTAAGCTTGAAACAGTATTTTTATCCCTGGACAAATCTTGCTGTACTCTCTTTATAAGGAGAATAACACCATCATCTACACAGTTTCTCAAACTAGAAACCTAAGTCATCCCATGTCTCTCTTTTGCTTACCATTCACATACAGTCATCCAATTTCAATTGCTAAATATTTCTTGACTATATTGCTGCTTTATGAGCTCAATTGACCTTACATTAGTTTAGGTTCACATCACTAGATTATTGTGCTATTGTTTCTAACTTTTCTCCACTTCACCTGTCTCTCTTTCAATTTACCTTCAACACTGAACAGATGGTGTTCCCTCTGAGATGTAAATCTATCATACTATGTGTGTGCTTATAATCCTTTATTGCTACACTGTCCAATATGGTAGCCAGTAGGTACAGGTGGCTATTTAAAAACTTATGTTACCTGGGCACAGTGGCTTACGTTTGTAATCCCAGCACTTTGGGAGGCCAAGGTGGGAGGATCTCTTGAGTCCAGGAGTTTGAGACCAGCTTGGGCAATATAGTGAGATCCTGCTTATTATATTTATATATATATATGTGTGTGTGTGTGTGTGTATAATATTCACACACATGTGTAGGGGGTATATGTGTGTGTGTATATATATGTGTGTGTGTAATATATATGTATATACACATACTGGGTATAGCAGTGCAGGCCTGTAAGTTCCAGCTGTTTGGGAGGCTGAAGTGGGAGGATCACTCAAACCTAGGATATTAAGACTGCAGTGTGTGATGATCACACTACTGCACTCCACCTTTCATGACAGAGCAAGACCTTGTCTCAAACAAAGTTAATGAAAAATAAAATGTAAAATTCCAGTCCATTAGATATACTAGCTGCATTTCTTTTATTTATTTAGAGACAAGGTCTGGCTCAGCTCACTGCAACCTCTGCCTCCCGGGCTCAAGCCATCCTCCCACCTCAGCCTCCCAAGTAGGTGGGACTACAGGCGCACGCCACCACACCCAGCTATTTATTGTATTTTTTATAGAAATTTGGTTTTGCCATGTTGCCTAAGCTGGTCTCGAACTCTTGAGCTCAAGTGATCTGCCTGCCTTGGCCTCCTAAAGTGCTGGGATTACAGGTGTGAGCCACTTCACCCGCCAACTAGCCACATTTTGAGGGCTAAATAATCACATGTTGTTAGTGGCAACTGTATTGGACAGAACAATGCAGAATATGTCCATCACTGCAGAAAGTTCTATTGGGTAGCACAATTCTATGGCATTTCATGGGATCAATGTTCATACTCTTTAGTATTTAATTAGCTCCTTAATCAGATTTTTTGGTGTTTTTGACATGGAGTCTCCCTCTGTCACCCAGGCTGGAGGGGAGTGGCACAGTCTTAGCTCACTGCAACCTCCACCTCATGGATTCAGACGATTCTCCTGCCTCAGCCTCCCCGAGTGGCTGGGACTACCGGCCATCATTTTTTATTTTATCTTGTCTTCCAGTCTCTAGTGAACTATATTTTTATGCAAGTACATTTTTCAAGGATGGAATTCTTTGCATTCTTTCTTTATTCTCTTGTTTAACTCCTGGTTGTCTTTGAAGATGAAATGGAACATGTACTCTACTGGGAAATCTCTGTGATTCCAGACCATTTTGAGAATACCTGTGTTATGACATTATTTCCAGGGGACTATAATAGGTGGTTCTGTTTCTGTCTTCTTTTCTACACTGTTTGCTTTTTATACCTTATTTAGAAAATAGTAGATTTTCACGTTTTCTGAATTAATATCAAAAGGAAATAAGAAATAATGTATCAGGCTGGGCATGGTGGCTTATGCCTGTAATCCCAGCATTTTGGGATTCTGAGGCAGGCAAACTGCTTGAATCCAGGGGTTGAGACCAGCCTGGGCAATATAGTGAGACTTCATCCCTACTAAAATGAAAAAAAGAAAAAATTAGCTAGTTGTGGTGACCTGTGGCCCCAGCTACTCAAGAAACTGAAGTGAATCACTGGAGTCCAGGAAGTCAAGGTCGTACCCCTGCATTTGTACCCCTGCATCCCGGAAACAGTTGAGGCCAAGGTCATACCCCTGCATTTGTACCCCTGCATTTGTACTCCTGCATCCTCAAACAGATGAGATCCTGGAGAGAGAGAGAGAGAGAGAGAGAGATCGAGAGACAGAGAGAGAAGGAGAGGAGAGAGAGGGGGAAAAGAGGAGAAAGAAAGATAAAGGAAAAGAATAAAAAAGAAATAATGTATGTGAAATCAAAACATGTAAATGAAGATTAAAAATGTGAGGTAGCTGTGTGAGAGTGGTGTTAACATCAATCCTGCAATAATGTAGTCATTTTAACTCATTTCAATTCCATACTGGAGCCTCATGATATATGCTTGTGCAGAGAAGTCAGTTTTTTTAACAGGTGTATATTTGCATGTATTTACCCAAGATAATGTGCAGATTATTCACCAGTGTATATCTAACATGACTGCAGTCCTCAGGGTATTAGAGTACAACCAGAAAATGCATTCCTCTGTAATTGATAGAGGTTGAATGTGGGACAAAATGGAGAAACTAGATTGAGATGCTTCTGGTTAGTTATTGCAAAGTTTTTCTGAAAACAAAATCAATAGCATTTGAACATTACTATCAACTGGTAGCAATGCTCAGGTGGTATCTACCAATACACTCTACCAGTGTTTCTGGACCCATTGCTACAGCAAGCGTCTATTCTGACTAGATGGTCCTTATGCCCTGCCAGTTGTTAAATAGCTAAATATCTTGAGTATCACCTCTACTCCTACACTTCAAAGTTCCTGAGTTCTTTTGTCATGATCTCCAGTGCCCATTGTAGTATTTCTCTTCTATATTATTGCATTTGATTCTAATTTTATCTTTGGTGAAGACTACATTTAAAAAATTACTTAGGTTTGATCTTTTCTAAAATATGAGAAATATGGTAAAATGTTGAAATTGGGTTGAAAGATATGTTGGTAATTTGCATTGTTCAGTATGATATAAAACATATCTAGAGAAATACTTAAATCATAAATTGAGAATCTTATAGTAATTGAAGTTACTTTCTTAAGAAATCAGGTTTTCCTTGGCGTTTTTGGATAGATTTTTATTGCTATATTCTTTAATAATCCTTTTTTTTTCTGGAAGAAGAAAGTGGTATAGAGTTGAAAATTCATAGAACATGAAGATATTGACTGTTGTGAGATTTTGGTTGGCATGTAATGTCAATTCTTTCTGTGTAGCCAAACTGTATTATGTTTTTGTAATGTAAAAGGGGTAATATATACTATGGTTTGACTTTAGTTATACTGTAATTTTATGTATTCACCAGTTATCTCAATAGTAAAGCAAAACATCCAAAAGATAAAACTGTCTCTATGTTTCTATGCTAATTAATTTACATACATATGAGTATATGTGTAATTTTCCATGCATGCCTTTATTCCTCTAGTTAATATGATAGTTTTAGTTTTAACTTTCTTTTATTACTGAAATCTATAGAACATAAATTCACATTATTAATATATGTTACATGTTAATAAAACACATGACATAATTATAACCTTGTGTTATCACTTATAATTGTTTAAAGGAACTATTATTTTTCCTGTCATTATGTATACTGTAGACACCTTAAATTTATATAGATGTATACAAAAAACCTTATAAAATTATTTGATAAGTGTTATTTCAGCCTCAACTCTGAGGTGAGTAGATAATTTTTCAAATTAGGAAACTGATATGAGAAGCTACGTATTTTAATCAGGATAGTACAAGCTACAGTTGAACAAACAACTTCAATCTAAATGACTTAATACAATAAAATTCTATTTTTCCTTTAAGAAAATTCAGCTGCAGATTTGGGCTATCCTCCAACACAGTTGTCCTCCATGTGGTAACAGCAATTTAGCTGGCTTTAATGTTTGGTCTTGCCATGCCAACATATGTCCTTCACAGTTGTCAGAGCTTGGTGAGAGACACCAGAGAATGCACAGGAGCTTTCAAATGCCTTAACCTAGAAAAGGCACAGTTACATCTGTTCATGTTTTATTGACCAGTCCTAGTCATGAGCCTACTATGGGAAGTGAGTAGGTACTATGTGTGGGGAGGCAGGGGGAGGGAGGTCAAGATTTGATGAACACTAATAATATCTACCGTATGAAGTGATAGACCAAAGGTCATATTGCTGGAAGAGTGCCCAAGCTCCTGAAGAACTCAGATTTGGAACTCTACTTTTGCCATCTCTTCTACATTATTCAGTGAGTTCTTGAAGTAATTGATTGATTATATTTTTACTCTTTCATTGGTATGAATTTGCATCTTACCAAATAGTAAAACAAATTTCTATTGAGCCTGGAAATAATACACAGTAAATACTTTTGCCATTAGCTTGAGCTGCACTATCTCCCTGTGCTATCTTATAAGTTATATGCACTATACCAGATACACATTGATACCCATTGCAAAACTATCCCAATTCTTCAAAAAGTGATGCTGCCATAAACAGTCAACGAAATGCATCTACTCATTAATTACCTGTTCTTATTTTCTTCTCACTGTCGACTGCTTACTGTGTATATTTTTTTCTATCCTATAGCTTCTGGCTTCTCTTGAGTTTTTGTTTTCTTGTGATCTACTATGACTTGTCATTCTCTTTATTCTATATAATGTTATTTTGACTCCTTTAGTCTTTATCACCCATTAAAACTGCCTCATGTTCCTGTGTGCATATATATGTGCATATTTTCTTCCATATTGACTTCCCAAAGTTGATATTCTGATGGTTTATCTTATCTTTGTAGGCTAGGCCACATCATCCATCACAATCTAGCCTAGGGATTGACAGTCCTAGTTTAGAAAGTTGCTCATCCCAGGCTTGTGTTAGTTTTCAGTGGGAATAAGTGATTTTTCATGGTAGAAAACATGATTAACCATTTCTGTCCATTCATAAAAAAAAGTATGAGTGGAGTAGTTTTTCTGAGGACTAGGGACAGTGGACATGACAGATTGCATGATATGTCTTGTACATTGTTTTAACAATGTAGATTTCCATATTTTTAATGGTGGGATCCTAATATATAAACTAACTAAAAGCAACAATGCACTGATTGGCCACACCTCCACAGAAACCTAGGACACTGAAGAGCCCAGTTTGAAAACAGTCATGTTTTTCAATTTGGGCTGCCAAATCTCTGAGAGAATGTGATGGAAATTATATGATGATCTGCAAGGAGATGGGAAAACTGTGCTAAGCTGAGAAAACAAGTATAAAATGAAGCTATGAAAAGTTAGTGAGCTTTTTGGTGGCAATGTTATTTTAGATTGAAAATTGCTGATGAAACATTTGATTGGTTTATTCAAAGTGGACGGATTGCTGATAGAACCCGCCTGAAAGATTCTTAAAGGGTATCACTATGAGTATATACATCCAGATGATATACAGTAGCAGTGTGGCTCAGAGAAACTAATATGTTAAGTGTCCTTATCATTTAGGAGGTTTTTAGCTATAAATAATAAAATATCCAATTAAAAGTGAGTTAAACACAAGGAAATATTTTTTTTTTGTCATTTACTTATCATGTATATGAATAGGCCTAGGTTTGGTTCACTGGCTTTGGGAGATTATTAAGAATTCCATATTTTTCCACTCTTGCCTTTCTATAGGATGGCTGCCTCTGCTCTAAATATTCTGCTCTCACTCAATAGTATCTTAAGCAGGAAGGAGGGAAGGGACTATGAACGGAAGACTTCTGTATGCTTTTGTTTTGTTTTATAATCAGGGAGAAAAATCTTTCCTGGAAACCCCACTAACAGAGACATCCCCTTCTATCTCATTTGTCCGAACTGCTTCATCTGCTTACTCCTAGACAATGGCTGGCAAAAGGAAAATTATATTTTCATGATTGGTTTGAATCAATTATTATGGCCATTATGTACTCCTTAGGGCTGGGCTCAATTGCTCTCTAAACAAAATCATGGTTCTGTTAAGCCAGAAGAAGAAAGTTGCCTCTAAACAAAGCAGATTCTATTACAGTGATCAAAATTAAGAGAGAGATTCATCAGAACAACAACTAATCAAAACAACATAATTGTACTTGTTAATGCAAGTAGCTGCCAAGTTATTATTATTATTATTACTACATAAGGATGAACTAGAAAATATGGCTCAACTAAAACAATTATCTAGTTTGGTATAATGTGAGATAGTTGTTTTGAAGATTAGCAGGCTGTTTTCACCTAATTTTTTGACCTTCATTAAAATTACTTAGATTCATTAGGAATACAATTTGTCTCAATATTTTAAAACTCAGACTCAGTAGTCAGCTTACTCGTGTATGAATCTTAGCTCTACCATTCACTGTCCCACATTTAATTTTCTCTACTTTGTGCCTTTCTGTGGATGAAATGAAGGTACTTAAGCTATAGGATTGTTATGAGAATCAGATAATATTTATGAGTTGTTTAGCTTAATGCCTGGCATATGTGCATGCGCAGAACATCAGCTCTTCATAATCGCATGCTTTTACATCTAGAATTCAAATTACAATTTATCTGAGGAGTTTTACTATAATGTTTTTAATACCTCTGTCTCATAAACTATTAATACTATCACTATTTTCATTTTTATACTTTAATTTTCTCACTTATGAAATAGAAGCTTTAAATATGTATACAAATATTGTTATGTATTATAAATATATGTATATTTGTATTATGTATAACTTAAATCTCTCTCTGTATTTATATATACGTATATGTATCTATGTATATACCTCTGTGGTACCTAACTGCTAAAGCTATAATCAGCAAGATGGTAGAACTGACAGGGCTGTAGATAGAGTCAGTGTAAGGGGAATAAAAGGAGATTATAGGATAATTCTGAAAGGGTTGGTCATAGAACCAGTGAGAGGCTACAAAGGATGAATCTTGGGGGTACTGAACTGTAGATAGAACTTTAAGGTTGATTGGGAAATAAATCCATGCTGAACTTTTAGAAATGGAGGTCAGAAGAATTACCAAGTCTCACATCCTGAGCCTTAGGTCCTAAAAGGGAAGACAAAGAAATCCATGTCAAGACAAAGAGGAGATATGACAAGGAAACTATGTGTTACATACTTTCATATGGAATACTTCAAAGCCAAACTATATAACGTTGATTTAGGATTTACTTTACCTGGGGGTGTCTGCCAACATGCCTTCAACAGGAGACAAACATAATCACAGGAAGTGATTGTATGTACTGAATTACAAGGAGTTGGGAGAGAAAAGGTATCTATCAAGGAAAACAAGGTTGCAGTGTCCTGAACATACATGAACACGCTTTTGATTTTTTTTTTTTTTTTGACCTTTGGGTGTTAGCAGTAAACACTTCATTAGAATTCAGCAGTAGCAGTATACCTCGTTGAAGGAACTTTCTAGTTAAGGATGCACGTGGTCGAGATTGTGGTAGGGGCAGAGCTGGATAACTGTCAAGCTAATAGAGAGGGTTTTTTTAAAAATATGAAAAAATGCTAAAGGAATTCAAAACTACAATAATCTGCGAACTTCAACATGGAGTCATATACATTTTAATAGCTCCTGAGAGTTTATATCAAAGTCACTAATTATAATGATCCTGAGAGGTTAAAAAGAGACTTTTAAAATATCTCATTTTCTTCTGTATAGGATGGCAGGAATATCTTTAGCATTGAATACAGTTCTATATAGAATGCTGAGAAGTTAAAAGTAGTACAAAAAGCCAGTTTGGCTTTTGAAAGGATAAACTTCAGTTATTCATAGTGTATATGAGGAAAACTGTGTTTTTAGAATATGGTAAATTTGCATACCAAAAGGACAAAAATAAAACTCAGCATAGGATACAAACTAAATATTAGGGATTCTAGTTGGGTTAGAGTATGACAGTTGCCTGGATCATGCCTAAAACATCCTAAATGAAATCTTAGAGCTCCTGATGTGAGTACATGTTTAATATATTTAAATATTCCAGTACTTTATTTTTTTGTCCTGAGTCAGAAAGCTGTTGCCTCCAGAGGTCCATATTACGATTTTAAATTTGGCTAGCTCCCTTAGATTTTGTTGTGGTATGTATCTGGAAATGATGTTCTTTCAGGCTTGTTTTATTCCAAGGGTGATAATTTATATATAAAAATTTAGATATCTTTCTTATACAGAGAAAATGGAAGATATATTGCCAATCTATATATTTTACTCAATTAATTTGTTTAGCAATATTTATCAGGCATCAACTTTATGACAGAAGTTGTGTGCTGTGGCTACTGTGGTGAGTAAGAACAGATACAGCTCCTGCTCTCATGGAATCAAATGTCTGGTAGGGATGACAAATAGTTACTTAAATAAGTATACAAGTGAACTTTTCATAAGCACTTTAAAGGACATGTATATAGTTTCAGTGGAAGCCAATAGTAGAGGTTTGTGACCTAGTTAGGTAGAACAGAAAAGGGTTTCCTGAGGAAGTTATATTTAAGCTGACAGCTGAAAGATGAGCAGGCATTCACACAGCAGTATTGTGGTAGGTGAGAGAAGACTGTGAGGCCAATGGCAGAGAAAGCATGGCCATCATGAGGAACTGAGAGAAGGCTGTGCGGCTGGAGTTCAGAACCTGGAGTGGAATGTGGAGCAAAGAACAAGATGAGGCTAAAAATGAAAGATGAGCCATCCTGTGCTCATCTTTGTAGGCCATATATTATAGACTGATTACTTAATGTTGAGTAATAGGAAACCATTGAAGGTTTTAGAGAATGAAGGGAAGGTTAATGGATAGCCGGAGTAGGCAGAGATAGTGAATTAGGAAGCTATTTTAGTCAGCAGAGGAAGAGATGATAGGATAGCAGTGGTATGGTAAGCAATATAAATGAATTTAAATTATTTTTAGGAAGTACAATCAATAATACCTTGTGATTGTGGCAGCCATGGAGATACACTAATCAGACCTCCATTCAAGAGAACATGCTACGGGAAGCAAAGTGGCTTGACATCTTCCTGCTGTCACAGATTTGGGTCCATCACAGCATTCATGCCAGGACAATAACCCCTAAACTTGTCCCTAGCCGATGACTGAGTGGAGCAGAGCCTGGCCATCCTGACTAACAGGGAACTCCGCTAATGGGCAGCCTTTGCTTACAGGCATGCCACTGGCCTGGTGAAGACTCTTCCAGAACTGCACTGCAAGCTACAGCTCTTTCTAGCTGGTCATCCTTCCTTTCCACTCTTTCACAGGTGTCAGATCTCTATTACCCTTTGTAAGATCTCCTTAATTTCCCTTTCCTCTCTCTCTTTATCCTTCACAGGCCCTTCCCTAACAATTCTCTTGTATTCTATATTAATTTGTTAGAGCTGTTGCAAAAAAGTACAAGTGGGCTGGCTTAAACAACAGAAATTTATTGTCTCACAGTTCTGGAGGCTAGAAATCCAAAATCAAGATACTGGCAGGGCTGGTTCCTTCTGAGGTCTGTGAGGGAAGGATCTGTTCTGGGCCTCTCTTGATCTTTTTAATGATGTTTTCATGTTCACATGGCGTTCTGCCTGTGTGCGTGTCTGTCTCCAAAATTTCCCTGTTTATAAGGACATCAGTCACATTGGATGAGGGCCTACCTTAATGATCTCATTTTAACTTGATTACCTCTATAAAGACCTTATTTCTAAATAAGGCCACATTTTGCAGTACCGGGGATTAGGACTTCAACATATGAATTTTTGGAAGACGCAGTTCAACCTGTAACATGCAGACATATCCCTTATTAGTATCTGATTCTTGAAGAAGTGGAAGTGACAACTGATGGATTGGGTTGTGGAAATGGGGAATAAAGATGAGAATGATGTCAGATTGGTCAAAAGAATTTTTACTATGTGTCATATATTCAATTGGGTTGGACTTCCTGATGAAAAGTATAGACAACTACAATTGTGGTTCACTAATTTTTATTCATTTATGTTTCAGCAGTAAAGAAATTTTCACATTTATTCTTGGTCACTAGTTTACTTTTTTCTAAGAATAGTCAAGAAAAAAATTTTATTTTAGTTATAGATTATTATTCACTGTTTCATTGTTATGTCTAACCACATGGGGGAGTGTGTATATGTGTGTGTATAGTAAATAATATATTCCTCAGTCTAGCTTTGAATGTGCTATAAAAGAAATTAAGGAATAATATTACCCTACAGATGCTTAGTTAAAAAAAAAAGAAGAAGAGAAAAAATCAAATCAGGTAGATACAGCAAATTACAGCAAACTTAAATCAGGTGCATATATCAGGCTACAGCAAGTTACATTGATTGGTGTTCTCCCTTTCATAGAGCAGTGAAATTAAATGGAATTTTATTCTGTTGTGTTTATTTTATGTGGTATCATATATTTCTACATAAAATTTTATCAAGCTTACTTTAGTGGTTTAGTTTTATTTTGATACTCTAACTTATATACATGTTATTGGAAGAGAAATAGTTCTTACTAACCTGAGTGTATTGGAACATTAAGGAATCTGCATCTATATTAAGGCAGCTATTTGAATATTAACTTGAATACCTAGAAAGCATCTGACCAGGATCATTTATCTGTGCATACCAGGTGATGAGTGAATATAATTCTATATGAATAACCATATAGCTTTTTTCTTTTGCCGGCTTAGGCTTCCATACTTTCCTCTGTACAAATTTGTAGATAAGGTCTCTATTTTTATTTTCATTAGAAGCTGGCAAAATTTGTTTCTATATTTCCAAATGCATTTACTATGTCTAGTAGAAAAGTGCATATCTTTGTCTATATCTACATGTGTGTGTATAATATATATGTAATTGTCAACACACATATAGATGAGTTTGAGTGTCATGAGCCTAATGACATTCATTTGTAAGAAAAGAACTCTGGCTATTAAAATTGCACAGATATTAAAGCTCTGCTTTTTCTTTTGTTTAAAAATAATACACAATGCATATTAAAAGACAAAGTAGCCTTTTTACTTAAAATTTTGGTGTGTTTTATTGTGTATTTTATTTGATGCTTAATGTTTGTTAGTATTTTCAGTAGTGTTTGTTGAATCACCCAAGTTATTTGAAAGCTTTGAAATTGCTTTTTTTCTTCCTTGAGATGAATCACCCCATATAGTAATACAGCATGTGTGTTTTATTATAGTTGATGTTTTTATGTGGACATGTAGCTGTATGACCACATAATTATCACTGCCTATAACTTTGGACTGAGCAAAGACATTTTTAGAGAAATTACACTTCTAGTTTAAATTTTATTTAATAATATATAGCATTTTTTACTCATTCTTGGATGAGTCAGTACATATACTAAAACAGTAAATTCATTTAGATTTGAACTGCATCACCCATTTATTTGATGCCTAACAACATTCTGTTTTTATATATGAAATAGGTTCCTGTTTCTAAAGAGTTTGGATTCATTTTTAGAAGATAGTATTTACATACACATGTAAATTAAAGGATAGAATAAAGAATAAAATGTTCAAACCAATGCAGCCAAATGTTTAGGCTATATACAGATAGGGAAAATAGTATTATTAGGCAAATTAGTTTGACCACTCATTGTAAGATTAGGAATCGTTAAAGACTTTGAATGTAGAGAAGAACATCAGATGAGCTGAATGTTAAAGTCCTTAAGCTCTACATTCATATCATTTTTGTTTGTTTGTTTTGAGACTAGCCAACATGTCTTGTGACTAACAATGACAGGTTAACATATTGACTATTTGATATATATGACCCGGGAGAATCTAGTTTATTTCCAAAAATAATTTCACATGACATTAACTTCATTGACTAAAAATGTCAGAATGTTTGGAATCCATATGGTTTCAAAAACTGAGCAAAAGACTGACAAAAGGAAAGAGAAATTATAACTTTCAATATCCTTAACTTATATTTCCAACTAGTTTCACTCACTCTTATGTAATCACTTTTTAAAATCAAACAATTGCATGCAGATATCATTAAATGATATGTTTCAAAAGCACCAATAGTAAACTAACTTCCCTCTATTTTTCTATCTTTTTTTTTTTTTTTTTTTTTTTGAGACAGAGTCTTCACTCTGTCGCCCAGGCTGGAGTGCAGTGGCTTCATCTCAGCTCACTGCAGCCTCTGCCTCCCAGGTTCAAGCCATTCTCCTGCTTTAGCTTCCCGAGTAGCTGGGATTACAGGCGCACACCACCATGCCTAGCTAATTTTTGTATTTTTACTAGAGACAGGATTTCACCATGCTGGCCAGGCTTGTCACAAACTCCTGATGATCTGCCCGCCTCAGCCTCCCAAAGTGTTGGGATTACAGGTGTGAGTAACCACGCCTGGACTATTTTTCTATTTCTACTTTCTAAAGACAATACATTTATTATTTCTTTTCTTTGTTTGCTAATTACTTTCATAAGTCTAAATCAGAGGTTAGCAAAGTATGGCCCACAGGCCAAATTCCTTCTTCTGATGTTTTTGTAAGGCCTAAAGCTAAGAATGGTTTATCTATCTGTCTATCTATCTATCTATCAATCATCCATCTATATATTTTTAAGGGTGGTAAACAAAATGAAAATTTAAATGAATATGTCGCAGAGTGTGTCCTACAGAGCATAAAATACTATCTAATTTTTTTTTAAATTTTGGATGGGTTGCGTAGCTTCTTTTTTTTTAATTATACTTTAAGTTTTAGGGTACATGTGCACAACATGCAGGTTTGTTACATATGTATACATGTGCCATGTTGGTGTGCTGTACCCATTAACTCGTCATTTAACATTAGGTATATCTCCTAATGCTATCCCTCCCCCCTACCCCCACCCCACAACAGGCCCCGGTGTGTGATGTTCCCCTTCCTGTGTCCATGTGTTCTCATTGTTCAATTCCCAGCTATGAGTGAGAACATGCGGTGTTTGGTTTTTTGTCCTTGCGACAGTTTGCTGAGAATGATGGTTTCCAGCTTCATCCATGTCCCTACAAAGGACATGAACTCATCATTTTTTATGGGTGCATAGTATTCCATGGTGTATATGTGCCACATTTTCTTAATCCAGTCTATCATTGTTGGACATTTGGGTTGGTTCCAAGTCTTTGCTATTGTGAATAGTGTCGCAATAAACATACGTGTGTGTGTGTCTTTATAGCAGCATGTTTTATAGTCCTTTGGGTATATACCCAGTAACGGGATGGCTGGGTCAAATGGTATTTCTAGTTCTAGATCCCTGAGGAATCGCCACACTGACTTCCACAACGGTTGAACTAGTTTACAGTCCCACCAACAGTGTAAAAGTGTTCCTATTTCTCCACATCCTCTCTAGCACCTGTTGTTTCCTGACTTTTGAATGATCGCCATTCTAACTGGTGTGAGATGGTATCTCATTGTGGTTTTGATTTGCATTTCTCTGATGGCCAGTGATGGTGAGCATTTTTTCATGTGTGTGTGTTGGCTGCATAAATGTCTTCTTTTGAGAAGTGTCTGTTCATATCATTTGCCCAGTTTTTGATGGGGTTGTTTTTTTCTTTGAGTTTTCTTTGAGTTTTTTTCTTTTGAGTTCATTGTGGATTCTAGATATTAGCCCTTTGTCAGATGAGTAGATTGCAAAAATTTTCTCCCATTCTATAGGTTGCCTGTTCACTCTGATGGTAGTTTCTTTTGCTGTGCAGAAGCTCTTTAGTTTAATTGGATCCCATTTGTCAATTTTGGCTTTTGTTGCCATTGCTTTTGGTGTTTTCGACATGAAGTCCTTGTCGGTGCCTATGTCCTGAATGGTATTGCCTAGGTTTTCTTCTAGGGTTTTTATGGTTTTAGGTCTAACATTTAAGTCCTTAATCCATCTTGAATTAATTTTTGTATAAGGTGTAAGGAAGGGATCCAGTTTCAGCTCTCTACATATGGCTAGCCAGTTTTCCCAGCACCATTTATTAAATAGGGATCCTTTCCCCATTTCTTGTTTTTGTCAGGTTTGTCAAAGATCAGATGGTTGTAGATATGTGGCATTATTTCTGAGGGCTCTGTTCTGTTCCATTGGTCTATATCTCTGTTTTGGTATCAGTACCATGCTGTTTTGGTTACTGTAGCCTTGTAGTATAGTTTGAAGTCAGGTAGCATGATGCCTCCAGCTTTCTTCTTTTGGCTTAGGATTGACTTGGCGATGTGGGCTCTTTTTTGGTTCCATATGAACTTTAAAGTAGTTTTTTCCAGTTCTATGAAGAAAGTCATTGGTAGCTTGATGGGGATGGCATTGAATCTATAAATTACCTTAGGCAGTATGGCCATTTTCACGATATTGATTCTTCCTACCCATGAGCATGGAATGTTCTTCCATTTCTTTGTATCCTCTTTTATTTCATTGAGCAGTGGTTTGTAGTTCTCCTTGAAGAGGTCCTTCACGTCCCTTGTAAGTTAGATTCCTAGGTATTTTATTCTCTTTGAAGCAATTGTGAATGGAAGTTCACTCATGATTTGGCTGTCCGTTTGTCTGTTATTGATGTAGAACAATGCTTGTGATTTTTGCACACTGATTTTGTTTCCTGAGACTTTGCTGAAGTTGCCTATCAGCTTAAGGAGACTTTGGGCTGAGACGATGGGGTTTTCTAGATATACAATCATGTCATCTGCAAACAGGGGCAATTTGACTTCCTCTTTGCCTAATTGAATACCCTTTATTTCTTTCTCCTGCCTGATTGCCCTGACCAGAACTTCCAACACTATGTTGAATAGGAGTGGTGAGAGAGGGCATCCCTGTCTTGTGCCAGTTTTCAAAGGGAATGCTTCCAGTTTTTGCCCATTCAGTATGATATCAGCTGTGGGTTTGTCATAGATAACTCTTATTATTTTGAGAAACGTCCCATCAGTACCTAATTTATTGAGAGTTTTCAGCATGAAGCGTTGTTGAATTTTGTCAAAGGCCTTTTCTGCATCTATTGAGATAATCATGTGGTTTCTGTCATTGGTACATGTTGGATTAAGTTTATTGATTTGCGTATGTTGAACCAGCCTTGCATCGCAGGGATGAAGCCCACTTGATCTTGGTGGATAAGCTTTTTGATGTGCTGCTGGATTCGGTTTGCCAGTATTTTATTGAGGATTTTTGCATTGATGTTCATCAGGGATATTGGTCTAAAATTCTCTTTTTTTGTTGTGTCTCTGCCAGGCTTTGGTATCAGGACGATGCTGGCCTCATAAAATGAGTTAGGGAGGATTCCCTCTTTTTCTATTGATTGGAATAGTTTCAGAAGGAATGGTATCAGCTCCTCCTTGTACCTCTGGTAGAATTCGGCTGTGAATCCATCTGGTCCTGGACTCTTTTTTGGTTGATAGGCTATTAATTATTGCCTCAATTTCAGAGCCTGTTATTGGTCTATTCAGAGATTCAACTTCTTCCTGGTTTAGTCTTGGGAGGGTGTATGTGTCGAGGAATTTATCAATTTCTTCTAGATTTTCTAGTTTATTTGTGTAGAGGTGTTTATAGTATTATCTGATGGTAGTTTGTATTGCCATGGGATCGGTGGTCATATCCCCTTTATCATTTTTTATTGCATCTGTTTGATTCTTCTCTCTTTTTTTCTTTATTAGTCTTGCTAGCAGTCTATCAATTTTGTTGATCTTTTCAAAAAACCAGCTACTGGATTCATTGATTTTTTGAAGGGTTTTTTATGTCTCTATTTCCTTCAGTTCTGCTCTGATCTTAGTTATTTCTTGCCTTCTGCTAGCTTTTGAATGTGTTTACTCTTGCTTCTCTAGTTCTTTTAATTGTGATGTTAGCGTGTCAATTTTAGATCTTTCCTGCTTTCTCTTGTGGGCATTTAGTGCTATAAATTTCCCTCTACACACTGCTTTGAATGTGTCCCAGAGATTCTGGTATGTTGTGCCTTTGTTCTTGCTGGTTTCAAAGAACATCTTTATTTCTGCCTTCATTTCGTTATGTACCCAGTAGTCATTCAGGAGCAGGTTGTTCAGTTTCCATGTAGTTGAGTGGTTTTGAGTGAGTTTCTTATTCCTGAGTTCTAGTTTGATTGCACTGTGGTCTGAGATACAGTTTGTTATAATTTCTGTTCTTTTACATTTGCTGAGGAGTGCTTTACTTCCAACTATGTGGTCAGTTTTGGAATAGGTGTGGTGTGCTGCTGAAAAGAATGTATATTCTGTTGATTTGGGGTGGAGAGTTCTGTAGATGTCTATTAGGTCCGCCTGGTGCAGAGCTGAGTTCAGTTCCTGGATATCCTTTTTAACTTTCTGTCTGGTTGATCTGTCTAATGTTGACAGTGGGGTATTAAAGTCTCCCATTATTATTGTGTGGGAGTCTAGGTCTCTTTGTAGTTCTCTAAGGACTTGCTTTATGAATCTGGGTGGTCCTGTATTGGGTGCATATATATTTAGGATAGTTAGCTCTTCTTGTTGAATTGATCCCTTTACCATTATGTAATGGCCTTCTTTGTCTCTTTTGATCTTTGTTGGTTTAAAGTCTGTTTTATCAGAGACTAGGATTGCAACCCCTGCCTTTTTTGTTTTCCATTTGCTTGGTAGATCTTCCTCCATCCCTTTATTTTGAGCCTATGTGTTTCTCTGCATGTGAGATGGGTTTCCTGAATACAGCACACTGATGGGTCTTGACTCTTTATCCAATTTGCCAGTCTGTGTCTTTTAATTGGAGCATTTAGCCCATTTACATTTAAGGTTAATATTGTGATGTGTGAATTTGATCCTGTCATTATGATGTTAGCTGGTTATTCTGCTCCTTAGTTGATGCACTTTCTTCCTAGCCTCGAGGGTCTTTACAGTTTAGCATGTTTTTGCAGGGGCTGGTACCAATTGTTCCTTTCCATGTTTAGTGCTTCCTTCAGGAGCTCATTTAGGGCAGGCCTGATGGTGACAAAATCTCTCAGCATTTGCTTGTCTGTAAAGTATTTTATTTCTCCTTCATTTATGAAGCTTAGTTTGGCTGGATATGAAATTCGTGGTTGAAAATTCTTTTCTTTAAGAATGTTGAATATTGGCCCCCACTATCTTCTGGCTTGTAGAGTTTCTGCCAAGAGATCAGCTGTTAGTCTGATGGGCTTCCCTTTGTGGGTAACCCGACCGTTTTCTCTGGCTGTGCTTAACATTTTTTCCTTCATTTCAACTTTGGTGAATCTGGCAGTTATGTGTCTTGGAGTTGCTCTTCTCGAGGAGTATCTTTGTGGCGTTCTCTGTATTTCCTGAATTTGAATGTTGGCCTGCCTTGCTAGAACTTCCCTATCCAGGGAAGTTCTCCTGGATAATATCCTGCAGAGTATTTTCCAACTTGGTTCCATCCTCCCCATCACTTTCAGGTACACCAATCAGACGTAGAGTTGGTCTTTTCACATAGTCCCATATTTCTTGGAGGCTTTGTTCGTTTCTTTTTATTCTTTTTTCTCTAAAATTCTCTTGTCACTTCATGTCATTCATTTGATCTTCCATCACTGATACCCTTTCTTCCAGTTGTTCGCATTGGCTACTGAGGCTTGTGCATTCGTCATGTAGTTCTCTTGCCATGGTTTTCAGCTTCATCAGGTCCTTTAAGGACTTCTTTGCATTGGTTATTCTAGTTAGCCATTTGTCTAATTTTTTTTCAAGGTTTTTAACTTCTTTGCCATGGGTTCGAACTTCCTCCTTTAGCTCGGAGTAGTTTGATCGTCTGAAGCCTTCTTCTCTCAACTCGTCAAAGTCATTCTCCTTCCAGCTTTGTTCCGTTGCTGGTGAGGAGCTGCGTTCCTTTGGAGGAGGAGAGGCACTCTGATTTTTAGAGTTTCCAGTTTTTCTGCTCTGTTTTTTCCCCATCTTTGTGGTTTTATCTACCTTTGGTCTTTGATGATGGTGACGTACAGATGGGGTTTTGGTGTGGATGTCCTTTCTGTTTGTTAGCTTTCTTTCTAACAGTCAGGACCCTCAGCTGCAGGTCTATTGGAGTTTGCTGGAGGTCCACTCCAGACCCTGTTTGCCTGGGTTTTTTATAGAGAAAGTTTAGACCTCTGGTCTACATGGTGTGTGTGGGTGTGTTTGCACACATACACACACATATACATGTTAATGTAACAACCTAAACATACTTAATTTCTCACTGTGAAAGAAAGAGTACTTTGTATTTCATACTGCTTCATTTTTGCTAGTACTAATATTTACTGACCCTTTCATTGGTTACATTTGTAACTTTAAATGCTATGCTTAACTCTCTGTTTCCTGTTCCATCACTTTAGACGTGTATATAGATAGCTCTATAGGTAATGACTGGTGGAAATTTTCTTTGTTTGTACTCACACTTAGTAACATTTTGTAAATTTTAACACTGAGACCAGGCACTTTACACCCAGGTGCTAATATCATACCTGATGCTTAATAAGACTCAATTATTTGTTGAAGGTATGTTTGTTTTCCAGGAGCTTCACTGTCATGTTTGAGGAGTCTCATGTTGCTCTTTACAGTTGATGTTATAGCCCAAGTATTTCTTATCCCACATATGTCAAACAGAGTAAATCAGAATTTATGTAAACTGATTTTATTTGTGATAACTTGCTGAAATATTTTCTATTTATTTTCAAACTCCAGTGGACACTCTTGTGAAACACATTTTGCTGTCTGTGGAGTTGAAGTTGTTGCATTGGAGATGACTTAGGCATTCCTTGCAGGGTCACAGTTTTGGTCGCCAAAGTAGAAGTCACTCAGACCCTCAACAATTAATTGAAGAACATCTTAATTGATACATCACTGTGCTAGGAAGTGGTTATGTAGTGGTGAATAAAGCAGTCTTGGTTGCTGCCCTCAGAGAACTTAGTGGGAGAGACAGATGAATAAACCCCACATAAACATATACATCAGCACATAGGAATGCAAATTAAGGTAAATGATTTGAAGGAAAAGAACAAGTTATTTGAGACACAAACTGGAAGTAGGACTCTAAATCTTGAGATTTCATTCATATGGCTAATAATGAATGTTAAGCACCCTTGAATCTTTTGAATTTCTCTAAGCCAGTGGTTCTCAAACTTGAATATGCATCAAAAGCATAAGAAATGTTTGTTAAAAGACAGGTTTCTGGGCCCCATCTTCAAAGTTTGTTATTCACTAGGTCTGGGCTAGCCATGAAGATTTGCATTTCTCGTAACTTCCTAGGTGACTGTGATTCTGCTGATCCAGAGAACCACACTGCAAGAACCACTGATCTCAGATAATGGTTTATATCACATTGGAATCACATTTAGAACCTCAACAAAATATTCATATTTAGTTCTTTTTTGCTGTACATTTTGATTCAGTTATGTCCTAAACATGGGACTTTAAAAAATACTCCCAGGTAATTCTAGTGTGCAGCTAGAGTTGTGGGCTATCAGTTTAGTCTGTGAATATGCATATACATACAGTTTCTTAGAGGGGCATCTAAACAGTGGTAAGAAAGCGGGGAGGACATGGGGAAAAGGCTGGAGCAGGAGGTTTCAGTAAAGAAGTACCTGACCTAAGCCTTTAAAAATTAAGGTTTAAAGTACGGTACCTGAATTTAAGGCTTAAAAGTTATTTGTCAACACCATCAGTTGACACAGAGAGAAGAGAGTATGTCAGACAGAAGAAACAGGCGATGGCACATAAACATGTAGGAGTAGGTTTTGTTTCATGAAGTTTAATCCTAGGTGGTAAATTTGTTGCATATCTGAAATGTAACCATTCTGATATTGTTTGCTATGTCAGAAACAGAATAATAATTTATTTTATAAATAAATATAAACTATGCCATATTAAATAATTTTTATTCATTAATTTGTTCTATTTGATAGGATGAGAAGAAGAAACCGAAAGACTAGGAGATATGGAGTTTTGGACACTAACATAGAAAATATGGAATTGACACCTTTAGAACAGGATGATGAGGATGATGACAACACGTTGTTTGATGCCAATCATCCTCGAAGGTAAGTATTCCAGTAGTTTAATTCCATGAATCAGGAAGCAAGTCCTTGCCAAGTAAACTGAAGAAGTAAAGTAGACTTTCATTTAACAGCTTATATTCCAACACAGTTTCTTCAGTTCTGTTTACTGAAGTTCTTTTTGCTATCTACCCCATAGCTCACATTCACGTTGTTTTGCTCAAATAGATACAAACAATAGAATACCATCTCAAAATATTTTTTTTAATTTATTCTTCTGTTTTTATCTTTTATTTTAAGTTCAGGGGTACAAGTGCAGGGTCGTTACATAGGTAAACTTGTGTCATGTGGTTTTGTCGTACAGATTATTTCATCACCCAGTTATTAAGCCTAGGACCCATTAACTTCTTCATTCTTGCAATATGTATTAACTTGGGTGTGTGTGTGCATGTGTGTTTGTGTGCGTGTGTGTTTGTGTGTGTGTGTGTGAGAGAGAAATACTTATTAAATTTAATTTCCTTTTTGTATTCTGAAGATATTTTCTTTTTAGTTTGGGTTCTAGTGTTTGTAAATAGTGCTGCCTTGCAGAATTGGGGGACTAATTGTTTATGGTCTGATCATGTAGCTGTAATATATATACTGAGATCTATTCTCAGTAAGTGTTAAGACCTTTCCTAAGAGGTTTAGATAAATAAAATGACATGAGTATAGAATAAATGCCAATGTAAATAGAATGGGGAAAAAAGCCAACAAAGATTCAACCTAATAAGGAAAGACATCTTGGAATCCAGAGGGATTACTTGGGTGAAGGAGAATTAGAGTCCAGAGTCAGGTACAAATGCAAAGAAAACAGAAATCTTAGGATTACAGAAAAGAAGATGACTCAACAAAAATTGGACTACTAAGTCCTGTATATCTATATTTATATCTATATATGTCTATCCATCTATCTATCTAAGCTGTTTATATATATGCACACACACAAAGGAACTTTTAGTAATGCTGATAATTTGTTCATTTAATACAAATATGTTCATGAATTATACATTTTAATAGTATTACAGCCTGAATAGGCAAACATGAACAAAACAATTGCATCTGTTCTTCAGGCACTCACTTTCAATTAAAGACGCATATAAGATGAAAGAAAAGGGACAGAAACTGATATTCCATGCAAATGGTAACCAAAACAAAGCAGGGGTTGCTAAATTTATATCAGACAAATTAGATTTTAAGTCAAAAACTATCTCTTGAGACAAAAAAAAAAAAGATCATTACATAGTAAAGGAGTCAATTCACCAGGAAGATATGACAATTAGTATGACTCTATCAGAGCACCTAAATTATAAAGCAAATATTGACAGATCTGAAGTAGGAAATTGACAGCCATAAAATAATTTATGGGACTTTAATATCCCACTTACAATAATGAATAGACTATCTAGACAGAAAATCAATAAAGAAACCTCTGACTTAAACAACACTGTAGACCAGTGGACCTGACAGACATATACAGAACTTTGCACCCAACAGCAGAAGAATTCACATTCTTCTCAAGTGCCCATGGGATGCACTCTGAGATAAATCATCTTAGGTCACAAAACAAGTCTTAACAACTTTAAGAAGATTGAAATTATTCCAAGTGTCTTTTCCAACCTCCATGGAATAGAAATAGAAATCAATAACAGCAGGAAAACAGGAAAAATTATAAATATGTGGAAACTAAACGATATAGTTTGAATAAACCTCCAGGCCAAATCTCATGTCAATTGTAACCCTCCATGCTGAAATTGAAGCCTGGTCAGAGATGTTTGGGTCATGGGGACTGATCCCTCATGGCTTGGTGCTGTCCTTGTGATAGTGAGTTCTTGCAAAATGTGGTTGTTTTAAGTGTGTAGCACCTGCTCCTCCTTGCTCCTATATTTGCCGTTTGAAGTACCTGATCCCATTTCACCTTGCACCATGAGTAAAAGCTCCCTGATATATGCTCAGAAGCCAAGCAGATGTCAGCACCATGCTTGTATAGTCTGCAGAACCACGAGCCAATTAAACCTCTTTTCTTTATAAATTACCCAGTCTCAGGTATGTCTTTATAGCAATGAAAGAATGGACTAATACACTGAACAACACACTCTTGAGCAATTATTGGGTCAAATAGGAAATCAAAGGGAATTTTAAGAGCTATTTTGAGACAAAAAAAAAATGGCATAACAAAACTTATGGGATGCAGCAAAAGCATTGCTAGGAGAGAAGTTTATAGCAATAAATGCTTATGCTATGAAAGAAGAAAGACTTCAAATAAACAACCTAGCTTTACCCTTTCAGAAAGTGGCAAAAGAAAAACACTTTAAGCCTAAGCCTAAAATTAGCAGAACGAGGGAAATAATTAAGATTATAATAGAAATACATTAAATAGAGTTGAAAAAGACAATGAGAAAAATCAATAAAATTAAGATTTTGCGTATAGAAAAGATAAAATCAATAAACCATTAGCTAGACTAAGCAAAAAAGAAAAGGCTCAAATAAATAAAATCAGAAATAAAAGAGAAGAAATTACAATGGGTACCTCAGAAATTAAAGAAGACATGAGACTACTATGAACAATTATATGCCAACAAATTTGATAACCTAGAAAAATAGATAAATTCCTAGAAACATACAATCTATGAAACTTGAATCAAAAAGAAATTCGAAGTCCAAACAGACAAGTAACAAATAAGGAAATTGAATCAGTAGTCAAAACCTTCCAACAAAGAAATGTCCAAGACCATATGGCTTCATGGGTAAATTATACCAGACATTTAAAGAAGAATTAATACTCGTCCTTCTCAAATTATTCTGACAAATAGAAGAAGAAGCACTTTAAAACTCATTTTATGAGGCTAGTGTTATCCTGATACCAAAGCCAGACGAAGGAAAGCAAACCGCAGGCCAATACTCCTGATGAACATGATACAAAAGTCCTCAATAAAATGCTAGTTACCCAAATTCAGCAGCATATTAAAATGATGATACACCATGATTAAGTGGGATTTGTCCCTGGAATGCAAATATCTTTCAACACATGCAAATCAATGCAATAGAACACATTAATAGGTTGAAAGAAAAAAAGCCACAAGATCATTTCAGTAGACACAGAAAAAGCATTTGACAGTGCTATCCACATAGACAAATGAGGTTGCATCAAACTAAAATGCTTCTGCACAGCCAAGTAGATAATCATCAGAGTGAAAAGGAACTTTAATAATGGGACAAAATATTTATAAACCATATATGTATATACATATATATATGAGTTAATATCCAAAATTTATAAGGAGTGCATGTAAGTTAATAGCCAAAAATCTCACATAATCTGATTTTAAAATGGGCACATGACCCCTGTACTCTGTTGGTGGGAATGTAAGTTGGCACAGCTGTTATGGAAAGCAGTACAGAAATTCCTCAATAAATTAAAAATATAATTACCTTATGATTTAGCAGTTTTGCTGCTGGATATATATCCAAAGGAAACCATTATTACATAGAGAGATCTGCACTCCCATGTTCACTGCAGCATTATTCATATTAATCAAGCTGTGGAAATAACCTAAATGTGCATTGACAGATGTATTAGTCCGTTTTCATACTGCTTGGAAGAAATATCGGAGACTGGGTAATTTATAAAGAAAAAGAGGTTTAATGGACTCACAATTCTGCATGGCTAGGGAGGCCTCACAATCATGGCAGTAGGCAAAGGAGGAGCAAAGGCACATCTTACATGATGGCAGGCAAGAGAGCATGTGTAGGGGAACCACCCTTTATAAAACCATCAGATTTCATGAGACTTATTCAATATCATAAGAACAGCATGGGAAAAACTTGCCCCTGTGTTTCAATTACCTCCCACCAGGTTCCTTCCATGATACCTGAGGATTAAGGGAGCTACAATTCAAGATGAGATTTAGGTGGGGGCACAGCCAAACCATATCAACAGATAAATGAATTTGAAAAGTATGATATATATATATATATATATATATATATATGTACATATAATATATATAATTACATGTATGATATACTATTGAATATTATTCAGCCTTAAAAAAAAGAAAATCTGGACATTTGCAACAACATGGATGAACATGGAGGAATTTATGTTATTTGAAACAATCCAAACATAGAAAGACAGATATTGCATTATCTCACTTATATATGGAATCTAAATAGTCAAGCTTATAGTAGTGAATAGAGTAGGGGTTAACAGGGGCTGCAGAGAAGGGAAAACAGGAAGATGTTAGTCAAGGGATCCAAAATTTTAGTTATGCAAAATGAGTAAGTTCATTTATGCAAGATGAATAAGCTATGCAAGATGAATAACTTGTACAGCAATGTGAATATAGTTAACAATACAATACAGTAGTGTATACTTTTAAGTTTGCTAGGAGGGTAGATGTTAAGTGTTCTTGATACACACAAAAATATGTTAATCTCAAGAGGTGATGGATATGTTGATTAGCATGATTGCAGTGATTGTTTCACGTAGTATATGCACATCATGCACATCATAACATCATAACATTAAGGTAAACACCTTAAGCATATCCAATTTTTATTTACCAATTATACCTCAGTAAAGATGGAGAAATAAAAAGTTCATGAAACAGTTGTAATCTATGCTAATCATCAATTCTATAGACCATAAAAAGTCATTTTGAAAATTTTAAGACAAGGGAAACTTTGATTACAAAGTTACGTTTTGAAGATTACCCTGACTGCATGGGTTGAAGGAGACCACGATAAAGAGTAAGGTGACAAAGAAGAAAAGTAGTTAGATGGTGCAAATGCATGGGATGACTTGCATTACAGTTACAGCAGGAAAGGCAGAGAGGAGTGAATTATTTAAGCAGCTTTGGAAGGTATTAATTACCTTCCTTAATTACCATCTTAACCAAGATGTAGGTCCTGTTTCGAAAGTGAAAGAACAAGAATTGGTTATAATAATGGTAAAGCATGTTTCAGGGATAAGAATGAAATCATCTTGAGTTATTTAGTAATCTGACCCAATTTACTTAATAAATAAGGCAAAACTTCTTTAATATATATCTAAATAAAGTGACAGGAACAGCACATTACTATTTACCTATTCATTAATTTATCTAACAAATGAATGATGTAGCAGCTATCTATTTGCCAAGCACTGGTCTATGTGTTTGAGATACATTAGAGAGCAGAACAAAACAAAACAAAACAAAAAAATCTGACTTTGTGAAGTTTGACTGCCAGTGGGGAAAAGATGAGTTAGAGAGGTTAACAGTTTATTTTTCATCTTCAGTTTTCCTTCTATATCTATCTGATTTTTTTCTTCGAGGAGCATATATTCATGCGTTACTTTTTTAAAAATTATTTTTGTCTGGAAATAATTTTAAACTTACAGAAAGTTTACAAGAATAAAAACAGTACAAAATATTCTATACTTGTTTTCCAGATTTACTAGTTATTAGCATTTTATCTTATTCTCTTGATCTTTTTTTCTCTCATAATATGTATACAGAAGAATTCATCCCTCTCATTTTGTATTTATCTGATGTTCTGATGTTTCCTCATAATTAGATTCAGGTTCTTCATTCTTAGTTGAAATACTACTTAGTTAATGCTCTCTCCTAAAAGTATCATATCTGGAAACACAGATGTCCACTTGTACTTCATTAGCAGTGATAATTTTTATGCACCTGTTTAAGGTTTTCCTTAATTTCTCCACTGTGTTAATGACTTTTCCCCTCCATAACTAATAAGGAAACATTTTACAATCATGAAAATATCATATTTCTCATCTAAATTTCTCCCTATGTTTAACATCTGTTCATCACAATTCTTGCCTGATCTAATCTTCGTTATGAAAGTTAGAACATAATTATTTTCAAACTTCATTATTTGTTTTCTGTTTACCAGTCAGCATTGACATTCTCCTATAAGTAAAAACCTTCCCTTCTTCCTTGTCTATCTATCATCAATATGTAATGATGATTTTCTCTTTTTCAAAGGTTCATAATTCATTGCTGTACTTATTTTAGTGCACATGTTGTCCCAGATGTGGTCAGTGGGAGCGTCTTCAAAATGGTTTCTGTCCTTGTAACTCGGTCCCATGTTTTTTAAGTGCCTCCTTACTTTCCAGCCTCATCAGATGTTCTAGACTCTTTTGGATTCAGCCTTGAAATCAGGCATTTCTCCATAGAGCCCTGGTTTCTTTGAATGGGCACTAGGTAAACTCTTTGCAACTGGGTTGACTTTGTTTCTGGGCCTTTCAGCACACAGTTCCATTAAATGTATGTATTTATGTATATAATACATAAATACACCTGTGTCCATGTGCTTGCTATACACACATATATGTGTACTTTAGATATTATCACTTCACACTTCCCATTCCAGTTTATCTCTCCTGGGTTCTTTTTTGCCTGCTTCCTTTCCATAGTTGTGTTTTTCTACTGTCATGAGATCTCTGGCTTCAATACTTTTACTAATTGGTTCAGTCTTATAATAAAACTGAATTAGTTTCTGAGTTTCTTTGCCTATTAAAGAATTGCTTTGCTTAAAAAAAACTTTCTAAAAAAAAATGAAAGTTTGCAGTTTTCTCCTCACTGTCCCATCATGTCCAGTACTAAGGATATATAGTCAGATACTGTGTTCATAAATAATTTGGCTTAGTTCTTTCCCACACTCCTCTTCAGTGTGCTCATAGTAGTCATTTGAAATATAATTTAATTTATTTTAGTTTGCTTTCTGTTTTAGGTTTCTTCTTCCTTTCCTATTTTTATTTTATTTTATAAGGAAAACACTAACATGCTTCCAAAAGTTAATACTATACATGAAACTTAAACACACACAAAAATATACAGACACACACAAAAGTTCTAGTCTGTCTTGTATACTTTCCACTCTCTACTCCATTCTTCCCACCTCATCCTTTGAAGACAAACAACTTCATTATTTTCTGGTTTATCTTCCCTATAGTTTTTTTGGTAAAAGTTGACAGAAACATGTATTTCTTATGTTTACCTCATTTCTTACATAAGATGTAATATGCTATATATGCTGTATTATACTTTTTTGTTGTATTTGATATTTTCTATAAGTCATGCCATATATGTATGTATTATAATCACAATAGAGTAATATGTAGCTATAAGTCATGCCATTTACTATGTCATATGTATATGAACATATATGACATAGAGTTACATATTACTCTATAGAGGCTATTATTATATATATATATTTACAGCTGCATATTATTCAATAGTGGCTATAGCATAATAACCATGGTTTATTCAATCACCTATGGTTTGACATTTAGGTAGTTTTTAGTTGTTTTGTAATTATAAATAGTACTGCAAGGAATAACTCTGTGCAAATGTGTTTTTGTATTGTTGGAGGTGGATTTTCAGGGTAAATTTCTGGGAGCAGAATTATGGGTCAGATAATGTGAAATCAGTTTTAATGATGAGAAATTGAAGGTGCCTATAAGATGATATCCTACTGGGCAGAGCAAATTGGATAGATTCATTCTTTCATTAAAAGCACTGATTAACTACCATGTGCCCCAGGCACTCTACTAAGCTCTGGGGATGTATACAATAGTGCACAAAAATGGACAAAATGCTCAGCCTCAGGCATTTAACAATCATATATACACATACATATATATGGAGATATATATATATATATCTCCACAGTGCAGAATGAAGGAGTCTTAGATATGGAGTTGGGATTCACAATTTTTGGGTTTTGACTAAATCGGGAATAATGCTCTTCTCTAAGCCAGATTTACTTTTCTCTTTTAAAATGAGCAATAAGGATGGATATTTCAGGGCATAAAGAAGCAAAGAATAGTCATACAGTTTTTCTATTCTCCTTTTATTCTCTTCTTGAAACAATATCAAACATCATTTAAATTACACTCACACTAATTCTAGACATCTGTGCTATTTTTTTCAGAGTCTAAAACACAGAGGTCGGGTGACTGTAATTTGGGGAAGGTGGCCACATTTCTACCACATAACAGCATTTTTAAAGAGGTGTGAGAAGAGGTGTGTTTATTCCTATTACCTTCTGTGGCTTAGACATTTTTTTCGGTAATGAGATATACATTCCAAATACCATTACTTTATTTGAAGAAGGACCCTATCTGACTTTTTAATTCAATGGGCAGAACTCGATCTGATTTTTTAATGTTGATATTAGAGATTAAACATGCATTACACTATCAATTCATTAAACATTTTAAACTTTTCTTGTGTGAAAGCTGCACACTGATCTTATTGTGGCTCACTTCAGTAAAAAATGATACTCATGTTTAATACCATTTTCCCCCAAGTAAATTGGAAGAAAAAGTCTATACTTATGTGGAGATATAAGATCTCTTTAGTCATTGAAATAGGAACTTGACCAAGGATTTCCCAGAACAGCTATATAATGCCTACATCTTAATCTCTTAGATCCTTTAAATCTGTTCAGTTACATGACAAAGATGGCCAAAGATTGCAGAGGGAATTAAGATTGCTAATAGGTGGATTTTAAAATAGTTGGATATCCCGGATTATATGCATATAATATATCAAATTATTTTTATTGCTGTAGCATTGTAGGAAGTAAATATCAGATAAGGCTTGCCCCAATATTAAGTAGGTTAGCTGTCAGTTTTTTTGATATTGCTTGTTAGCATAAGTAAATTTCTTACTATTTCTAGATTGCTAAGAGTTTTTATCATGAATAGTGTTGAATTTTATCATATACTTTTTCTGCATGTACTGAAAGTGATTGTTTTTTTCCTTTCTGTAAATAAACATGGTGAATTTCATTAATTGATTCTTGAATGTTAAACCAACATAATAGTCCTGAGACAAATCCTTCTTTGTCATGGTACCCTTCTATATATCGTTGGGTTCAATTCACTAATGTTTTCTTAAAGTATTTTTGTCTGTAGTTTATAGAGTTTATATGTACATATACATATATATGTGTGTGTATATATATATGTGTGTGTGTGTGTCTTTTATATTATCTTTATCATGTTTTGATATTAGGGTTTGCGTTTCTCATAAAATGTGTTGGGAAGTGATCCCTTTGCATCTATGTATTTAAAAAATCTGTGTAACACTGCCATTATTTCTTCCTTAAGTATTTGATAGAACAAATGAGTGAAACTGTTAAGTGAAGGGACTTTTTTATTGGATGGGAAGAGTTATTTAATATACATAGAGCTATTCAGATTTTCTGTTACTTCTCATGTAATTGTAAATTGCTTTATCAAGAAATTTGTCCATAATACACTGGACTTTAGAAATCAATTAAGTGGTGAATTATGTGCGTAATTTTCACATAACTGCTTTTCCTTGTGATTATTTAAATACTTAAATGTATAAATATATATTCCAATAAATATATAAATATATAGAAATATTTATTTAAATTTATATTTCTATATTCCAGTATATAAATATATATGTACTTCAATATATAAAGTATATACCTAAGTGTGTGTGTGTATATATATATATATATATACACACACACACCCTATTACTTTACTGTTACTTTATTATAAAGTAATAGAAAGGTTGAGAAATGTGGCATCTTTTACTGTTGTTATTGTGATCAGTAAATCTACTTTCCATTGCCAAGGTTGCTACAAATACCCTGCAATGGATACAGTAGGTTTTACAACCATTTTTACAGCAAAGTCTCTGATGGCTATAGTTACATGTGTTATATGTTACTGTACTGATTATATTAGCCACATATTTTGTAAACCAAGGCAAATTCAAGTCTGCCATCAAAGAATATCAGGAAACATATAACTGTTGCAGTTTGGGTTTTACCATTGAACTGAAAAGATGATTCCCTTGCTGACTCAGATATTCCTGATTAATTTTTTTAAGAACTGTTGAAAGTTTTACAGAAGTACTTTAAAATATTATCTATATGATTTAATAAATAAATCAGTTCAGTAGTATTCCTGCTTAAGGAAGTTATATTAATCTGTGTAATTAAATGTAGTAAAGTTGATTCAAGTAAAGGTTTTTTTTTCTTTTTTTTATGTAATATCTTTTTTTTTTTTACGTCTTTTTTTTTTTTAATTATACTTTAAGTTTTAGGGTACATGTGCACATTGTGCAGGTTAGTTACATATGTATACATGTGCCATGCTGGTGCGCTGCACCCACTAACTCGTCATCTAGCATTAGGTATATCTCCCCATGCTATCCCTCCCGCCTCCCCCCACCCCACAACAGTCCCCAGAGTGTGATATTCCCCTTCCTGTGTCCATGTGATCTCATTGTTCAGTTCCCACCTATGAGTGAGAATATGCGGTGTTCGGTTTTTTGTTCTTGCGATAGTTTACTGAGAATGATGATTTCCAATTTCATTCATGTCCCTACAAAGGACATGAACTCATCATTTTTTATGGCTGCATAGTATTCCATGGTGTAAATGTGCCACATTTTCTTAATCCAGTCTATCATTGTTGGACATTTGGGTTGATTCCAAGTCTTTGCTATTGTGAATAATGCCACAATAAACATACATGTGCACGTGTCTCTATAGCAGCATGATTTATAGTCCTTTGGGTATATACCCAGTAATGGGATGGCTGGGTCAAATGGCATTTCCAGTTCTAGATCCCTGAGGAATCGCCACCCTGACTTCCACAATGGTTGAACTAGTTTACAGTCCCACCAACAGTGTAAAAGTGTTCCTATTTCTCCACATCCTCTCCAGCACCTGTTGTTTCCTGACTTTTGAATGATTGCCATTCTAACTGGTGTGAGCTGGTATCTCATTGTGGTTTTGATTTGCATTTCTCTGATGGCCAGTGATGATAAGCATTTTTTCATGTGTTTTTTGGCTGCATAAATGTCTTCTTTTGAGAAGTGTCTGTTCATGTCCTTTGCCCACTTTTTGATGGGGTTATTTGTTTTTTTCTTGTAAATTTGTTTGAGTTCATTGTAGATTCTGGATATTAGCCCTTTGTCAGTTGAGTAGGTTGCGAAAATTTTCTCCCATTTTGTAGGTTGCCTGTTCACTCTGATGGTAGTTTCTTTTGCTGTGCAGAAGCTCTTTAGTTTAATTAGATCCCATTTGTCAATTTTGTCTTTTGTTGCCATTGCTTTTGGTGTTTTAGACATGAAGTCCTTGCCCATGCCTATGTCCTGAATGGTAATGCCCAGGTTTTCTTCTAGGGTTTTTATGGTTTTAGGTCTAACGTTTAAGTCTTTAATCCATCTTGAATTGATTTTTGTATAAGGTGTAAGGAAGGGATCCAGTTTCAGCTTTCTACATATGGCTAGCCAGTTTTAGAGAATAAAATACCTAGGAATACAACTTACAAGGGATGTGAAGGACCTCTTCAAGGAGAACTACAAACCACTGCTCAAGGAAATAAAAGAGGATACAAACAAATGGAAGAACATTCCATGCTCAAGGGTAGGAAGAATCAATATCGTGAAAATGGCCATACTGCCCAAGGTAATTTACAGATTCAATGCCATCCCCATCAAGCTATCAATGACTTTCTTCACAGAACTGGAAAAAACTACTTTAAAGTTCATATGGAACCAAAAAAGAGCCCACATCGCCAAGTCAATCCTAAGCCAAAAGAACAAAGCTGGAGGCATCACACTACCTGACTTCAAACTATACTACAAGGCTACAGTAACCAAAACAGCATGGTACTGGTACCAAAACAGAGATATAGATCAATGGAACAGAACAGAGCCCTCAGAAATAACACCGCATATCTACAACTATCTGATCTTTGACAAACCTGAGGGTTTTTTTTTCTTAATAGAATGTGACATTTCCTAATAAAACAGCACTTGAACCTGTTTTAAACTCTCTGAAAACATCCTAACTACATGGTTAAGACAGTCATGTATAAACCAATCATTATTTTTATTTGATTAATGAACTGTATATGTGAGCACAATGTACCACTGAATTGGATTCTAAAGGACAAAGAAGCATACAGTTCCGCAGATTTCCAAACTTATAATTTATTTTTATTTTTTTTATTTTTTTGAGATGGAATCTTGCTCTGTCACCCAAGCTGGAGTGCAGTGGCACTATCTCGGCTCACTGCAACCTCTTTCTCCCAGGTTCAAGTGATTCTCATGCCTCAGCCTTCCCAGTAGCTGGGATTACAGATGTGCCCACCAAGCCTGGCTGATTTTTGTATTTTTAGTAGAGACAGGGTTTTACCTTGTTGGCCAGGCTGGTCTCAAACTCCTGGGCTCAGGTGATCCACCCGCCTCGACCTTCCAAAGTGCTGGGATTACAGATGTGAGCCACTGCACCGGGCCTCAAACTTAAAATGTTATTTTTAAACTGATGACTTGGTCCAGCTTTCATTCTTGGAGTAAATATTTTATTTGAAGTTACTAAGTCCTATTTCAGCTATCTTAACTTGTTTAGCAATAAAGCTTTTGGCTTTACTTCTATTCCTATTTACTTCTCTCTTGTTATAATTCTTCACCCAAATTTGACTCTTATTGAATAAAAATTAGCAAAGAACCTATATTCTACCAGGGAGGAGGGGGCGGGGATAATATTCAAATAACTAAAAGCCAGAGCAGAAAAGAATATCTAAGTAAATGGTGCAGTTTTTCATAAAAGGGAATTTTTATTTCTGGCCTGGACAGAGTGAAGTAACAGAACTACAGTAGGAGTGATTGTGACAGCTGCTTGTTAATAAAACACACCCTTACTGCAGGACGTATTAGAGACTATGTTAGGATCCAAATTCACTATGAAATCACTAAAAACATTTCTTGCAGAGTAGTTCCTATTGTTCTCATTTGAAAGATAAGAAAACTGAGGCTTAGTTCAAATGACTTTGTCTGCAATATCCTGCAATTAATCTCATTCCTTTTGTTTAATATTTATTTGATTTATACCTAAAGAGGATAATTCTAAATTCTGTTCCTTCTGTCTTCTATACTACCACTTGTATTACTGTTAATTTTTCAAATACAGACTCCCAAAATAAAGCATATAAGTAGAATGATTTGTCTGCCTTTTCAATTGCAGTACAGAATATAATTAGTCTACAGTATAACTTTTATATATATATATATTTTATTATACTTTGAGTTCTAGGGTACATGTGCACAATGTGCAGGTTTGTTACATATGTATACATATGCCGTGTTGGTGTGCTGCACCCATTAACTCATCATTTACATTAGGTATATCTCCTAATGCTATCCCTCGTCTCTCCCCCCACCGCATAACAGGCCCCAGTGTGTGATGTTCCTCTTCCTGTGTCCAAGTGTTCTCATTGTTCAATTCCCACCTATGAGTGAGAACATGCGGTGTTTGGTTTTTTGTCCTTGCTATAGTTTGCTGAGAATGATGGTTTCCAGCTTCATCCATGTCCCTAAAACCATAAAAACCCTAGAAGAAAACCTAGGCAATACCATTCAGGACATAGGCATGGGCAAGGACTTCATGTCGAAAACACCAAAAGCAATGGCAACAAAAGCCAAAATTGACAAATGGTATCTAATTAAATTAAAGAGCTTCTGCACAGCAAAAGAAACTACCATCAGAGTGAACAGGGAACCTACAGAATGGGAGAAAATTTTTGCAATCTACTCATCTGACAAAAGGCTAATATCTAGAATCTACAAAGAACTCAAACAAATTTACAAGAAAAAACCAAACAACCCCATCAAAAAGTGGGCAAAGGATATGAACAGTCTACAGTATAACTTATAATAATTCTTGTGAGATCATCCCTTACTGGTGCTGTCTTCTTGTTTAACTGTTTTTAAAATTAGTCCCTCTTCATTTTCCAAATTCTATCCACAGAATAACAGGAAGCAAGTCATTTCCAGAGAGGCAAATGAATTTCCTTGCTTACAATTTTATGAAACTAGCTTTTTGTAGTCAGCTCTTTCTGAGAGTGGTGTTTTTTAATGTGGCCTTAAATACATCAAACTATTAACAATGATTGTTATTGGTCATTAAGATGTAGAGTAATTATTTTTTCTGTTTCTTTATATTAAATTGAGCCATATGAAAATACCAATATATGGTTTAATATAAATTTCCTAAAGGAAGTGTTTTTTTTCATGTAACAGAATGTCACAGATAGGGGCCTCACCAGGCACAGTACCTCAAGGGTCTTGCTCCTCTCCTCTGTGATTCCCTTGGTTCCGCTCATTGTCCTGTGTTGTTTTTATTCTTAGGTTGATAAGAGGATCATACTAGCAGTTCCTATAATTGCAACCAGATGGTAACTTTAACTGGAAGTTAGGGCCACACTCTTTTATGTCTCTTTCTTAAGAATGAGAAAGGTTTCCCTAAAGTCCTCCAACACAGTTGTTTCTTATTTTTATTTTTTTCACATCATTGTCCAGGATTAGATTATGAGATCATTCATAAACTAAGACATGGGGAGGAAAATGGAAGTACCATGATTAGTTCAGACTTACCAGTTGAGGTGGAATGGATATTGAGTAGCTAACCACCGTTCCACCAACTGTGTCTTGTATGTTAACCATTGAAGTTCAATACAGTCAAATGGGGAAAAATTGTAGGTTTCTGGGAAAAAAAATAGTTTGTGCTGCTTAATATAACTTTTCTTGAATTTGCTATTGTTATCCTAATTTTGTTAGTTAGAGGCAATTTTTTTGTTTAGTTGCTAAATCATTTTGCACAAAGGAATTATAAAACTGAAAAACAAATCTCAGTTCTTGGACTGTTGGTAGAATTTTCAGCTTTTCCAGAAAGAAAAACTGATGAGGAGTCAGAGGCCGCATATGCTGACTAAAAATTACTCTCGCTTTTCTCGAAGCAAAATGGAGACAAATTCTCATAAGCAGTCTCAAGAAACACAAGTTTAAAAGAATGCTTTACAGCATGAATCAACAAATGGAAACAATACCTTCTTGCTATTTTGTTTGATTTAGTAAAATTATTTTTAAATTACCCTGATTTGATTATTACACATTGTATGCTTGTATCAAGATATCACAAGTACCTTATAAATATGTAAAACTATTATGTATCCATAATAAAAATAATTAAGTTTTAAAATTATTTTAAAATCATTTAAATAATAATTTTATAATGATATAAACTAGAGGACATTTTGACAATCTTGGTAACAGATTCTAAAAGCTAATATTGCTGTCATTTCAGGCTACTTTAGTAATTTCTGCCAAATATGTAACTTAAAAAGCCCTAAATTTGCTTTTTGGCTACTGCTGTTATGCTTCATTAAATATACTATTGTGTTATATGTGTTGATTACATTTTGTGCTCAATGCGATACTTGGCCATAAAATATTTCCTGGTTATTAACATCAGTATATCAGAATCAGATTGCAGATTCAATATAAGTATTTAGTGAGAAATCCTCGTTAAGAATATCTTATTCAAACAGTTATCAATTTGAAAATACTGTAGTTCTAATTTCTAAAACACTGTCTTAATTGTTGGGTATAACATAGTATCAGAATAAACACTAACCTTAGTCAAAGTAAATAGAATATAAGATTGTATTAAAGTACTAATATTTACTTTAGAAATTTCTATTTAGTTTGTTCACTGGTATGTTGGTAGTAGGATAGTTCCTACTTAATTTTTTCTCTTAAAGGGAACTTTGCTGTGTTTGTCATTAAACAGGTAGCAAAAAGGAACTTTTATATAATTTTTTCCAAAATTTTTCTGAAGATTAAATTTGGCTATTGATGAAAAAGAAATATTTGGGATTGGAGTCACTGAATGAAGGCATGGATTCTAAGGCATTATTATTTATGAATAGCAGTTTCATAGAGAAAGAAGAGGTATCCAGGACAATAAGTGTGTAGGATACAGCATAGCGCATACTAATAGAATGTCTTGGTTGTTTATTATTTTATAGTCTGTTTGTTTGTAGAAGAAATAGGAATCCATTGCTATAACCAGAGTAGCATTTTTATTTTTAGTACCGTGGAAATTCTGTAAATGATAGAAAACTGAGCATTTTACATAGGATCTAATCTTCAGATTTCAATGACTAAACCCTCCAGAACTGAGAAGTATTATAATAAAATAAGGAGCAACAGGACATAATCATATAGACTGAAGTGCTTCTTGAGCTTCTGTTATTGACTGAATGCCCTTAGACCAATCTCTTGAATCTTGATTCCTCCTCATTACCAATTTGCCTGCCAAATAATATAGTTGGACTGCACTTCTAAAATCTTTCTCAGTTTTTGGTCTCTGTAATTGCCTGTTTTAATCTTGTAGACTACCCTAAAAAGACAATCCTTAGTCTTAATTGAAAGCTATTTATTTTATCCAAAACAACAACAAAAATCCAAAAAACTTAAGAACATCCAGCAAATAATTGATCAGGATGACACTAGAATTCAGGCTTCCCTTCTAGGCCAAGGTTTTTTGTCCTTCTGAAATATTTCCAAGCTTTATTTGTAGTTTTGCACTAATAAAGAAGGATATTGTTTTTCTTTTTTTAATATTTTTTCTCTATTTTTTTGATCACCATCATCCCATTCAGTACCAAGCGATATTCCTCACAGTTAATAAAAACTCAACACATGTTTGGTGATTAAAAGAATGAATGTAATTTTAAAAATATTTTTACCTATTAAGCTTAGCAGCATGCATAGCCCAATGTGTTGCATACCTATTTCAATATTTGTACCTGTTAAGCTTAGCAGCATGCATAGCCCAATGTGTTGCATACCTATTTCAATATTTGTACCTATTAAGCTTAGCAGCATGCATAGCCCAATGTGCTGCATACCTATTTCAATATTTGTATTTATGAAGCTTAGCAGCATGCGTAGCCCATGTATTGCATACCTATTTCAAATATGTTGAAAGCCATCAAGGCATTAAATGTTGTGGTTACTTATGTTTGTTTTCATGTGAAACTATATATTTGAAATAGATTTATGTGTACTGGTAATCCATGTCACTGCCATATAATGTGATTGAGCAAGAATATAACATTCTTAGTTTTTCTTTATTTTATATTATAATGGTGGAAAACTGAAAATTCCAGTTAGTTCAGTTGTTTTCAGCTTAAATTTTGTCAATTCAGGATGTAAATATCATCCTGATAAAGATTCTACCCCTTTTTTCTCCTCTCTCTTCACTTCAAATTGATCCAAGTTCTGTGGAGACACACTTCATTATTCAGTTAATCTAAGACACCATTAATTTTAAGCAGATCATTAAGAAAGAAAAGAAATAGCTGTCAGTTAAATTGTGAAATTATGTAGCGATTTTTTTTTTTTAATTAAGATGGAGTTTCGGTCTTGTCACCCAGGCTGGAGTGCGATGGCACGATCTCGTCTCGCTGCAGCCTCCCGCTTCCAGGTTCAAGCAATTCTCCTGTCTCAGCCTCTCATGTAGCTGGGATTACAGATGCCCGCCGCCACACCCAGCTAATTTTTGTATTTTTTAGTAGAGATGGGGTTTCACAATGTTGATCAGGCTGGTCCTGAATTCCTGACCTCAGGTAATCTACCCACCTCAGTCACCCAAAGTGCTGGGATTACAGGCGTGAGCCACTGTGCCTGGCCATGATATTTTTAAATTATACAAGAATTGTGCACACTAGCCTCTTAGTACTTTTTCACTGTGCTTTCTTTCTGAAGAATTTGGCAATTTATGTTTGCAGTTGTATTGCTTGGTGTATAATAGTTTCTCAAAACAGAAACTAGCAGAGTTTTCATTTATCCAGGGTATCTTTCCATCTTAAGAGATATTTGTTTTTGGCAAGCATGTATGGGATTCATGTCATCATTTAGTGCTAAATATTTGCTTCACTGATATTAATTATAGTTTACTATTCTCTTTTATGTATTTCTACACACAAAAAAATTCGCTTCAGTGGTGATTCATGAAATAAACTTTTTGAAGGTATTTTAAACCTCATTAAATTCATCCTTATAACACCAAAAATGCATATAATTCACTCAAAGTGACAACAATGCAAAGAGCTTTGATCCACAAATACAGCCAATGGCAACTATGTAAGAATTGCCCCTGTCTGACAGCTACTGTAAGATGCCATCAATTGAAAGATGCATCTGAAGTTCAGAGATGTTAAAATGTGAAAAATGTGTGTCTTATAAACTCTGAAATATAGTACCGTTCATAGGAAAGGTCATACTTGCTGTATTAGGGTTCTCTAGAGGGACAAAACTAATGGAATATATATGTATGGGAATTTACTAAGTATTAACTCACACGATCACAAGGTCCCACAATAAGCCATGTGCAGGCTGAGGAGCAAGGAAAGCAGGTCCGAGTTCCAAAACTGAAGAACTTGGAGTCCGATATTCGACGACAGGAAGCATCCAGCACAGGAGAAAGATGTAGGCTGGGAGGCTAGGCCAGTCTCTCACATTTTTCTGCCGCGTATATTCTAGCCATGCTGGCGCTGATTAGATTGTGCCACCCCAGATTAAGAGTGGATCTGCCGCTCTGAGTCCACTGACTCAAATGTTAATCTCCTTTGGTAGCACCCTTACAGACATACCCAGGATCAATACTTTGTATCCTTCAGTCCAATCAAGTTGACACTCAGTATTAACCATCACACTTGCAGTCTTCTATCTTTGCTGGCCACAGCTGAGGGATAGCTTGTCCTGCTTGGTTTTGGAGCACAGCCTCTATCCCTGCCATTCTTGCCAAAAGAGCGTCCTGTTAACAGACCCACTAAGATTATACCGTGTACTCCTGGTTCTGTTGCAGAGTTTGTTTGTTTGTTTGTTTTTGTTGTTTGTTTGTTTGTTTTGAGATAGATTTTGGCTCTCGTTGCCCAGGCTGGACTACAATGGCGTGATCTCAGCTCACTGCAACCTCTGCCTCCCGGGTTCAAGCGATTCTTCTGCTTCAGCCTCCCAAGTAGCTGGGATTACAGGTGCCTGCCACCATGCCAGGCTAATTTTCTGTATTTTTAGTAGAGGCGGGGTTTCACCATGTTGGCCAGGCTGGTCTCGAACTCCTGACTGCAGGTGATTCACTCACCCGGGCCTCCCAAAGTGCAGGGATTACAGGCGTGAGCCACTGCACAAGGCCTGCGGCATTTTTTTTGAGTCAACCAGTCTACCTTCTACAACTTCTATATCACCTCTCCAGAGAGTAGGAATCCTTAGCTACTTTTCTCATACCATATTGATTCTCCACTTTTTTCAGACTGCTGTGGAATTCCTGAGAAAGAGCAACTGAGGGATAGCAACATGGATTTCACTGAGTAGGTGGCAATTGAGTTAAAGTTATTTTTTTAAAGATATAAGTTAATCAAATAAGAGCCTATGAAGGCCCAGCATGGTGGCTCATGCCTGTGATCCCAACACTTTGGGAGGCCAAGGTGGGCGGATCACTTGAGGTCTGGAATTCAAGACCTCGCTTAAGGCTGGAAGACCATGCTTAAGGCTGGAAGAGAATTGGCTTAATTCTTGATAAGTTAAAAATAATTCCAATTGGGCATATAAATAAGAATGCCTTCTTCAATATTACATTTGGTCGTGGTTGAGTCATGCCAGGGAGGGAGTGGGGAGTGGTGGTTCCTACAGTAGCCCCTGAACAGCATGAAAACATCCAGAATAGAATTCTGAGGAAATTCCCACTCAAGGAATGAAATACTCTAAATGAGAGAGCTGGTCATACAGTCTTATAAATATAAACAGGTTCAAGGAAATGTTGGGCACAATGTAATATGATTGCTAGATCATAATAGTTATGCTAATTTGCATATGTTTTGAGGTTAATTACGAGTCTCAAAACGCCTTTCTGAAACCATATCTTAAGAGACTCTTTATGTGGTAGGTAATTTTCTATTTGAAAAAAATCTTTTAGATATTCCTCAGGGTCTCATATATAGTCAAGTTCAAAAGGCTATTTAGTGATAGAATTTGGATTAGGTTCTAGTAATTTTGTGTTCTCCTAGTTTATGAAACTGCAATTTTGATTTTACAGATTGACTTTTTTTCATAGTCTACAAATTCATTATCAGTATTATCATGGGTTTCAAGCGTTAAAAGGACAAGGGCTGTACAAAAGAATTCTAAGTGTTACATGTTTTTTTTTAATAACCTTCAGTATATTTTTTAAAGGATTAAATTTACTTTCAAAGTAAAAATATATTAGAACCTCATTATCTTATACTAATCATTTAGAGAACTATTACAGACTGCTGACTAAAGATTCAGATAAGATGAAAAAGAGCATTATTCATTTTCAGATGTTTTTCCAATGAAGTTCTAAATGTTATTGATGATTATAAAGGAAGATTTATTAAGTTTGTAAAATATGCACATTTTGTTTTTTTTTTTAATTTGGTTTGATCAAATGCTTTTCATTACGATGGCTCTTACTAGCAGAAATATTTTTGGAAGGCAGGATTTAAATTAAGTAGTAGTAAAGTTGTATAATTAGAATTAAAATCTATAAAAATTTGTATGTCAAAATATAGTTTTATATTATAATAAACTAGTTAGGCAATAAGAGAGTAAATGGGCAAACTTGCCCCATTGTAGTGTTTATTGGAAATCTTGTCTTTAGTATGGATAATTTTTGTTACCGTATTATAAATTTCCAAAGCATTGATTGTTTTATAGATTATACCTAGTAGCTTGTAGCTTTAGTAATCCTCATTTCTGAAGGTTAGAAATAGGAACAAATAACTGTATTTATAGGAACCATAGAAATGAATAACTGTTGTTGGCTCTTGAATAACATGGGGGCTAGGGGCACCAACTACACAGTCAAAAATCCACGTGTAATTTTTGGACTCCCCAAAAACTTAACTACTAATAACCTGCTGTTAACTGGAAGACTTACTAATATCATGAACAGTCAATTAACATGTATTTTGTATGTTATATGTATTATATACTCTATTCTTACAACAAAGCATGCTAAAGAAAAGAAAATGTTACTAAGAAAATCATAAGGAAGAGAAAATATATTTACTGTTCATTAAGTGAAAGTAGATCTCATAAAGGTCTTCATCCTTGTCTTCACGTTGAGTAGGCTGAAGAGAAGGAGGAAGGAGGGGCCGATCTTGCTGTCTCAGGGGTGGTAGAGGCAGAAGAGTTGAAGCAGGTGGAAGGGGAGGCAGGCACACTTGGTGTAACTTTACAGAAACACATCTGAGATTTTTGCCTTTTGATTTCTCTAAAACTGTTTCTATTGGTACCAATTCTTCTTCCACAGCTTGCTTTAGTTTTAGTGTCCATATCATAGAAAGGTCCATGTCATAAAAGAAGTTGAAAGCAGTCTTGAATAATTGGAATTCTTCTGCCACATTGACTACTGCCAATTTGTTTTCTGGTACAGCTTCTTCTACATCTTCTTCCTTATCATGTGGCACTGGTTCAGAAGCACTCATCTCCATCAAGTCATTTTCTGTTCATTGTTCCATTGTAATGTCAGTTAGCTCTTGAATTACTCCAAGATCCTCATCTTGACATCTTTTATTACCGATTTTTTTTTTTTGCAATATCCACAGTTTCTTTCATGATTTCCTTGATTGGCTCTATTGTAAATCCTGTGAAGTCATGTGCAACATCTTGAAACAGTTTCCTCCAGCAGAACTTACTGTTTTGCACTTGATGGCTCTCAAGTCTTTTTCAATAAAATAGCAGCATCTTCAATGGTATATTCCTTCTAGACTTTCATGACGTTCTCTCTATTGGGATCTCTTCCATAGTGTTGAATAAACCTTTCCATAGCGTACTGGGTGTAATAAGCCTAAGCATCCTTATGGCCCCCTTATCTCAAAGCTGAATTAGAAACATTGTATTTGGAGGCCAGTAGACCACTTCAATGCCTTCAGTGTTGAATTCCTGGGGTTCTTTGTGGCCCAGGCCATTGTCCAAAATCAAAAGAACTTTAAAAGTCAGTCCCCTACTAGCAATGTACTTCTGGACTTCAGGGACAAAGCATCAGTGGAACCAGTCCAGAAAAAGAGTTTTCAGTGTCCAGGCCTTCTTCTTGTACAACTAAAAGACTGGCAGCTGGTGTTTGTCTTTTCCCTTCAAGGTTTGGTGGTTAGCAGCTTTGTATGTAAGGGCAATCCTAATGAGAAACTCTACTGCATTTGCATGAAACAGTACTGTTAGCCTATCCTTTCAGTCTTAAATCATACTGCTCACTTCTCTTCCGTATTAATAAGTGTCATTTGTGGCTTTTTTTTCCAGAACAGGGCACTTTAATCTGTATTAAAAACTGTTTAGGCAGATGTCTTTTCTCCTCAATGATTTTCTCAGTGGTTTCTGGGGACTCTGGTCTGTTGCCTCTTGGTCAACAGAAGCTGCTTCTCCTTTTAGCTTGACAATTTTTTTAAGCCAAACCTCTTTCTGAAATTATTAAACCATCTTTTGTTGGCATTAAATTTTCCAGCTTTAGATCTTCCACCTTCCTGTTGCTTTAGATTATAATACAATGATTTTGCTTTTTCTCAAATCATGTTAGAGTCTGTAGGTTTGCATTTCTTACAGCAATCATGCAACCACACAAAAGCTTAATTTTCAATATGAGATAAAAAAGTTATTTCAAAAAAAATGCAAAGATGCTGTGCTTGCTAATGAAGCTGCAGTGACAGTTTCACATTTTTTTTTCCTTTGTTACAGTGGTCCTTAGGCTGGATTCATTATTCTGGAAATGGCAGGCAACCCCTGCTGCAGATCTCCATCTACAATACATATCAAGCAATCCAACTTCTTTTTTTTTTTGTAATGTCATGACTTTTTTCTGCTTCCAGCAAAAGCAATTCCATCATCAATAGTGGCATTTTGTATGGGTGTCATCATGTTATTCAAGGTTTATGATATTGCACTAAATGCAGTAGAAACTATGCGAGAATCATGAGAGATCACTTTTACTGCAATACACAATTTACTGGAGATACGAATTGCCCATGTGGAGATGATTAGTGTCACGTGGTATTTTAAATAAATACCAACAACGCTTGAGCTCACCATAATAATAACTAGAGGGGACTGTGAAATTACTACAGTAGTACACTATGTACTATAGTTAATTTTCTACAGTTATGATTTAATACTACATCTTTATATTTACTTACATATCTCTCGACTGCAAATAGCACCATGTATAGTCTGTGCTTATGTGCATAAGTTTTGATAAATTTTAACATAGTAGATTTGTATATATGTTAGGATCATAAATGATAAAATAAATCAGCATCTACATTTATTTTATCCATTCATGGCATACTTTTTTCTTAAATTTTTAATATTTCATTTTCTTTATTTGAGACAGAGTCCTGCTCTGTTGCCCAGGCTGGAATACGGTGGCACAATCTCTGCTAACTGCAGCCTCCGCCTCCCGAGTTCAAGTGATTCTCCTGCCTCAGCCTCCTGAGTAGCTGGGATTACAGGAGTGCGCCATCACACCTGGCTAATTTTTGTATTTTTAGTAGAGATGGGCTTTCACCATGTTGGCCAGGCTGGTGTTAAACTCCTTACCTCAAGTGATCTGCCTGCCTTGGCCTCCCAAAGTGCTGGGATTACAGTTGTGAGCCATCACGCCCGGCCTTTTTTGATATTTCTAAACTATGTAGTTCATTGTAATATTTTTCAAATTGTCTCAGATCTCAAAAAAACTTTAGAATATATTTATTGAAAAAAATCTGCACATAAGTGGTACTATGCAGTTCAAACCCATGTCATTCAACAGTCAACTGTATTGTATACTCAAGTCAACTAAAGTCATTTATGAATATTATATGAGGATAAACTTTATTATGAATATAACCTAGTCTTTACTCACAGTAGTTAAATATAAAATTCCTTTAAATAGTTAGAATTTCTGTTTAATAGATAATTTCTGAAATAATTTAGACAAAATAAGCATGTGTTATTGGTGTTCTTTTTAATAATTTTTAAGACTAAGTACTTTTATTATATTCTTCCTTCCCCTCCAAATCTTTCTGAATAGTTTTAAATGTTTTTAAAATTGTTCTAGAAAGGATATTTATGGTATTTTTTTCTTTTTCTTGCAGATAAGAATGTGCCTTTTGATGAAAGAACTTTATCTTTCTACAATGAAGAGTGGAATTTCTATGTTTAAGGAATAAGAAGCCACTATATCAATGTTGGGGGGGTATTTAAGTTACATATATTTTAACAACCTTTAATTTGCTGTTGCAATAAATACCGTATCCTTTTATTATATCTTTATATGTATAGAAGTACTCTGTTAATGGGCTCAGAGATGTTGGGGATAAAGTATACTGTAATAATTTATCTGTTTGAAAATTACTATAAAACGGTGTTTTCTGATCGGTTTTTGTTTCCTGCTTACCATATGATTGTAAATTGTTTTATGTATTAATCAGTTAATGCTAATTATTTTTGCTGATGTCATATGTTAAAGAGCTATAAATTCCAACAACCAACTGGTGTGTAAAAATAATTTAAAATTTCCTTTACTGAAAGGTATTTCCCATTTTTGTGGGGAAAAGAAGCCAAATTTATTACTTTGTGTTGGGGTTTTTAAAATATTAAGAAATGTCTAAGTTATTGTTTGCAAAACAATAAATATGATTTTAAATTCTCTTAAAGTGGTCCAAATTATGTGTTTATAAAATAAACATAAGACTATAGAATTAAAAATTAATATATGTATTTGTAATTTGTCGGAAAATCTATCAAAATGTTATTCTATTTTAGCAACTACTATGTAACATATCTGCTTTGATTAGATATTTCAGAAATCTGTGAATTTTACAGCCATTTAATATCTTTACTGTATAGTAAGATGTAGAAATGGCAATAATGGCATAGTTCAAATACTTCATTGTGTTATGGAACAGGGGATTGAGGAATTAAACACATAGACTTTGGAGTCAGATCTATATTCAGAGACTGACTTCACGATCTCTGAACAAATTATTTAACCTCACTGAGATTCAATTTTTCACATTCTAGAAGTTAGAGGAGAACTTATAGGAAAAGCATGGGTCATGAACTCAGTTGCTTACTGAGACCAGGGACGTAATTTAAATGTGCATGTAAGTCAGGATTGGCTAGGTCAGAGAGAGTTAACATATGGTTCCAAATCACAGTGGGTTGCAACAAGGATTTATTTTTCACTTCTGCTACATGTTTGTTATGAACTATGATTCTGCTCTTTGTAGTCTTTTCTCCAGGACCAAAGATGATGTGAAAACCTCTGCCCCAAATGTTGTCTCATATCTAAGCATCCAGATATAATGCACTGCATGCTAGTTCATTAGCTTTTGCCTCAAGGTGATAAATTTCAATTTCACCTACATTTTATTGGCCAAAACAAACCATAAGGCTGCACCCAAGTTCTACAAGGCAAGGATAGATAATTCTTTCGCAAGGAAGTAAATTGGAGTATTTGGCTATCCACAATGCAAACTTATTTTTACCTATATGCCAACTGGCTTTCCATAGTGAATCAAGTCACCATGATGTCAGTGTATATATATATATATATATATATATATATTGTGTGAGCAGAGACTAAAGTGGAAGGTATTTGTTCTTCTAAAGGAATCGGCCTCTCTTCAGATCCCACTAATAGTTACCATGAGAAAGTCCTTGCCTGTGTTGTTAGCTCTTAGTTTTTACTTTCCAAGAGAAGCCAAACCTACAGATATTGTGTATGAAATATCCCTAATTTAAAATGTTATTAGCGGCCGGGCGCGGTGGCTCACGCCTGTAATCCCAGCACTTTGGGAGGCCGAGGCGGGCGGATCACGAGGTCAGGAGATCGAGACCATCCTGGCTAACACGGTGAAACCCCGTCTCTACTAAAAATACAAAAAATTAGCCGGGCGTGGTAGCGGGCGCCTGTAGTCCCAGCTACTCGGGAGGCTGAGGCAGGAGAATGGCGTGAACCCGGGAGGCGGAGCTTGCAGTGAGCCGAGATGGCGCCACTGCACTCCAGCCTGGGCGACAGAGCGAGACTCCGTCTCAAAAAAAAAAAAAATGTTATTAGCACAGAACACATATTTGGATTAAATTTGGCCCCATACCTTATATTTTATGACATGGAAAAAATCATATACTGTAGTATCTTGGAAATAATAATTTATTTAATAACTGCTGTCATTTATAAGCTAGCTTTTTCATTAACACTCATTAGAAGTAAGAATCAAAGAATAAGAATTCTGATAAGTGGCTGGGCGCAGTTGCTAACTCCTGTAATCCCAGCACTTTGGGAGGCCGAGGTGGGCAGATCACGAGATCAAGAGATTGAGACCATCCTGGCCAACATGGTGAAACCCTGTCTTTACTAAAAATATAAAAATTAGCTGGGAGTGGTGATGTGCGCCTGTAGTCCCAGCTACTTGGGAGGCTGAGGCAGGAGAATCGCTTGAACCTGGGAGACAGAGGTTGCAGTAAGCCAAGATTGTGCCACTGCACTCCAGCCTGGGTGATAGAGTGAGACTGTCTCAAAAAAAAAAAAAAAATTCTGATAATTAAGGCAACTTAAAGTAAGGATCATTTTCATAAATGGTCTCCAAGTTGCTTTTAAAGAGGATGTTACCAAAATGTTTTCAGCACTGGCACCAACTTAATTAGAAATATACAATTTCTCTAGATGACTACTTCGAAAAGGATATCCTTCAACTGGACATGGAAATTTTGTCATGTTTATTAAAAATTCCTTTATTATTTCCATTATTATTTTCATATAGTCATTCATATACTGCAAATCTAGTTATAATTATTATAATAAGCCACACTTTTATTAAAGTGCTCAATAATACATCTACAAAATCACCTACAAAGCTGATATGCTGAATTTTAGCTTCATTAGATACGTAACAAGCATGCTGATGAAATTGTTAGGATTTTTACCTAAAACCCTAAAACTCTATATGTACATTTAAAATTAACTGGTGATACCTTAGATGTAATAAAAACATGTTGTTATTCTCCTTTCCCATTTGGTACCTCCTTTTAGTGGTATTATTGGTATTAGCCAAACCTAGGAATTAGAGATCAGTAGAGCTGGTACAGTTGAGTCTATAGCGCAGGAGGAGAATAAGTGGGAAGAAAGAATAGGTTTTGGAGTAACTTACAGGTGTTTTTTTATGCTTGAAGCTTCTGTCCAACCCACTGTGTGGAGCTAGAAAATCAAGTAACTTCTTTCTGCCCACCTTCTCTTAATTATTAGGTGGATACCCACTGCTATGAAAACAAACCCTTGGGCTGCCTGCACCTCATCAGATTCTAGCTGGTGTTTGAGTTTCATTATTTTACCAAGGATACAGCCCATTGCCCTTAATCACCTATCCTCTATGTCTTTTTTTAATGTTTTTCTTTGGTACTTTAGTTTGAATTATATTCATTTTAATTTACTCATTATAGTTTTATCATTTTTACCTTATTTACTTTTCTATTTTTTTTAATTCTCTAACCACTTCCATTAAGTGAAGCAATAAAGAAAAGATTGTTTTCTCTTAAGTTGGGAGGTGAAAAATAGCTTATAAGGAAATAAATGAAGGGATGAAGACAGTGAAATGATCCATTCCATAAAAATGGGCAGTTAGACTAATTATTTCCCTAAATACCCCTCTGGCCATCCCATCATTTTCAAGGATTTTTTAAATAAACAGTTTTATATTCTGTGCCTTTGAAGAATCAAGCAAAAAGTATTCTCAACACCAATTTATGCTTGATTTGCTAAGATGGATGTTATTTCCATTAATTCTCACCATTTCTTAACATTAGAAATTGAATATTTTAAATTCATCGTCTTTAACATATTTTGCCTGTCTATGTCAGTCACCTGTTATATGGCAGGAGGTAAAAGTAGATGAGAGGAAATTTAGGGAGGAACTGTCTCTAAAACTTCTATGTCTGGCTGGTAAGAAACTATGGCTGCTGCATCTCCCGTCAAAAGATCTCATTGTAGATCCACAGTATAGGACCTATAGCCAGGTGTTCTGGCTCTATTTTTGCATCAGATTCTAGTATATGTGGTTTTATTTGCACTTCTCTTCATTCTTATTATACAGGTTCCTTCAGTACCCATGCCAGTACCCATGCCTGGTGATATACCAGGAATATGTTGAAATTACTCAGGTGTTTTTTCTTAAATAGGCTTTTTGAAGCAAAGTAAGCAAAACAACTCTGATAGTTACTTCTCTTAATCTGCCAGGGTTCTTTTTAGGTCAACCTGGGCCTGTACGTATTATTATTTGCCTAAAATGGAGTGGAAGTTCATTTCATCCTCGGATTCTTCTCACTCCCTTACCAGAAGAAAGTTCTTGACATAGCATGCAGCTTTCGCTGAGGGCTGACTTTTTCTGATTCTTTGTCTCCAAAGCCGGAAGTATGAGCATGTTTAAGCTCCAGACTTTGGTTCTTATTCCCTTGTTTCATGTATTTTTCTTAACGAATATATTGTTATTCATCCATGCAGGGTTCAAGCTCCCTCCCTAAAATATAAAGTTCAAGACTAGCCTGACTAACATGGTGAAACCCCATCTCTACTAAAAATACAAAAATTAGCCAGGCATAGTGGCGGGTGCCTGCAATCCCAGCTACTTGGGAGGCTGAGGCAGGAGAATCATTTGAACCCAGGAGACAGGTTGCAGTGAGCTGAGATCGTGCCATTGCACTCCAGCCTGGGAGACAGTGAGACTCCCTACTCCAGTTGTTTGTTTTTGGTTTTGTTTGTTTTTTGTTGTTTTGTAATAGGATAGCTTGTGCCCTTACAGCAACCTCATAAAGAAATGTATCTTTCCACCTTCTAACTGGACCCTCTGACTAATTTTTTTAACACTATTTTCCCAGTACTAGGAAACTTCTCATGGACCAATAGTTTCTGTTGGATAAATAAGCTAATGTTTAGGTAGACTAGTCCCAGTGTAGTCAGGGAGTCCAGGAAGTCTGCAGATTTACCTGTTTCCAAGCAACAAATGTGACTTTTGATTAGCTGTCCTTGGCTTGTCAGATCTGCAGTACAATATACCTAGAGCTATGGATTTAACAAATCCTAAATCCTAAGGTAAAATCAATAGGTATAATCTTTCAGAAAAGACAAAGTCTGCGTCATTTCTGCTGATAATTATTTTATTCTTAGACCAAATCTAGGTTAGCTCCAAAAGTAAACATCCCAGTTATTTGACTTGTATTTTCTAATGAACTTTAATATCCCATTTTCAAGACGTGAATTATTTTAAAATATCACATACTTTTATTATGTTAACTTTCTACAGGTAAAATCATCTTTTCTGGATAAGGGTAGGTTCATCAGTTTTATTTCTTGCATCCACAGGAGGCTGCTGCTTATTGCTTCTGATTTAGTTGCCTGTTAAGGCACTGAACATTATTCCTAACAAGGGCACCTACAATGAATAGCTGTGTACAGTTTATTTTCCTTTAACTCTTTTCTGCTGTCTTTGGTATAAAATTATATCTAAGGACCTGAAAGCCAAAAAACTGTTAGCAGGACAAAAGGGACTTTTCATAGGAGTGCTGAAGAGCAAGATAACTTGTATAGGAAATGTGATGGTCCCTAGCCTATGAAAATATATATTTTTAATATATGTGTACTGGCCCAACCCTTGAGAATCCACATTATATTGCCATGAGAAGTGGCCTAAACATCTATAACAGTTAGAAAGCTCCATGAGTGATTCTGTTGTAACTCCAAATGGGAAACTTCTGTCAGTGTGTAGATAATCACACTGTGATCTAAAGCAGAGTTCAGAGATGACCGTACCTTATATTAATTTCTGGCTCCATTATTTTTTGAATCTTATTTATCTTCATTGTTTCTTTTTCCACAGTCCACTGTTTTCCACATACAATTAATAGTTAAGATTAATTGAATACTAGTATGATAAATGTTTTAGATTTGTTAATTCATTCAATCCTCACAATAACTTTGAGGGAGAGACTATTATCCCTATTTTTGCAAATAAGGATACTAAAGCTCAGAAAAATTGCAGAATTTGCCCCAAAGAAAACAGCTAAAATGTAGTAAAATGGCCTGCTAAATAAGTTCAGAAAATTTATTTTTGCTAATAGAAAAATCTCCATTTGTTTCCAAAAAAATGAAAAGTTTGTTTATAAACGCATGTTAAATAAAAAAGAATCAATTTGAGGAGGTGAGGATATTAGGGCACAAAGAAACAAAAGTAGGAAAATAAGGTCACAGCATAATTTCATGGCCTCAAATCTATCATATAAGTTGCTAAAAATGTGCCATAAATTTCATTCAAGAGAGAGGCAAAAGCTGTTCAGTTATTGCCAGTGCAGAAACCAGAGGGAAATTTGTTTTCCAAGGTTCTCAAGGAGTAATGTAAGGAGATCCCATGGTATAAATTAGTGAACACTTTCCTCAATATATTTATAGTAACCTCAGAAAACTATCGTGCACATCTTTCTTATAATGCCTTTTAACATATACTAGCATGTCTTACACTAGATGTACTTACACTACAATATAATCCAGTAAAATTCATTTCAGAGAAGCAAAATAATCCTGTGTGTTTAAAATTATTTAATAGTTTATATTAACTGAAGGGTAAATTTTAATGCCATCTAAGACAGCCTTTCCCAAAATACAGTCTGTGAAACAACCTATAAAAACAATCAGCATCTTTCCGTGGCTTCTCTGATATCTTCCTTTTTTATTTGTATGTTTCTTTTCTCTTTCTCCCTTTGTTTGTATCTCTTTGTACTTATGCATCTCCTTGCCTCTTATGTTTCTCCTAGATCTTCTCATCTTCACACTAACATCTTTCCCTGGTCATAACCACCCATTACTTCAGTTATGATATTAATGCAGTTTCAAATAAAACATCGCACCAAAGTTGAACAGGCAAGGAAGACTTTATTCAAGGCCGTTGCAATGGTGAGATCCCAGAACTAAATCTAAACTCATCTTCTCTGGAACAAAAGGCAGGAATGGCTTTTTAAGCACTGGGTGCCTGGCCAAAACATACTGGAGGATACCAGGGGAGAATCCTAGGGCACCTGTATTTGTTTGCTAATTGGCTTTACCCGATGGAAAACTAAACTTCTCACATCTTTGTGATAGAGAATGGTTTTGCAACTTGGCTTCAGGAAGGTAGGAGCCAAGTTGCAAAACTACCATCTGTCATAAACTGTCATAAACTCTATCATAGAAACTGTCGGTGCTATCTTCCTTGACATTTATTTAGACTTCAAAAAGATGGCTTTTTGGTCCTTGAGGAAAATATGCCGGGGTTCTAAATTTGGCAAGAGGATTTAAAAAATATTTACATCTGAAATGGGCAAATAGTAATTTTATAATTATGTTGTCTAAGGTGTATACTCAAAAAAAGCAAAAAAGTAGATAAGTGGCCACAAGTTAGATAGAAGCCTGTCTAAAGTTCAGTCAAGCTGAGGGGAACATTAATGCTGTTTTGGACAACAGGTTAATCAGAAATGTGGATTTCCTTAGATTTTCATCTGATATTTAAAACCCATATTTTCAAGCTTCTATATACAAATCATATGTATGTATATACACATACACACACATACATCGATCTATATATCTATCTATATCTATATATCTATATATCTACCTATATCTATATATCTATATATCTACCTATATCTATATATCTATATATCTACCTATATCTATATATCTATATATCTACATATATCTATATATCTATATATCTATATATATCTATATATCTATATATATCTATATATCTATATATATCTGTATATCTATATATCTATATATATCTGTATATCTATATATCTATATATATCTGTATATCTATATATCTATATATCTATATCTATATATCTATATATATCTATATATATCTATATATCTATATATATCTATATATCTATATATCTATATATATCTATATATCTATATATCTATATATATCTATATATCTATATATATCTATATATCTATATATCTATATATCTATATATCTATATATATCTATATATCTATCTATATATCTCTTCCACCCCACATGGATGGCCCAGAGATACATCAAACTGATGGTCATTATCATTCTTACACAAACTACCCTTACTTTGTGTTACCAATCTCAATGAAGGGCACCAACATTCATTCAAGTGTCCAAGCCAGAAGTCATGCTATCTTCTCTTAGCATCTCCATCACCTTCCATACCCTAAGCAACACCTTGCTCATATATGCATACAATCAAATAGGGAAATTAGCAATACCTAATTAATTTTTTCAAGTTAAAATTATTGGACCTATGTTCTATGGGCTAGACAATTAACATCTCAGTTTGCCATGTCTTTTTTTTTTTTTTTTTTTTTTTTGGTGAAATAAACAGAAATGTCCTATGAGAAAAGTCCTTACTGTTCTACTGGGTACTATCTGAGCCAATTTCCAGATTGAATTGGGGCCTTCCATCCAGGCACATACACTAATTAGGCTCTCCAATTTCCACCAGAGAATTTTAACTCTATCTCCATCTAAGCATTTGAGTTCATCTTTAATAATAGGTAATGTTTTCACTGTAAGATTTTATTATATTCATTTACCTAAAGCTCACTAGCACAAGTTTTTTATAAAGACTGGTGGCAGAAATCACTAGTCACCAATTTCTCTATTCTGAATTTTGTCCATGAGTTAATTCAGGCTGCCAACAGCTGTACAAGTTGACTATATCGTTTTCCTCTTGTAGAATTTCTTTTAACTATCTGTCATTATGCCACTGCTGAACAGAGATATTATCAAATACATAGCTGTGAAAGATAAGGTTATATTCAATGTGTCATTAATGAGTAAGTTTTACACTATATCACAGCATATATCTTTTATAAGGAATTTTGAGAAATATTCTACTTCAGTATCAAAATGTTTGGGTTTCCATTGAGCAGCTAGTTTTATTTTTACTTTACATGCTTTGAGGTGTTTGTAATTATATGGCTAGTTCTTTCTTTTTATCCACAAAACTTGTGAGCTGAACCAGAAGCCTCTGTTTACCAAAGTACAAGACTGTATAATATCATTTTTTGTATTCACTTTATCTCTGGAGTATCAGTTTGGTTATGTGGCTACATGTAACCAAAAAACCAAATAGGAGATGCGTTTTTCTAATATCTTGATTTCAGGGAGTTTGTGGTTGCTATTGTTAACATCTTTATAGCTCAGGGGATCCAGGCTCAAGGTCTCTAAAAACGCGTTGGTATTTTCTTTATGATCTTAAGATGACTGTTCCAACTCTAGCCATCCTGCCTTTGTTTGCAAAAGGAAGGAGGAAAGAAAAGAACGAAAGAAATATGGTTGGCCCTTTGAACAGCTGTTTCAGGCGCCTATTATTTCACATAAAACTCTTCAAAACTTAGTAGCTAAAAACATTTATCATCATATTTTATTCTGTGTATTGACAAAGCTTAACTGGCTTTCCTCACTTGGGATCTCTCATCTGATTACAGTCAGATTGTGTCTGGGACTGGAATCATCTAAATATTCAGCTGGGTTGGAAGTCCAAGATGACTCACTCTTGTGGCTGAGAGTTGATATTAGCTGTTGGCTGGGAGCTCAGCTGAAATGCCTACGCACAGCTTTGGCTTCTCATAGCGTGGCAGCTGGGTTCTAAGAGAAAGCTTCCCAACAGTAAGCATTTAAAGTGAAAGTGGCAAGTCTTCTTATAATCTGGTTTTACATGTTTGAGAATATTGCTTCTGCCACATTCTATTGGTCAAGCAAATCACTAAGGTGAGCTCAAACTCGCAGGAAGGAAATTAGATCCCACCTCATTGTGCGAAAAACAGCATATGTGAGCAAAGAGAGAAAGGACTCAATGGTGACTATTTTTGGAAACTATCTACCACTGTACTCTCTGCCTACCAGTATTCATGTTCCTCCCACATGCAAAATCAACTACGGTTTGAAGTCTAGGATTCATCATTCAAATAAAGTTCAAGGGGAAATGAGGGTCCAACTTCTCAGGTGCAATTCCTCAAGACTAGTTTCTTTTTAACAGAAGAATTTTGAACCAAAGAGACAAGTTACCTGCTCGGTAACACAATAAGTTATCTTCTCAACTGAATGCTCAATATAACAATGGTGATACAAGGTTATGAAACTGACAAAAAAAAAAAAAAGACAATTTTAAAAAAGACTGTGCTCTGGTAAAAGACAGCACTCACTCATCGATGGCAGTTCTGAAGTTTAACTGAGCACATGCCACCAGTTCCTTGACTGGGGCCCAGTCCTGCCCCAGATAATGTGCCTCTATGTCACTTGGCTCTGCCTTCTAGGCACCAGACTTTGTGCCCTACACTTCTTTCTTTTCCATTAGCAATCGCCTGTGTTTGCCGCTAAATATCTTTCTCAGCCTACTTCCTCCTAGAAAAAGTTTGAGTCCCCAATGACTCTTTTGAAAAAAATTCTGAACTGCCTCTATGACTTTTAATTCAGTCTTATTGAGGTTCACACCATTAGACAAATGTCAGCCCCACAGTTTATTTTTCGTCAGATAGATTCCTCTTCACTGTAGGATTAGAGTCTTGATACCGTGGGTTCCCAGCCTTAAGATTCCTAGGAGTCCTGTTATCTAGTTGAAAGAGTCTTTATAATACTCCTTCATATTCACAGATGCCTTTTTCTGATTGCAGCCCTGCCATAAATGTTTCTGAGGTGTCAATAAAGGGTCCTGTAATTGCTCTATTGAAGTTAACTCTACCCTGATGTCATGTGTTACTGAAAACACCTTGGGACTGAGTTTTACTCTGAGGCTATTTCTTATTTGGAGAAAAATTTTGCTACTTGGAGAAACTAGGGATGATAAATAATTTTATTTTTGAACACAGTAAGTCTTAAATCTTTTTTCCTCTCAATTTTTCTATAAAACACTGAATATTATCTTTCTAAAAATGTCATTCTCTCCGTGAGTACCTAATGTTATGCATCTAACAGAAACCAACTGGCACTTTCAACACTCTGCCCGGAAACCTCCTTATCCTGATATAGAATTCATTAGGACCATTTTCTGTTTACTAAATTACTGCAGTGTGTTATCAATAAACCTTTTGCCACTGAAAGGTTTTATGAGACCTAGTCTCACGAGTTCCTGAATGTAACTTCTGCTATATTCCAATAGCCAAATCAGTCACTAAAGCCTTCTCAGATTCAAGAAAAGAGAAATAAAACTTCAGCTCATGATATACGATGGAATATTTATATAAAGAAAGGGAGGCAATTTATGGTGAGTTATTGTCAGAGATTATTTAATGCACTAAAGCAAAATTTTCCCAGAAATCCTCAGCACAGTTTAATCTTTTCTCATTGACCAGAATTGTTTCCTATTTCAGAAAGCGAGCAGCAAAGTACTGGAAAATATGGTTGTGTGTGTATGTGTGTGTATTTGTGTTCATTGTCAACCCTCACAAAAAATAAACGAGGAGGTCCCTTAAAGAGAAAGATGAATATGGATATTTGATAGGAATCTAACAAAATATTCTGTAGTTCATACATTGGCTACCTAACACTTAACGTTCTTTAAACATTCTTCTTTTAAATGGTGTAACATAATTACCTCTTTTCCACTAGAGATATCTCAAACTCTCTTCTAGTTATGCCATCCAACTCAGAGTCCAAAGTGTGTGATCTTGGTGATATGTAATCTCAACAATAGAACAACTAGCAATTCCTGCTTGTCTGGCATTGTATTACCTAAAAGACAAAGCATCTGTCCCCAAAACATGTACAATATTTGAGAAGAAATAGATCAGCTATTTTGAGAAATTTAATCCAGGAAAAGATGGGATTAAGCAAATACAGAGAGGTTACTGATCTCGCATCTCTCAAATCTTACTGATCAGGAATGACAAGGACTCCCTGAACCAAGAGCAGTGTAAGCTCTTGGTCAGGCAGTATTTTACTCCTTCATTCAGTTTCTGTGTTCCCTGGCTCTGCCCTCTGAGATGTTGTACAGATCTGATACTTCAAAAGCCTGAAGAGCTCCTGTACAGCTCTCAGAAACTACTGCCTGTGGTTGTGTGTTGGAAGAGTGTAGTAATTCTTTGGTAAATTTTTTAGTGGAGCAATGATAGTCATGAAAGTTTGCAGTCCAGACAGGGTGTGTGGTCACTATACAGTTCTGTTAGAGCATTCGTAGATTACTTGTATCTAGTCAGTATCCTGTAGGAGTAACTATAGCTAAAGATCTTATCTAGTCAAAATTTTTGACATTGAATATTCCTGTTATTGACTGGGCCTTTATGTTCATTGACTTGGGATAATTGAAAAATAATATACCTGGGAAGAGGCTAAACCCTTACTCTCATTTTTGCCTTTAGATGAACTCCATTTGCCTGGCTGCCTATGAGTTTCTCTTGCTAAGTTTGTTGCTTTGCTATCCTTGCAATGGCTTCTATGTAAAGTATTAAAATTGCTTTTATTCTTTCTTTTTCTAAGTCTTCAAATTATAGGATTCTCTGGCAATATAAATGTCAGGCTGTGGGCAGAGAGTGCTTCCTTATCTAAGTGGCATTTCCCTCCATCTGTGCTTGCAGGCTATTTACTTCTCACTTGGGTCCATCTTGCTCTTGTAGAATTTTCCTAATGGTGGCAATGAGAGCCGGCACTAGCCAATATTCTAATCAGTCCCTACTCTTTTAAATAGTATAGCTTCAGTCAGTGTATAGTTTGCCTTACAAAGTATATCAAGTGACAATTGAATCCAAATATATTCCATTGTATATAAAGTGCGTTCAGCTTTCTTGTGTGTGGTTTCCAAAACCGGAATTTTCATCTCTCCACTTTCTCCATTAAACTGCAATATAGTTTCTGTTACTTGTACCAAACATATTTCTAGTAACAATTACTAAATCAATTGAGGTACTTAGTGCAACAACAATGCATTCTAGCTAATTTAAGTAGCAACTGTTATGAGCAATCTCATAACAGCCCTAGATTGGCCAGGGACAACATTTTCTAAAGGGACACATCACTTCTGCCACACTCGTCGCTTAACACTTGTGACATTAGAAACTGGATAACAGAACTGCTATAGCTGCCCCTGAAAAATAGATCTCTGTGATTAAACATGCCAGAGGATCAAGTCTCCCTGCCAGAGGCTGCCTCATTTTGCTCCATCAAACTTCTGTTTGATATTACAAAGCAGTCTAGGGATTGCTGTTTTTAGCTTTTCAGCCTCTACTTTACAGAAAGACAAGCTAAAAAAGATGCAGGAATGGATGTTGAATAAGTGGATATGTAGCATTTGCCATATATGGCTTCATTGGATGTTCTCCCCTTGTTGAAAAACAGCATAACATAGTGACAAATACAGCATAATAGGTTCAGCACACAGACTTCAGGGATATCCATACTTCATTAGCTGTATAGCTTTCAGTATTACTTAATTTTTATAAACCTAAGTATCCCTATTTTGAAACACTTGGATAAATCGCCCATATTATAAGCTGAATGGAAGGATAATAAAAGATAGCATGAGTAGTTATTAGTGTAATACCTATATGAAGTAAATTCTCACTGAGTGATAGTTATTGATATATTATTTCCTCTTTGAGGCAATCTCCTAACTTTGATTTTTCTCAATGTGAAATTTTCTTGGTATTTATTTTGTAAAGGTACCTCAGATATTTTGAAATTTCTTTTTAGGATAAGACATAGTTTAAATAAATATAAATAATCCTGAGTATTAGAATATTGAAAGGTAGCATGAGAAGTTAAGAGCTAGAAATAAGAGTAACTCGGGGTATTGAAGGAGAGGTGCTATCTCAAGTTATTCAGGGAGAGCTATAAGAGCCTTTTTCTAAAACGTGTATCACTTCATGTTTCTCTTTGGATCATAGATAAGCTAAGTGAGTCTTAATACTTAATTGCTAATTCCACAACCTTTTGTTAAGCACCTTCTATGTGCTAGTCATTCACACAGAGGGGAAAGACTGACAAAACCTCCAAACACATGGAGCTTCTATTCTAGTAAGGAAGACAGAAAATAAAGCAGTGTACAAATGTGGGTAGAATCCTTAGATTATGATAAGTACTTTGAAAAAAATACTGGGTTGTTATGCTTGAAAAGTTTTGATGGGTCAGGTTAAGCTACTTAACATAAAATTCAAAAAATGCTTCTCAAAGAGGGCACATTTAAAATGAGACCTGCGGGAATAAGAAGAGACAGACATGTAAAAAAATCAGTGAGAAAGCATTCCAAGGAATTGCAATCTCAATATTCCCTAGATGGGAAGTAATTTGAACTAATACAGAAACTTAGAGAACACGAGGGTGCCTGGGGTTTAGTGAGCTATTGAAGGAAGTCTGGTGCAAAACCAGAAAGGCAACGTGGGCCAGATTATGCAGGGTTATAAAGGCGTGGCAAAAAGTTTGGGTTTCATTATAACTGAAATGGGAAGAGGAAGCTGTGGAAAGATCTAGGGTAGGGTAATTGTATAACCTAATTTGGGTTGAAAAGGATTCCTTTGGCTTTGACTGATATATATATATAATAGACTGAAGTAAGTGGAGAAAATTGGAAAAACGAGGTAGGAGGTTTTTGAAATATGTAGGTGATGTATGGGACTAGGATGGTGACACATGAAATGGATTTAAGTGAATGATACCTGATACAATTTTGACATACAACCAACCAACTGGGCCTATTAATAGATTGTGTGGGAAAGACAAAGAAAAGGGAGGAGTCAAAATGACTGCCAGTAGTTTTACTTCAGTAGTTAGGTCAGTTGTAGTATCCCCAACTGAACAGGGATGATTGTTTGATTAGGTTTGAGATAAATATTTTCTGAATTTCCAGATTTTCACTTTAATCATGTTAAATGTAAGATTTTGGCTGGGTGCGGTGATTCACACCTGTAATCCCAGCATTTTGGTAGGTCAAAGTGGGCGGATTGCTTGAGTCCAGGATGCTTGAGTCCAGGAGTTCAAGACCAGCCAGGGCAACATGGCAAAACCCAGTCTCTTAGAAGAAAGTAAAATTAGCCGGTCGTTGTCACGCGTGTCTGTGGTCCCAGCTACTTAGAAAGCTGAGGCAGAAGGATCGCTGGATACTGGGAGGCAAAGGTTGCAGGGAGGTGGAGATTGCAGTGAGCCAAAATTGCAACACTGCATTCCAGCCTGGGCAACAGAGCGAGACCCTGTCCCCCTACCCCTGCTGCCAAAAAAAGAGATTCTGATGAGATGGCCAAGCGAGGATATGAAGTAGACAGTTGTGGATGGGTCAAGAACTCAGAGGTACTGAAATATGCATTTGAATATTGTCAAAATGCAATAGTATTTAAATCCATGGCTCTTGACTAGAGTTTTTTTTAACGTGCATTATCAAGATGATGACAATATTGATCATGGGTAAAAAATGAAATAACCTAGGGAGATTGTATAGATTTAGTTGTAGAAAAGAGAAATTATAAGATCTTTTTTGAGGAACCTCATTATCCAGAGATTGTGAATAATTCTTTATTATATGTTTTTGACTAAGCAGGTTACAAATTGCAGGAAGAAAAACTGTATGTATGTGTCTGTGTGAGCAGCCTGTGATTTAGGGGGAAAAAGTTATGAGAATGAATGAGGTCACCGGTTACCTAGGGAATGTACGCAGATTTGGAAGAATAGAGGACCCAGACTGAGCTCTGAGAAACTTCAGTTTTCAAAGGGTATAGTGGAGGAAGATACACAGAAGAATTTGTTTAAATTACTACTGAAATAGGAAAAGCATAAGAGTAGTGATATCATGGCTGAGAAAGGAACATTTTTTAGGAAAGATAGAGTGGTCAACTGTATCAGAGATGGCAGAAAATTTCAATAACATGAAACAAAACTATATATTGAGTTTAGAAATATGAAGGTTATCAGTGGCCTTACTAGATTAGTATCAATTAATGATTGGGGACATAAGCCAGATAAAGGTAAGTTGAAGATTGCTTTTGACATGATAGAGGGAAAATATAGAAAATACTTATTTTTTTCCATAAATGCAAGTGGAGAAATTAGACTCAGAGAAGAAATCAAAGTCCTCTAGAAAGCATGAGTGATGGGTGTCTAGAATTCAAGTGGAGGGTTGTGGTGAGCCAAGATCGCGCCATTGCACTCCAGCCTGGGCAACAAGAGCGAAACTCCGTCTCAAAAAAAAAAAAAGTGCCTGTTCTTTGATTATTTCATACACTTTTAAGAAGTGTATGCCTATATTTTAATGTGGTAGTTTGTTTTTTGCTCGTTGATTTGTGTAAGATTTTTATAGATTCTAAATAAGTGGGAGCTAAGCATTCAGTGGACATTAACATAAAGACAGTAATAATGGGGACTAATGGGTGGGGAGGGAGGGAGCATGGGTTGACACACTACCTATTGGTTACTGTGCTCACTATGTGGGTAACAGGATCCATACCCCAAACCTCCACATCATGTAATTTACCCATGTAACAAACCTGCAGATGTACTACCCTATCTAAAATAGAAGTGGAAATTAAAAATAAATAAATAATAAAAATAAATTCTAGTTAATCTTCTAACATGTATTGTGTTTTGATGGAATGTGGTTTTAAAAAGTGAATTATAGGGCCCATGATTATTTGTTTTTTCTATGGATTATAAAAAGTGGTTGTGGACACAGTTTCAACTATTAAAGGGTTAGATAACTACAAAAGTGTAGTTTATTAAGATTTTAGAGGCAGCTCAGGTTATAATAGTATGAAATAGATAGTCATGGGAGAACATTATAAATAAGATACAAAGCATATAATATGTAGGCTGTATGCAAAATGTTTATCTTATGAAAACATAAACAAATATGACATATAAAGAAATCACCTTGTACTTAAGTAACTTATTTTGTAGTTTGATACCAATGTATTGCCTTTAAAAAAGAATGCCATTATCAAAAATTCTTTATTAATTACAAGAATTAGGAATAATAAAGCATGATATTTGATGTGACACATATCATGAAGGGACTTTTAATAAGTTGTGTTCCATGGTGAGGATCCACATTTTGTTATCTCTTCATTTCTTTATTTCATCTTTGTGCCCTAGCTGCATGCCTTTGGTTCTTAGTATTGTCCCTTGCAGAGTGAATACTTATGTATACTAGCTGAAGCAACATAAAAAGCTGCCAAGGCTGTTGTTAGAGTCAGATTCTACATTACAGCTGTGTCTCACCATCAAAGTTGGCTGACAAACATGATTTAGGTTTATGTTTCCATCGATAGCAGGCCCCATTTTATGCAAAAATATCTATTGGCCGAGCATCAGGGTTCATAAACATAGCTGCCCTCTACTGGGATGCTTGCTTTTTTTTTCCTTTTTTCTCTCCATCTGAAAAGCTTAAAGCTATTTTTGCCTCCAAAGCATAGGGATACATCAGCCTTATAGAGTAGGCCACTTATTGGGTTCATAAGTTAAATTCTATGCCAATGTGCTAATGCACCTTATTTATGAACTTTTAGTTTTGAAAATTCTTCACTTTGAGAAGAAAATTCACTTCTACTCCCAGTTCTTTTCGTTTGTTTGTTTTACTTTTAGTTCCAGGATTCATGGGCTGAATGTGCAGGTTTGTTACACAGGTATATGTGTGCCATGGTAGTTTGCTGCACCTATTGACCTGTCATCTAGGTTCTCTCCCCTCAGCCCTCACTCCTCAATAGGCCCTGGTGTGTGATGTTCCCCTCCCTGTGTACATGTGTTCTCATTATTCAATTCCTACTTATAAGTAGGAACATGTGGTGTTTGGTTTTCTGTCCCCGTGTTAGTTTGTTGAGAATGATGGCTTCCAGCTTCATCCATGTGCCTGCAAAGGACCTAATCTCATTCCTTTTTATAGCTGCACAGTATTCCATGGTGTATATATACCACATTTTCTTTATCCAGTCTATCATTGGTGGTCATTTGGGTTGGCTCAATGTCTTTGCTATTGTAAATAGTGCTGCAATAAACATACATGTGCATGTGTCTTTATAATAGAATGGTTTATGTTCCTTTGGGTATATAATCAGTAATGGGATTGCTGAGTCAAATGGTATTTCTGGTTATAAATCCTTGAGGAATTGCCACACTGTCTTCCACAATGGTTGAACTAATTTACTTTCCCAACAACATTGTAAGAGCATTCATATTTCTCCACAGACTCACCAGCATCTATTGTTTCTTGACCTTTTAATAATTGCCATTCTGACTGGTGTGCTAGTCCCAGTTCTTAAACTAAAAATGGGAATGAATAAGTACATGGCATAGGAAAAATCGAAACAAAGATAAATCTTGTAAAATCTGAACAATTTTAAAGGGTAGTTTCTATAAGACAAATACTAATTAGAGAACAAAATATTTATATCCAATAAAGTTAGGTTTTCTGAATTAAAGCTTATTATTTTTCACATTCATATCATTGTTTTTACTATTTTTTACTTCTGGAAACTTCAATAAATTTTATTTAATGTGTCAATGACTTAGTGATTACATACTACATGGAGAGCACTAGCCTGACACATTAGAAAATAAAAATGAGAATTGTTTGCTCAGACCTTAAGGAGCTTAGATTATATATAGTGCTTTAAAATAAATCTAATCTAGTATTTTCTTTAGTTGTATAAAATTACCCTTTAGATCATGTTTCAAAATGTCTCTTTGAGACATAGATCAAAACACAATTCTTTATATTAATTTTCTTCTAAACATACACGAGACCAAAAATAATCTTCTAATGATTCCAAATTAATTATTTCCTGATACTTCTTTCCACCACTCTCATTTATTATTTCCCTTAGAGTTTTCCAAGGAATGCATGTTTATATTGGCAAATTTCCTTCTGTGGTTCATTGAACAATTTGTTACTTTCTTTTATAGTCATTGAATTTTTCATACTACCACCAACTTAGTATAATTTATATATTGCATTGATTTACTTATTAATATCTATCAGGTCATTAATGAAACTGTGAAGAAGTTGGCAAGTAATTTACTGCTTTGCTTGTAAGAGCCCACATTTTTTGGCTCTTGGGGCATAATGGGAGATCCATCTGTTTGTCACATATATGCCAGATGAAGCAGCAGGATCAGTATCCTAGATTTGAGTCCTGGAGTGTTGTAAGTAAGCATATGTATTGGTTTAGTTTGTTTGTTTGTTTTTGCCGGAAACGGTAGAATGAACAGATCATAAGCTAAACAATATCTTAATCATGTGTTTTTAAGTATATTGCTAGTTATTACCAACTCTATTTTCACTGTGAAAGTCTGGCTTTACCACTGAAAATTCATATTTTGGCCAGGCGCAGTGGCTCACCCCATCCCAAAGTGCTGGGATTTGGGGAGGCCAAGGAGGGAGGATCACGAGGTCAGGAATTCAAGACCAGCCTGGCCAACATGGTGAAACCCCATCTCTACTAAAAATCCAAAAATTAGCTTGGCGTGGTGGTGCATGCCTGTAGTCCCAGCTACTTGGGAGGCTGAAGCAGGAGAATCACTTAAACCAGGGAGGCGGAGGTTGTAGTGAGCCAAGATTGCGCCACTGCACTCCAGCCTGGTGACAGAGTGAGATTCTGTCTAAAAAAAAAAAAAAAGAAAAAAGAAAGAAAATTCACATTTTATCCTGTTTTCTGAGATTAAAAGTTTTTATTATATAAATTTTGGAAACTGCAATTTAAGAGCACAAAAATGTAAAACAACTGCATATCACTTGTGTATGTATGCATATATACATACAAAAGCTTACAAATACATAAATATATATGACATGTAGCAGAAACAGCTATTTTTTAAGTTTTAAAATTAACATATGTTTTGTCAGTATCTTTAACATAATTATTTTTACTAACTCCACAGTATTCTCTTCTATGGAATAGTGTAATTTATTTAAGCAAACTGTTATTGCCAATGATTTATTTCATTTCTGATTTGTAATTTTTATAAGGAGTGTAGGGAAAAGAAAGAGAGATCAGACTGACTGTGTCTATGTAGAAGGCAAAGACATAAGAGACTCCATTTTGAAAAAGACCTGTACTTTAAACAATTGCCTTGCTGAGATGTTGTTAATTTGTGGCTTTGCCCCAGCCACTTTGAACCAACTTGGAGCTCACAAAAACATGTGTTGTATAAAATCAAGGTTTAAGGGATCTGGGGCTGTGCAGGATGTGCCCTGTTAACAAAATGTTTACAAGCAGTATACTTGGTAAAAGTCATTGCCATTCTCTAGTCTCAGTAAACCAGGGGCACAATGCACTGCGGAAAGCCGCAGGGACCTCTGCCCTTGAAAGCAGTTTATTGTCCAAGGTTTCTCCCCATGTGATAGTCTGAAATGTGGCCTCGTAGGATGAGAAAGACCTGACCATCCCCTAGCCTGACACCCATAAAGGGTCTCTGCTGAGGTGGATTAGTAAAAAAGGAAAGCCTCTTGCAGTTGAGATAGAGGAAGGCCACTGTCTCCTGTCTGCCCCTGGGAACTGAATGTCTCAGTATAAAACCCGATTGTACATTTGTTCAATTCTGAGATAGGAGAAAAACCACCCTATGGTGGGAGGCGAGACATGTTTGCAGTAATGCTGCTTTGTTATTCTTTACTCCGCTGAGATGTTTGGGTGGAAACATAAATCTGGCCTATGTGCACGTCCAGGCATAGTACTTTCCTTTGAACTTAATTATGATATAGATTCTTTTGCTCACATGTTTTTTGTTGACCTTCTCCTTATTATTACCCTGCTCTCCTACTACATTCCTTTTTGCTAAAATAATGAAAATAACAATCAATAAAAACTGAGGGAACTCAGAGTCTGGTGCCGGTGCAGGTCCTTGGTATGCTGAGCGCCGGTCCCCTGGGCCCACTGTTGTTTCTCTATACTTTGTCTCTGTGTCTTATTTCTTTTCTCAGTCTCTCATCCCACCCGACTAGAAATACCCACAGGTGTGGAGGGGCAGGCCACCCCTTCAAGAGTGCTAAAATAAATATTCTTTTGCATATATGTGTGCACAGAGCTTACTGTAAAATTATTAGAAGTCATGATGTTAGGTTAAATACACAAGAATATCTGCTCTCACTTCTACAAATACATAGAAACAGTTCATGAAATAAACAGTATCACAGTGTTAAAAAATACATGAACAATAATTATTTGGGAAGTTACACCAGGAAATAAAGCCATGTGCCCCATGAGTTGCTGGGCTCAGAAGCAAGAGTTGAATGTGGAATTTCAACCTATGCATATGAACAGGGACCTCGTATTGCTCCTGCTTGGGTCATAAAGCTAGGCTAGCTACATGAATATAGTTGGTAAAGTTTTGCTCACTTGCTGGAAAAGTAAACTACTTGTAAGTGGTGGAGAGAATAAAAACCACAGTACAACTTGAATTCTGGCCAAGTAATAAGCTGGTTTGGAGACTGGGATACTGTCATCTAGTGTTAGGAACACTTCTGGATAACCTATTTCTGAGCTGTGGATCCTTGGGTCTGGGCTGAGAATTATTTCACAGAATTCTAAACAGGAAGGGATGATCTTGAGGAAAAGAGAAATACTCCAGTGCAAGATGAGTTTTCAAGCTAAGATTTACTAAGTTAAAGGAAAAAAAGGTTATTTCTTTCTCACATAAAGGTAGAGGATGAGAATTTTAGTTTGGTGTTGGCTTTGACATATATATTTGGTCAGGGACCTAGACCTATGGATGGTTTTTTTATCTTTAGTAGATGGGCTCAGAGGTTGCTGTTACCATTTTAAAAGCCAGAGAAAAGGGGAAGAGCAAGGGAAAGCATGGATGGAAAATTTATGGGCCATTGCTGGAAATGACACATGTTGCTTTTGCTTAAAGTCTGTTAGTGGACATCTAGGAGTCTCAAAATCAAAGAAGTTATGGAATAAAAACATGTAATTATTGATCAATGAAAAGTTAATATAAAAATTAACCAATTACAATATTTGAATTAAAAATATAGCAAGAGAAATCCTCAAAAAGTTCATGGAAAATATATATTATGAAAAAACTATGGATAAACTTCAAAAAATGTTTGCATCAAAATAAACTTTTACTAAATTATTATAACATGTCTAAGCAGGATCTTGTTGAGGCGATACAAAGAATAAGACATCAATTTGAAAGAGTTCTTATTAGAGCAATATGAATTCTGTTAAAATTGAAGCAAGAAGAAACATCAAATTTATGGTGAAGTTTGAGTGAAAGAATAGTGAAATCAATCATAGATGCTTTCTAAAAAATTTATGGGGACAATGCTAAAAAAATCAGCAATTTAGAAACAGAAAACTCATTTTCAGAAGGGACAAGTTGATACTGAAAATGAAGCTAGTGACAGCAGACCATATTAATTTTTCAGGAAAAAATTATTCTAATTGAAGAAGACTGGAAACTTAGCCAAAGCTTTATCTGAAAAATGCCCAGAAAAGCTTCATGAAAGAGTCTGTATCCTTTATGACAGGGCTTACTCCTCTCATCAAACAAAAGCCACTATTTTTTCTTTGATAGTTTGGAATTTATTTGTCTTTGATATTAAGCAGGTTTATTCTAATAAAGAAAAAATAGTGGTTACTGACAAAAGAATACCTAATTATAGCAGAACTTATCAATAATAAAAAATGTCAGAAGACAATAACATTCTGTTTTCCATTTCTTAAGATGGAATTGGCTGGGCATGGTGGCTCACACCTGTAATCCCAGCACTTTGGGAGGCTGAGGAGGGCAGATCATGGAGGTCAGGGGTTCGAGACCAGCTTAACCAACATGGAGAAACCCCATCTCTACTAAAAAATGCAAAAATTAGCCTGGTGTGGTGGCACATGCCTGTATTTCCAGCTATTCATGTGACTGAGGCACAAGAATTGCTTGAACCCAGGAGTCAGAGACTGCAGTGAGCCAAGATCACGCCACTGCACCCCAGCCTGGGCAACAGAGTGAGACTATGTTTCAGAAAAACAAAACAAAACAAAAAAAGAAGGAATTGATTGCAACCTAGAATTTTCTTTTCTTTTTAACCTTGATTTTAGGGTCAGTGATATATGTGCAGGTTTTGTACATAGATAAACTCATATCATGGCAGTGTAGTGTAAAGATTATTTCATCACCCCGGTATTAAACTTAGTACCCAATAGTTTTCTTTTTCTGACCCTCTCCCTCCTCCCACACTCACCCTCAAATAGGCCCCCATGTCTGTTGTTCCCCTTTTTATGCCCATGTGTTCTCATCATTTAGTTCCTGCTTATAAGTGAGAAGATGGAGTATTTGGTTTTCTGTCCTTATGTTAGTTTGCTAAGGATAATGACCTCCAGCTCCATCCATGTTCCTGCCAAGAACATAATCTCATTCCTTTATGGCTGCGTAGTATTCCATGGTGTATATGTAACACATTTTCTTTATCCTACCACTGATGGGCAGTTAGGTTGGTTCCATGTCTCTACTATTGTGAGGACTGCTGCAATGAACAAACTTGTGTATGTGTCTTTATGGCAGAACAATTTATATTCCTTTGGATTTATACCGATTACTGGGATTGCTGGGTCGAATTGTAGTTCTGTTTTTAGCTCTTTAAGGAATTGCCACACTGCTTTCTATAACGGTTGAACTAATTTACAGTCACAAAAATAACGTATAAGCATTCCTTTTTATCAACAACCAGTATCTGTTATTCTTTGACTTTTTGATAATAGCTATTCTGACTGGTGGTGATGATATCTCATTGTGGTTTCTATTCGCAGTTTTCTAATGACTAGTGATGTTTATCTTCTTTTCATATGCTTGTTGGCTTCATGTATGTCTTCTTTTGAAAAGTGTCTGTTCACGTACTTTGCCCACTTTTTAACGGCCTTGCATGATTTTTGCTTGTTAACTTGTTTAAGCTCCTTACAGATTCTGGTTATTAAGCCTCTGTCAGATGAAGAGTTTGTAAATATTTTCTCCCACTCTGTAGGTTGTCTGTTTACTCTGTTAATAGTTTCTTTTCCTGTGCAGAAGCTCTTAAGTTTAATTAGGTTCCATTTGTCAAGTTCAGCTTGTGCTACAATTGCTTTTGATATCTTTATCATGAAATCTTTGTCAGATCCTATGTCAAGAATGAAATTTCCTAGTTTATCTTAAAGAGTTTTCATAGTTTTGGGTTTAACATTTAAGTCTTCCATTAATCTTGGTTGATTTTTTTATGTAGTATAAGAAAGAGGTCCAGTTTCAATCTTCTGCATATGGCTAGGTAGTTATCCCAGGACCATCTATTGAATAAGATGTTCCTTCCCCATTGCTTGTTTTTCAGCTTTGTTGAAGATCAGATGGTCATAGGTATACAGCCTTATTTTTAGCCTCTCTATTCTGTTCCATTGTGCATGTTTTTGTACGAGTACCATGCTATTTTGTTTACCGTAGCTCTTTAGTACAGTTTGAAGTCTGGTGATGTGATGCCTCCAGCTTCGTTCTTTTTGTTTAGGATTGCCTTGGCTATTCAGTCTCCTTTTTGGTTTCATATAATTTTAAATATTTTTTTTCTAGTTTTGTGAAGAATGTCATTGGTAGTTTAATAGGAATAGCATTGAATCTGTAAATTTGGGCAGCATGGCAATTTAACAGTATTAATTCTTCCTATTCATGAGCATGGAATGTTTTTCCATTTGTTTGTGTCCTCTGATTTGTTGAGCAGTGTTTTGTAATTCTCATTGTATCGGTTTTCACCTCCCTGGTTATCTCTATTCTTAGGTATTTTATTCTTTTTGTGGCAATTTTAAATGAGATTGTATTCCTGACTCGGCTGTCGGTTTGGCTGTAATTGGTATACAGGAACGCTAGTGATTTTTGTACAATGATTTTGTATCCTGAAACTTTGCTGATGTTGTTTATCAGCTCTAAGAGCTGTGGGGCTGAGACTTTACGGTTTTCTAGGTATAGGATGATGTTGTCTGCAAACAGACATACGTTGGCTTCTTCTCTTCCTATTTAGAATGACTTTTTTTCTTTCTCTTGCCTGATTCCTCTGGCCAGGACTTGCAATACTATGGTGAATAGGAATAGTGAGAGATGGCATCCATGTCTTGGGCTGGTTTTCAAAGGGAATGCTTATAGCTTTTGCACATGAAGTATGATGTTTGCTGTGAGTTTTTCATAGATGACTCTTATTATTTCCAGGTATGCTCCTTCAATACCTAGTTTATTGAAATGTTTTAAACATAAAAATATGTTGAATTTTATTGAAAGTCTTTCTTGCATCTATCAAAATAATCATGTGGTTTTTGTTTTCAGTTCTACTTATATGATGAATCACGTTTATTGATTTGTGTGTGTTGAACCAACCTTGCTTTTAGAGATAAAGCCTACTGATTCTGCTGGATTAGCTTTTTGATGTGCTGGTCAATTCTGTTTGCTAGTATTTTTGTTGAGGATTTCTGCAACTATATTCATCAAAAATATTGACCTGAAGTTTTCTTTTGTGTGTGTGTGTGTGTGTGTGTGTGTGTGTGTGTGTGTTTGTCTGTCTATCTGTCAGGCTTTGGTATTAGGATGATGCTGGTCTCATAGAATGAGTTGGAGAAGAGTCCCTCCTCCTCAAATTTTTGGAATAGTTTTAGTGGGAATGGTATCAGCTTTTCTTTGTAAATTTTGTAGAATTTGGGTGTGAATCCATCTGGTCCTGAGATTTTTTGGTTGGTAAGCTATTTATTACTGATTCAATTTCGGAGTTTGTTATTGGTTTGTTCAGAAATTCAACTTTTCCTGTTTAAGTCTAGGTAAGGTGTTCAAGAATTTATCAATTTCTTCTAGATTTTCTAATTTGTGTCCAGAGAAATGTTTCTCTGGCGTTAGTGATATCATCCCCTTTGCTGTTTCTAATTGTGCAACCTAGAATTTTCTATTAAGCTCATCTTTTATTCAAAAGTAGAAATAAAATAAATACATGTATAGGCAAAACATGATTAAGAGTTTCATAGATGTGAGTAGTTTAAGGGAAAAATTATTAAAGGATACATTTCAATAAGAAATAAAATGAATCCAGAAGAACAGAGTGGAAAGCAGGAAGAAATGATTAAAAAATTAATTGATAAACCATGTTGTTTAATACAAATAAGTTTAGAAGAAGAAGGAAGAATAAACAGTTGGGAGAGAAGGCAAAATATATTTCTGTACTGGCTTTGAAATTTTTCAGAAAACTTTGAAAGTAAATAAGTCTGTTTTGTATTTAAGGCTGATCAATAAGGTTAAAAATAGAATGTATAACTTAATTATGAGTAATGGGGAAAAGGAGGAGCTTATGAATTCAACAAAAGGTAAAAAGAAAACAATGTATCAAAGGCAGCATGGAATACAAACAAAATTGCAAAAGGATGAAATACACATTAATATTAATATTCACAATAAGGAAGATAATAAACTTGTCTTTTATAAGAAACTCTGAAATTGAAATTGTAAAAATATAACTCTATTAAAAATTCACCCATTGTAAAACAATACAAAGTGGCTGAAAATAAAAGGATGAAAAAAGATTCATTAGACAAAGATTCAAAAGAAGAGTAGCATTATCTAAAAAATGTAATTTAAGGCAAAATAATTGAATAGAATATAAGGAGTTTACTTAATTATATAATATCAATCATATACTTATATGTACCTGAAAGCATAGCCTAGAAAAAATAAGGTAAAACCTGAGATAATTACTTAAGGGAAAAAAAATTAATAATTATAGCATACTTTTAATACAGATTTTGGAAAATAAAACTAAAATATAAGAAACGCCATTTTCCCCCTTGTCCAGTATTACACTAGATTGGTGGTATAAAAGACCTTATAACTTTAAACAACTAGATCATAAACATGACACACTTTTTGAGGCAATGCTGGTCTCATATGAAGTAGCAGTGGTCTCCAAGGATAACACCTCCTCAAACAGGTAAGCAAACAACAAAACATGAACTGGTGCTAGAGATGCAGGTGGCTGTAAAGGCAAAATCAATATGAGTACTATAAAAACTATCTGAATAGTTGGGACAAAATCAAGATGAAGGAACTATGGCTGGGACTCTTTAGTGAGAATGTTCACCTGGGAAAACAAACAAACAAGCAAAAGACCAAAGAGAATCTCCATGTAACTGGTACTTACCAGCTACCACAAGCAGCTGGTGGGTTTCTGTAGGAAAGTTTTCCCAATTTACACCCACAGGACTTCCAAAAATTAAAATAAAGTAACTAGCTCACATTCAAAGATAACAGAACACAGGAGTTTTCAAGGCAACATGAGTAACAGTAAAAATAAAGTATCATATTTGTACTACTAAGGGTTGAACAAAGAGTAGTTTACATCAGGGGTCCCCAGCCCCCAGGTCACAGACCAGTACTGGTCCATGGCATTAGGAACCAAGTTGGGCTGCACAGCAGATGAGTGGCAGGCAGGAGAGTGAAGCTTCATCATCTGTATTTACAGCAGCTTCCCATCGCTTGCATTACTGCCTGGCTTCCGTCTGCTATCATATCAGCAGAGGCATTAAAGTCTTCCAGGAGCATGAGCCCTATTGTGAACTGGGCATGTGAAGGATCCAGGTTGCATGCTCTTTATGAGAATCTAATGCCTGATGATCTGTCACTGTCTCCCATCACCCCAGATGGGACAGTCCAGTTGCAAGAAAACAAGCTCAGAGCTCTCACTGATTCTACATTATGGTGAGCTGTATTTACAATGTATTTAATAATAAAAATAGAAATATAGTGCACAATAGATGTAATATGCTTGAATCATCTCAAAACCACCCCATACCTGCCTCTCCCTTATGGAAAAAATGTCTTCCACTAAACCAGTCCAGGGTGCCAAAAAGGTTGGGGATCACTGTTTTAGAGGATCTATGAGGCTTTGCATAAGATATTAGTAAATGAACTAATAATAAGGAATTAGACGATCCTTCAAAAGGATTAACAAGAAGAAATAGACAATTACAAAGATGAGGGAGAAACACATGATTACTAGAAATGTATAGGCAAATGTGAATGAAAAATGCAATTGATGGAAATTAAAAGAACACAATATTAGAAGTAGAAAATCAACAATATACTAAAATCACAGAATACATATAGTGGAAACTAGAAAATATATCTGAAGAAATTACCTTGTTATGAAGTAAGATATTTTGGACATATTTGGAAAGTATAGCTAACGAGATTTGCTCATGAATTGGAGACAGTTTATAAAAGAAAAAGAGGAATCCAGAATAACTACAAATTGTTTTGATTTAGCAAATGGCAGGATGGAATTGCATTTAAAATGGAGTCGGTTTGGAGGAGGACTACCAGTATTTCACTTCAAGATATGTTAATTCTGATGTATCTGTTAGACACTGCTATTATCAAGTAAGCAATTAGGAAAATAAATCTGAAGATCTGAGAGAGATTCAGACTAGAGAGATACATTTAAGATATGTTTAGTCATCAGTTTATAGGTGATTATTTAAAGCATGAGCTGAAACATGATTGCAAAGGTCATACTGTGTAGCATAGGTGGGGAAAAGGGAAGTGTCAAAGATCAAGTCCTGGAACATTCCAACACTGAAAGGTGATGGATACAAGGGGAAGAACAGAAATTGGAATCTTTTGAATAGGGTGTGATTACACGTATAAAAATTTGTGCCAAGCACAGTAATCTGGTAGTGAGAAAACCTGAGTTTGAGTTTAGGCTTTATTCTAATGAAGTAGTTGGCCATGGGCAAATTACTTAGTCTAAAGGAACTCCTCACTGGTTCTTCACGTAGCTAGTCAGATCCGGTTATCTTTTAGGGTCAACTTAAACGTCCCTTCTCCACAGAGTTCTCCCCTGTGCATTTTTAACAATCACCCAGGCAAGTTATTCCCTACTAACACTCTTGTTTATTTCATTTGCTGTACATAATTACAGTCTAAATTTGGCCTATGTGTTTACTTATTTAATTTAATTGTATGTCTCCTCTCTCACCACCAGAACAGAAATGTTTACTTTATATAGGTGAGCTTTTTGCATCTTTCATTATCTATCCTCAATTTCTAGTGTAGTTTCTGGCACAGAATTGCATCAATATATCATGAAGAAAAAAACGAATAAATTTCCCAAGAATGAGAAACACTGAACTGAAAACTTGTTTGTGTACCAAAAGACATTCCACCAGCTAAGCAAATTAATTCATATTCTTGGGCATTAAATATTTAGCACGTTGCTTAACGATTCTCCTCAATTTTCTGAAAAATAAAACCTTTATATTTTTAGAAGTGGACTTTTCAGATTATTAGTGTGTCTTTTCTTCTGTCTGCTTATACCCATTGAGTCCAGACATTTTAAAACATTGCTCAAAAAATTTCTTACTATCTACACAGGAGAAACAACAGTTCTGGAGAGACTGCTAGAGGAATTCTTCCTCACACAATACATAAGTATGCCTGCACACACACAAACACACACACACACACACCCACAAACAGACACCCACCCACACACACACTTAAAGGTCATTCTTCTGCATTCTGAAGCATGTCATAGACTGATAGGTTTGGATTACTTTTCTACCCGCGAAGCCTTTCCACATACCTTTAGAATTGAAATGTTATTACATGCAGCACCATATCTAAATTCCTAAGGGAAATGCTTTGAATTATCCCTATCTCCTGTTCTCTTTGCCACATATATTTAGAATTGCCAAGTATTTGCTTTCATTTGGCAGATAACTATAACAAAGAAACTCTTTCTGTCATGTCTTTTGCTTTTGCTAATCAGACTCTGTAAATACATGGAGAAGGAATAGTAATAACTTTTGAATAATGAGATGTCACGAATTTACACATGTAAATGTGTGCATTTGGTTTTATAAGAACTTATAGAAACAGGAATTTTATCAAACTATCATAAGCAGAAAGCACAAAGTTATTAAAAAAAGAGAATTCTCACAGGAAATCAAATGATTCTCATGGAGAAACTATGCATTTCCTTAGTAAGGATAGTAAATGGCATATTTGCAGCTCCCTATGTGACCACTCAGCCACATAAATTATTTAAGGACCACCATTGTGACTTTTACAGCTAAATAAACTCTGTGGACGTTTGCTCTCTTATGTGAGTGCCCCGAATTTATGATCTCTCCATATTTATTTTCCTGAATAAAGGAGCTTTTTAATTATCCTGTGAATTGAAGGATCTCTGGTTATATTATTTATGAGAAATAAATTCAGCAAGATTGAAGAATCTTTGAGAATTTCCTTCTAGATTCTCTTTTGACAGATTTAAATTAAAATTTAAGTTTAATATTTTTAATTTGAGAATTTAAAATTATTTTCTCTTTTCTCAATGTTTAGAGATTTTAACAGCGTCTGCCAGCTTAAAGTGAAAGGAACGTGGTTAGTTGGGATCTCTTGAGTCAACTGATGTGTTCTTTCTCAGTGACGGGAGGTACACAGTACAATATCACGCTTTACACTTCAGAGGTGATGTCCTGACATTCCTCGAACAACCGGATAGCTAAAATCTTCACCAATAATAGGTTTCTGAATTTTTAGATTTTATCTCTCACTTTTTGAACACACATATGTCTTTTTAAGGCATTAAGGATACTTTTCGGGAGTGTTGTGGCCAGTGGACTGAAAATACCTTGGCCCCTCCAGTGCGGTAGGTGCTTAACCTCGAGGGGTCAAAGAGCAAGGCAACTGGACCTGTACAAGCCCCCAGGGTTAGAGCATGCAACCCAAGTGTGCTGAACTGACCCTTGGTCTCCTGAAATCTTCTAGACATGAAGCCAGTTGACTGAACCCACATTATACCACAGTCAATTCCACAAGGGCACCAAAGAAAATAAAAGCAAAAAACTCATCCAAACGACAGCAGTTTCAAAGATTAAAGGAACATCAGCCCACAAAGGTGAGAAAGAATCAGTGCAAAAACTCTGGAAATTCAAAAACTATAGAGTCTTTCTACCACCAAATAACCAGGATAGTTCCCCAGGAATGATTCTTAACAAGGGTGACATGGCTGGAAGGACAGAGATAGAATTCAGAATCCAGATACGAACAAAGATCATCGAGATTCAGGAGAAGGGCAAAACCCAATCCAAGAAATCTATGGAATCCAGTAAAATGACACAAGACCCGAAAGTGAAAATATCTCAGTAGGTGAGAGGATGGCTTCATAGTCTTTCTCTTGGCATTTCTTATAATTACAGCCCTTATCCAACAGTCAGGAAACAAAATAAGGGTTCAGCAGCTGCTAAGTGTATATACCTGAATTATGTGCTCAGAATCTGACAAAATGACCACAGGGTGCATTCATGGAGATCAAATCTACAATGAGTTGTACTCATGCCATTTTTCCATTTACTATTTAGTCTCTGTCTGCCGTCATGTGGATAGGAGAACTATGATGCTTATTTAGGCTCCAATGCTCTGCAATTATTGAAACTCCAATCATTGATACTCCATTTTTCTGCAATCATTGAGACTCCAACATTAGTTTCAGCTCAGATCCTGAATAGAACTGTCCTCAAAAACACTTTGTATTCCTGTTGGCTCAGTGTACTAGTGCTTGGGTACTGTTACTTATGTAAATTAACTTAGTTCACTTTAGGGATGCCTTGAGGAAATCATTGCAAAACACACTTGTCATGAGGTTGCAGAGTTCTTTTCTTCATGCTATCTATGTAAAGAGATGCTACAATCTTCTATAAATTGTGTGGGACAGCTCTGCATGTTCCGAGGGTTGAATAGAACAGAAGATATCCTTCCCAAGTCTCAATGTCTCACTAATCCCATGCTAGGACCCAGAATTTAGTCTAGGAGGCTTGCTGAGTCCTGGATTAAGACTACTTTGTAATGCTATTACTGTAATAATTTGGGCTTGATTTTCTGCCTAATCTACCTTCCCACTGTAGATTATGAATCTCTTTATAGGCCTTTTGGCTTTCACACCATGCCCTTACTTGACTATTGGCTAGGTTGAACTTGCCACTGTAATTCTTTAATACCCATCTAATTCTGCAATCATTGAGATCACTGTTATCTTCATTTTGCCTGAATACTGGAGATATTACATAAACCAGTGTTTTCTCTTTTAACTATATCACATCTCAATTCACCACAGCAATAATGACACTATAGCATGCCAGTGATATCCTTCCTCAACCAACTTACAATCAGCTATGGGATTCTTGTTGCCATCTTACCAATTTGTGCTATTTTATAACTCTATCCTAAAGATCAGAATTTTAGGGAATTTCTTGTACCAAGTGTCTTAGATTGGGTTTCCCCAGAAACTGATTCTAAGACAGGGGTTTGAGTGTAATAGTTAATTTGGGAAGCTTGGAAACCCTTGCTAGGAGTTAAGAAGGTGATTCAAATAATGAGAAGCAGTTAAGATGCATTTCAAGATGAAGCTACTTGAGCTTAACACCATAGGGAAATTGCGGGACAGAACAAACAAGATGAGTGGCTTCCAGGCCCTCCTATAAATAGAATTCTGGTTGACTTATCAGTTTCCCAGTTGGATTAAGATATAATCTGGATGTAAGACAAGACCTACGTTAAAATATGAATTAGTATATTTACTTGTTTTTATTCATCTTTTGTCTAAAAAGAAAAGTTGTATCACATTATAATTTCTTTACCATATTAGTAAGCATATTTGTTTATACATATTTTTAAATAGATGCGTAATGCAAAATGACTTCCCTTAGATGGATTTCTTTATGATGCAATTCTTGCTAAAATTATGTTCAGAGTATTTTATCCTGCAATGACAAAGGAACATTTAATCAATAACTCTGCAGTATTACGTACATTTAATTTAATCATCGATTTTTTAGTCATTTTCAGATACCTTATGTTTACAAACTCAAACATTTTGTGTTTGTAGTCACTTAATATCCATGTTAAAACAAAGGGCAGAAAATCTGTGTGTGGGTGTGTGTATTTTATTTGAAATATGAAGTTGCTTAATTCATAATATATATACTTTAAGGTTAATTCTTTTACTATTCATAAAACATGACAGGTCAACTCAATTGGATTATGTAGGATAAAAGGGTCACTGCATAACACTGAAGAGATTTGCAGTAATATCACCACATTTGGTACCATAGTTTAATAAAAGAGCTTTTTAAGCCATTCAGATATTGTTTTAAATCCCGGTGACATTACTTAAACTCTGAGCCTCCATTTATTAAGCTGCAAAACTGAAAAGCTTTTGTCTACACTTCTAGATTGTTGTAGAACGAAGTGAGATTTTACATGGTTTTATATTTAACTAACTCTTTACTTACCTTCACCTTCTTTTCACATGTGCTCTTTAGACCTTTCCTTCCTTCCTTCTCCTTCATTGAGTGAGCAAATTCTGAATGAATCAATGAATGAATGAATGTACTATAAACCATTTAGCAGGAAACCTTTCAGAGATAATATCAAAAGACAACTTCCAAACTGGAAAAATATTGCAACGTACGTGACACTGCAAGGATTACTTTCCTTAGTATTCAAAATGATCATACAAATGGAAAACATAAAAATAGACATTGTTATTAGGAAAATGAGCAAATAATGTAAAAAGGCAATTCATAGAAGAGAAAATACATATTATCAATAAACATAATGGAATGTATTTAATATCACCAAAGGGACATTTAAATAACTTCTTACCATTCATTAGTTGCTATTAATTACTATCTATTATCCCTCCTAGATTATCTACATAGGGCCAACATAATCACAAAGGCTGGAGAGGCAGAGTTATAGGAGGTTTGTAGACATATTATTGTGTGTGTGTGAGAGAGAGAAAAAGCGAGAGAGAGAGATTTGGAGATACTATGCTGCTGACTCTGAAGATGGAGAAAAGGACCATAAGCCAAAAAATGCGGCAGCCTTTAGAAAGGCAAGGATTCTCTGTTAGAGTCTCTAGAAGAAATGAAGCTCTGCTAACACCTTGATTTTATTCCGGTAAAATTCATTTTTAACTTCTGACCTTCAGAATTGCAAGATTTTAAATTTGTATAGGTTTATGTCACTGAGTTTGTAGCAGTTTGCTAAGGCAGCAATTGGAATCTAATACAGACATCTTTATATTTCAGGCCTTTGAGACTAAAGTTAAGGGATGATTTCAAGTGCTCGGAAAGTACAGCAAATAAGGAAATATCCAGAGCATTGACAGTAGTGGAGTGATTTGCTTGTACCTGATTTATTTGGAGGCTGGAGCTACAACCTGTGCTCATCAGTGTGACTGAGAGTCCCCAGGTAGGGATTTCAGCTGCAGGCCTCTCTTGAATCAGATTCATTTTCATAAGAACAAAACAAATTCAACACAAAAAAAGAAAACATGTGAGCGCAATTACATTTTAATTTTTTTTCCTGCTAAGAATCAATGTTAAAACAATTTTACAGTTATACTCTAAACGTTTTTGCCCTGTGGTCTTGGTCAAAAAAGGACTTCTCAAGATGTCATTCTGCTGTTTCTTATTTTCTCTCCATCTCTGTCTTACATAGCAAATATGACCACTCTACAAGTCAAAACAAGATTTTTTTTGACAGTGTTGAAGTTCAATCTTCACTTTAAAAATTAAGTGGTTCTTTCTTCTTCACATCTAGTATAACTGATAATAATTATTGAAATATTATATTAGATATCGGATGTGCCCTGCTAATTTAGTTGACAGATGCAACTAAAAAATATGTTGCTTGTCTCTTCCACAGATAGTCTAATTTCACTGTGACAACAGTAACAATCAGATAGTTCAAGGCTTATAAATAGCTAGAATATATTCTAGGAAATGTTTTAGGAATAGGTAAGAAAATAAGTAACTTTAGAAGTTACAATAAAATATTATTAATTCATGCTGTCTGTGAGGTTATCAACAATTGTCAGGAAAAAGTAAAATCTATACTAATTTAAAATAAATACCAATTTGCTCATCTAGAGCATATGCCATAATTCAAACCAACCTAACAAAGTATTACTTTAGGAATCTTTAGCCATGTAATTTAATATGTATATACGGTAGATAAGACCATATAATGGCTTTAGTAAGTTTATTACTATTACCTTTATGTAATTAGATGTTTCTAGAAAATTTCAAATAGTTCGTTTATAATGACCTTTAAAGATTGTCTCTATTCTTGGGCATTAAGTTGTGCTGCCTACTAAAATGAGGTCAATTCACCCCAGGTAAAGTTCAAACCATTCCACTGAAAATTTACGTATAAATGTATGTAAGTGTATGTACATATAAATTACACATAAATGTATGTGTATGTATATAGTATACACACACAGTATATGTATACTATATATAGATTATGTATATGTGTGTGCATATTACTATATATAGTAATGGTGGATATGTAAATTATGTATGTTTGTATGTATGTATTATATACATACATACACACATATATATACACATAATTTAAATTCTAGGCAACATTTTAAAGCCACAGGAAAACATATAAACACATATACATGTATGTGATATATATAAGCATGTATACACACACACACGTATATGTATATGTATATATGTTTTCCTGTGGCTTCAAAAAGACTTCACAAATGTTGCCTAGAATTTTTAAATATGGAGAAACTATTTGAAAAGCAAATATTTTTGAACATGAAAAGGGGGAAGTAAAATCTTAATAGAGATTATGAGTGTGATCACAGCTTTAAGAAATCTGATAATCACTTTTGTAGATTTAACGTTTGCCTTCCTTCTGCTTCAACTTTTGTCCTTAAAATGTATTTGGCAGTCAGCACTGTCTCCTGTAAACAAACAAATAAACAAACCGATAGAAGAGGTTCCCTCCAGCCTTGGTGAAAGGAAGCCTGGCTGTTACACCTGAGCTGGGCTCCTCTGCTTCTCTGTGTGACAGCTAATAGCTAATTGCAGTGTCTGCCTAACGAAGAGTATAGCACTGGGAAATTATGCTCATGACAAGTAGGAAAATGATGCTAAAGCTGAGACACTTGAGAGACTATTCAGTGTGGTGCTGTGGACTTTTTTGTGTCTCCTTTATACCTGCATCCTGCATACACAATCCTCCCCAGTGACTGCAAGCATCTTGGTCTGCTTTATGTAGCATCTGATAGACACTGAACATGCTGGTTTTATCATAACAAACAAACGCTATAAAAATACTTATTCGTTCGTTCTTTTTTTTTTTTTTTTTCTGCTCCACAATTTACTACTTCAGTCTTCAGGCGCTCCTCTCTGTGTTAAGTCTATTATCACCTCTTTCAACATCCTTCACTGTCTCTAATTAGGACAGTTTGTTTTTTTTTTCACTTTATCCCTGAACTTTGCACCCTCAGCAATAGCTATGCAGTCTCTCTCTTTTTACATTGTATTATGAGTATTATGATCTATGTCTCTATTCTGGACTCTAAACTTTGTGAAGAATAGTATAACACTTGATTAATCATTTTAAGCCCAATGCCAAACATAAATAGGTGTTCACGAAAAGTGGTTTGAAGCAGGCTGAACTGAATATTACCCATTGCCATCTATTTATTTATGGTCTTACCAAAAGTATATTATACTATAGGCATTGATATTATTTTAGAATAACACTTCTGCTTCCTGGATTGGGAGAATAAATATTATTCGATTCTGAGATCAAGTCTCACAGTTTCATCGACAAGCCTGGAACTTCAGTTGCGGTCATTAAGATGGAGCCCTTCGTGTCCCCGGGAGGCGGAGCTTGCAGTGAGCTGAGATCATGCCACTGCACTCCAGCCTGGGCGACAGAGCGAGACTCTGTCTCGAAAAAAAAAAAAGATGGAGCCCTTTTGCATGGTCCATCCACTTTAGAATGTTATGAGAAATGACTGTGCAGTCAAGATTTCAATGGTAATAATGGCAGTAAGACTAACTTTAGGAACAAAAGAATTTGTTACAACGTTATTTATTGGAAGGAATTTACGGAGCTTTGGATGTTCAAGGAGAATACTGGGAAGCTTACGAAGCAAGATGAGAACAACCAAAATCCTTCCACAGTAAGGATCTGCTCATGATTCTGCCACTGCTACCACCAGCACTGGGTACTTGCAACCACACCTGCATATTTTCACCTCCACAGAACCTCTGCAAAGGAATCAGAATTTTGCTTGTTCCTTGGAATTATTCAAAGATTCAAAGTTCAAAAGGGATTGTCAAAAGTACAGGCAACAAAAGCAAAAATAGACAACTAGAATTGCAACAAACTAATAGCTTCTGCACAGCAAATGAAACAGTCACAGAGTGAAGATACAGCTTACAGAATGGGATAAAATATTTGCAAACCATATATCTGATAAAATATTAATATTCAAAATATATAAGGAACTCAACCCAATAATAAGAAAACGAACAAGCCAATTAAAAATGAGCAAATAACCTGAGTAGAAAATTTTCCAAAGGAGACATACAATGACCAACAGGTATATGAAAAATGCTAAACGTCAGTATTCATTATGAAAATGCAAATCCTAACCGCAATGGGATATCGCCTCACACCTGTTAGGGTGGCTATTATCTTAAAGATAAAATCATGTTTTTACATTCAGAATTAAGCCAAGCTACTAAACAACACAATTTTTTAATGACATTTCGAGGATTTTTTGGGGGAAAAGCTGGTTTAATATAGAAAGATAAGGACATATAAATGACTTTTGTGGAAAAAAGAAGAGAAGGATTTTCCATTTTCTTCAGAAAGAAGCTGAGTACAGGGAGGAAGTAACAACGGAAAGAAGGAGATAAAGATGTACACATGTGTAACTTGCTAGAACCAAAAAATAAAATACAGTGAAGGGAAAGTGGAGAGAAATATGACACATCGGTATGAAGTAAGCAGAGAAAGCTGCTACTTTAAGCCACTAGGAGTCACAACAGACCCAGAACTATTTTTGATGGAGGTATTAGCAGCAAGGGTGAGAAATTAATTCTTCATAGGAAGTGCAGGATGATCATAATCCAGAGGACTTTTCTAAACTAGATGTATATTAATCAGACATTGAGTTTTATATTTATAATGATGTTGGCATTATTTTCTGAACATAATTAATGATTATCAAGAAACAGAGAAACAAAGGAAGTAAGAAAAACATTAGCCGACTAACCCATTAAAACAGTACTCCAAAAATGTTCCCAAGTGTCCTCATGTAACAAATTAAACCCAGATGCCTATTTATTTTTTCTCTCACTTCATATAGATGGATAATAAAATATATTTCAAGATGAGTATTAGTATTCTGGAAAAAAGAAAAAACAGTCACCTAAAGTTTTACAATTAACAATTTTGTCTGCACATAAATCTAAGATTCTCATGATTGTTATTCGTGCTAGGAGAAGAGTATTCGAGAATTTTTTCTTAAACTTGAGAAGTCCAGATGATCAAAATATAAAAGTTATTTTATAGGTATTACCACATTAGCCTTTAAGGCAACTTGATAAATATTTGTAAAATCATTCCTCTTGAGAAATCTCATCTCCCGAATGGCACAAATGCTGGAATTCTGCCCTTTCTTACTCTCCTTAGTTGGGTATTTTTGCACAGTGCACAACCTGTATAACCGTAAGTGGCTGCTGTCTAAGTACTTTATATACTATTTCAAGGAAAGCATTATTTCCCCAACGTAATCATATTAATCCTAATCTATTAATTTATGCATAGGTAAAGATTATCATGTATCATTCATACAATAATAGCATATTTGTGCTCAACACTCTGGATGTCTTGTTTTATAAAGAAATAGTAACAGTTTTTTCAAACACTTTCTTTATAGCAGGCATTGTGGCTGGACTAAACACACGCACACGGCACATATATCATTTTGTGCATATATACTGTATATTATATACATATTATATATTATAAGTTGTATATCATATATACATTATACATGGTATATAAATTATAAATTTATAAATACATTATATATAATTGTGATTGTTATTCATGCTAGGAGAAGTGTATTTGAGATTTTTGTCTTAATTTGGGAAGTCTGGATGTTTAAATTTTTAAAATTATTTTTATAGATATTGCCACACATTTATATAGATAATTTATTTCTCAAAAAAATCCTCTGAGGATGGTAAACTTTCATATCTTGCCAAAGGAAATTTTGTATATTCTTTTCTCCCTCAAGGACATAGTTGTTCCTCAAAAAGATATTTAGAGGTACTCAGAAATTTCTAGTTACCCACATTTCTAATTGTGACTGATATTTTGATTCAATTTCTATACTGCTATTTGAGGCATGAGTGTATACTGACATTTCACCCTATTTCTGAAAAGCTGTGTATCTGTGTCAAGGAGACTGCCCCAGATTATGAATGCCTGAAACTGGAGAATGAATATATATATATATAAAATATATATTCATATGTGTGTATATAATTGTATATATGCATATTATATATACACATTCATACACACACACACACACACACACACACATATTTCATCACTCTAGGCATTTGGCTGTCTTGCTTATGCAATTCCTCCATTGTGTCTAAATACAAATTATATTTATTTCCAAAAACATACTGATGGACAAGGAAACCATCTTATTACTTGTTGATCATCAACTCATATTAGTTCCTGGGATTTAGACAAATATGTATTTCCTCTTGGGTTCTGAACAGGTTCAAGGCCAGGCTCCAAGTACCACTTTTGTTCTGCCTAGTTTCCTTCTCCATATTCTCCTACTGTTTTCTATCTTTCCCCTCCTCTCTTTCATTCCAGATCCTGTGTCCTGATGCTATCTTGGTAGCATTGTGGGAAATATAATCCATGATTATCTTTCGGAGCAACCTCTCAAAATATTTTCTTGCTAATATGAACAAATTTTAGTATATGATTATTCTAAACAACAGCGGCAATGAAAAAGTTTTCAACCACGGGTGAGAAGAGTAAAAACACAGTAGGTGATGGGCACAGAAAGCTCTGTCCTACTTATCCAATATAATGAAAAAATCCTGAAAATTTGAATTCTACATATAGCCTACATATAGACTCATCTCTTTTATATATAACCATACATTCATGATCACTAACAACATTGCAATTTCTATCATCATGAATGGAGTACATTAGTTGTAAAGTAAAACTATGACCAGAAAAGTTTCCTTTCAGACTTGAAATAGCATTCTTTCACTGCACATTTATTCAGCCTAGTAAGCCTTAGAAATAAGGTCTGCTTATTTCACAGAAGAAAAACAATTGCACCATTATCATCAATGCTGAGCCGTGAACTTCCAGAAAGCAAGTTGGATTTTACTCTACCTAATGCAGTGTCAAAATGCTGCCAGTAACATCCTGATCTCAGGATTTTTATTGCTGGTGATGATGTATAAAGTGGAAAGCACATAGCTTGGTTTTCAAATAAGTGGTTAAGCTTGCATACTGCCTGCATTATCAAAAAAACTTGGTAACAACTGAGTGAGTGTGACAGCAAAGTCACTGATGGGAAAGAAAACTGGAGCACTAAGATGTGTCAGCTTTATAGAGTCACATCTTTGGAAATACTGTACCTTGCTTCTTAAAGAGATGTTACACAGGATTTTTTTTAGGAAGGTACTATTACTTTTAAATAAAATGTAGTATTCTAAAAATTGCTTCCAGTGGAAAGTATTTGATATGTTCAAACACGTAACAAGTGACCAAAGAGTATAAATCTCCATGGCAGTAAAACATAATTAGGCTCCAATCATAACTATTTTTTTAGTAATAAGCCACAGAAGATGGAGAAATAGAAAAATTAGAAAAACTATGCTTATCTCAAAATAATTTTGTAGGAAATAATTTTCTAAGTAACATGTACTTGAATTTATATATATAATAAATTATATAATAAGCAAAATGTTATGTTCTGAACCTTTTAAAGCCTCATTGTCACTTCCTGGAGTAATAGAACAACCAGCCATAAGCAAAGTAGGCTAGAAAAATGTAGGTGAATCTAGTCATTGTTTGATTTTTTACAGACTCCCTTAAGAATAACAATTTATGTTGGATTGTTGTCTGTTGCGTATTTATGTGTGTGTGTATGTGTATAAATATATATCTATATATATACAGCTTATCGATAACATATATGTACAGCTTATATAATATAAATACACACAAATATATCTGTATGTAGCTTATATAATCCTGATTATACAGCTTGTATGATATAATTCTGCTTTATTATTATAATGTTTATTATAATATTAACTCTTTTAGCCTGTTCTACATTAAAAATATCGCTCTACATATTTTAAGGAACGTACTTATATCTCCTCTTACATATTATATTTACTTTTTTCCCTGTAGGAAATTGCTGCACAATGATTACACATCATCAGGTACAAATCAAGACAGCAAAGGCAATAGTAACCCTCTTTAACTATTTTTTGCTAGTTTATCCTGAAGTCTCATGTCATACATCTCTCTTGGGTTGGCTTTCTCTCCCGTTGGTACCCAGGCTGATGATGCAGCCCAAGTTTAAGTCATACCGGGTTCGTGGCAGGGCAAGAGAAGCATGGTGGAACCATCTGATAACTACTAATGGTTCTGCTTGGATAGCTTGCCACATTTCCACTCACAGGTTATTGGCCAAAGCAAGTTGCATGGGCAAGCATGATGTCTATGAGATCAGCCCAGTGTGAGTCTGGTAGGGAAGCACTTGAATAGTTAGCCAATAATGGACATCACCACAACATTCAACAACAAGTATTAAAACAGTACTGCCTTCATCCACTAATCTAACCTTCACTTTAGGACTTTCTTCTCTTACCTCAATACTAAGATTTTTCTTGCTCAGAGAATCTCTAGGATGGCATATTTAATGGACAATTTTACGTATTGACATTTTTGTTCTCTCAGAAACATTCAAGTTTCCGACTCATTCCTCTCTTTTTCCTTTTGATATCTGAAACTCCACACTCTATTGTTATCACTCCTAATTATCTTACTCCATTATTCCCCAATCTCCCTTGCTAGCTCCTTCTCTTTTGTCTTTTGAATGTTAGAATAATTCAGGATTCAGTCTTAAAGTCTGTTATTTGTTACTTTATTACTACCTTCTAATTTCCCCCTAGTTGTTCTCCTCTGGACTCATGGATTCATATTCAATATATATTCTGGTCATTCTTGAGTGTGTATCTTCAACCTGACCTCTCCTCTGAGTGTTATCCACATGAAAAGATCACAAGTACATGAAATGTAATATCCATAAATATAAACACATGATGAGTCTCCATCCAAAGTGTGCTTCTTCATATTTCATCATATTATTTGAGGATACCAACATCCCTTCGGAATCAGGAATTTATTTTTTATTTTATTTTATTTTTTATTATATTTTAAGTTCTGGGATACATGTACAGAATGTGCAGGTTTGTTACATAGGTATACACATGCCATGGTGGTTTGCTGCACCCAATAACCCATCATCTGCATTAAGTATTTCTTCTAATGCTATCCTTTCCCTAGCTCCCCACCCCCGAGTAGGCCCTGATGTGTGATGTTCCCCTCCCTGTGTCCATGTGCTCTCATTGTTCAACTCCCACTTGTGAGTGAGAACGTGCGGTGTTTGGTTTTCTGTTCCTGTGTTAGTTTGCTGAGAATGATGGTTTCCAGCTTCATCCATGTCCCTGCAAAGGACGTGAACTCATCCTTTTCTATGACTGCATAATATTCCATGGTATATATGTGCCATATTTTCTTTATCCAGTCTATCATTGATGGGCATTTGGGTTGGTTCCAACTCTTTACTATTGTGAACAGTTCTGTAATAAACTTACGTGTGCATGGGTCTTTATAGTAGAATGATTTATAATCCTTTGGGTATGTATCCAGTAATGGGATTGCTGGGTCAAATGGTATTTCTGATTCTAGATCCTTGAGGAATCGCCACACTGTCTTCCACAATGGTTGAACTAATTTACACTCCCACCAACAGTGTAAAAGCGTTCCTATTTCTCCATATCCTCTCCAGCATCTGTTGTTTCCTGACTTTTTTTTTTTTTTTTTTTTTTGGAGACGTAGTTTCACCATTGTTGCCCAGGCTGGAGTGCAATGTCATGATCTCAGCTCACCACAACCTCTTTCTCCCATGTTCAAGTGATTCTCCTGCCTCAGCCTCCTGAGTAGCTGGGAATACAGGCATGTGCCGCCACACCTGGCTAATTTTCTATTTTTAGTAGAGACAGGGTTTTTCCATGTTGGTGAGGCTGGTCTCGAACTCCCAACCTCGGGTGATCCACACTTCTCAGTCTCCCAAAGTGCTGGGATTACAGGCATGAGCCACCACACCCAGCCTGTTTCCTGACTTTACTGATTGCCATTCTAACTGGCATGAGGTGGTATCTCATTGTGGATTTGATCTGCATTTCTCTAATGACCAGTGATGATGATCTTTTTTTCATGTTTGTAGGCCGCATGAATGTCTTCTTTTGAGAAGCGTCTGTTCATGTACTTTGCCCACTTTATGATGGTTTTTTTTTTCTTGTCAATTTGTTTAAGTTCTTTGTAGATTCTGGATATTAGCCCTTTGTCAGATGGATAGATTGCAAAAATTTTCTCCCATTCTTTAGGTTGCCTGTTCACTCTGATGATAGTTTCTTTTGCTGTACAGGACCTCTTTAGTTTAATTAGATCCCATTTGTCAATTTTGGCTTTTGTTGCCATTGCTTTTGGTATTTTAGTCATGAAGTCTTTGCCCATGCCTATGTCCTGAATGCTATTGCCTAGGCTTTTCTCTAGTTTTTATGGTTTTATGTCTTACGTTTAAGTCTTTAATCCATCTTGCGTTAATTTTTGTATAAGGTGTAAGGAAGGGGTCCAGTTTCAATTTTCTGCATATGGCTAGCCAGTTTTCAAACCACCATTTATTAAATAGGGAATCCTTTCCCCATTGTTTGTTTTTGTCAGGTTGTCAAAGATTAGATGCTTGCAGATGTGTGGAATTATCTCTGAGGCTTCTGTTCTGTTCTCTTGGTCTATATATCTGTTTTGGTACCAGTACCATGGTGTTTTGGTTACTGTATCCTTGTAGTACAGTTTGAAGTCAGTATCATACTGAGCAGGCAAAAGCTGGAACCATTCGCTTTGAAAACTCCACAAGACAAGGATGCCCTCTCTCACCACTCCTATTCAACATAGTATTGGAAGTTCTGGCCAGGGTATTCAGGCAATAGAAAGAAATAAAGCATATTCAAATAGGAAGAGAGGAAGTCAAATTATCTCTGTTTGCGGATGACATGATTGTATATTTAGAAAACCCCATCGTCTTAGCCCATAATCTCTCTAAGCTGATGAGCAACTTCAGCAAAGTCTCAGGATACAAAATCAATGTGCAAAAATAAAAGCATTCCTGTACACCAATAATAGACAGAGAGACAAATCATGAGTGAACTCCCATTCGCAACTGGTACAAAGAAAATAAAATACCTAGGAATACAACTTAAAAAGAATGTAAAGAACCTCTTCAAGGAGAACTACAAACCACTGCTCACGGAAATAAAAGAGGACACAAACAAATGGAAAAACATTCCATGCTCACGGATAGGAAGAACCAATATCGTAAAAATGAGCATATTGCCCAAAGTAATTTATAGATCCAATGCTATCCCCATCAAGCTACCACTGACTTTCTTCACAGAATTAGAAAAAACTACTTTAAATTTCATATGAAACCAAAAATGAGCCGGTGTAGCCAAGACAATCCTAAACAAAAAGAACAATGCTGGGGGAATTTATTTTTGAAAAATCCCTTATCCTCATCGTTTACACCAATCAATCATAACATTTTCTTGATTCTACTAGCAATATATATCTGGAACCAATCCACGTTTTTTCATCTCCAATGTAATTACACGAGCTATCATTCTGTCATCCAAACTGTTGCAATGCTTCTGAAATGTCTCCGTAACTCCACACTTGCCTCCCTCTGGTCTGTTTTTCACAGAACAGTCAGAGTAGTAATTTTAAAATTATTGCAATTCCCTGCTTAAAACCTTTCAAGCGTTGTTTCTTGAATTTAGAGGAAAATAAAAATGTCTTAATTTGGTCTATATGGCCCTGCCTGATCTGGTGTCTGCCTATTTCTCTTATTAGCTACTGAAAGCCACTCTTTGAGTTACTTAAGCATTACAAGCTCTTGGAGGATTCAGAGCTATCTTAGAGTCATGCTCATATACTCACTCTTTCTAGAATTCTCTTTAAACCACCTTATGTCTAATGTCTACATCCATTTGGTCTTAGAATAATAATTACTTCCTTAAAGAGCCCTTCTTTAACACTCCGGCCAAAATTTATACTTAATATGTAATTTATATTTTTCTTTTTTATAGTACCCTGATTTTGAAAATAATTTTAGGGAGACTACTTCCGTCCTAAGCTGCACACTCATCTTTAAGATAAGAAATCTTTGGATCGGGTGAATTGTCATTCCTGCATCCTTTTTTAACCACATTCTGGATGTTTGAGTCCAGATATCCCCTGCCACAGCAGCACTGAACCTGCTTACGGAGGTGGGGACTGTGAGTGATGTTGACGCTGGAGAGTGGGAAGGTAATGGTGGGAGGCCAGCAACTTCCATCTGTGCTCTTGCCCTGGGTCTTATAGATATGAAGAGCAGGTTGGTCCATTGTCTCCCTTTTAAAATCAAAGCTTTAATGACCTCAACAAACTATTTAGGTTCTGTCCCTCAGAAAAGAAAAAATCTAATAATGAAAAGATGAGTACAAATTCAGCCTTTCAGCTTCCAGACCTCTAACATCAACTACACACATCTTTTTCTATGTTATCATTACCTCTTTAGCTCAGGAGATTTAAAAAAATCATATGTAAAACTTTCTAAATGTTAGATTATTTCTGGTTAATTTTTGTTCATAGTTTTATGGTATTTTTGTCATGAAATGTAGCTCATGTAATATTTTCTTACCAGAATTTGTTGAGCTTTCCTTTTTGAAATAATACATACCATTTATATAAATATTCATTGGGTGCTGAAAAATATATTAAATATTCATTGATTAAAATTATATTTAATGACTACTTAGATTTTTATATACTACATTTATTAATTTCTGTATCCATTCAATGATTGCAATTGTATATTTTTATGCCACTTAACATGCTGAAAATGTAACACAGTGGAGTACTGAAAAGGATTCAGACACTGCTTTCTTAGTCCCTAGTTTTGAAAAACTCATATTTTAGTGAAGAAAATGATAGTTAATTAAACAAATAAATACAATGGGATGACTGCCTTGATAGCTGCTATGGAAGCACATAACAGAAACAAACGCCCAGGAATGGAGGTCACTGTCTTTATATCTGGAATAAATGTAAAACTAAGAGTTAGCTACACAAAGACAGGGAGTGTTGCTGGAGCGGAGTCCAGCATATGTGAAGCATGGGAGGCCTATAAGATGACATATTTTTGCAGAACTGAAAAAGAGTTAGGATGGACAGTAGTGGTAGAAGTTTGTGAAGTGTATAGTAAAGAATACTCTCAGAGAAATAACATTATATTGGGTTTACTGAGTACTCTTGAATGAATTTTAAATAGGTTGGTGAGATCATCAAACTTATTTATATAAAAGTAACCTAGGTTGTAAGTCAGAAACTAGTTTAGACGAGGCAAAATTAGGAAAAAGCTACAGAAAAAGCATTTGAAAGTCATTATAATAAGGAGAGAGATGAAAGTGGACTGAATGAAGTTATTGACAATGGGAATGGACAAAACAGGACCAAATTGAGTTGGCGACACAAAAGAGAAGTTCATTTAAACTCTGTCTTTTCTAGAATATATGAAACACCACACTGGGGAGTTTCCTGTTAAAGACATGAGGACAGGGGATCCATTGTAATAATTTGTGTTTTTCTGCAGTTTTCTTAAATAACTGTATTTTCTCATAATTTATAACTCTACTATGTGTTGATATCAGATATTACTTTTCACAATAGGTTTCTATTAACTCTCTGAATGACCTCTCCTCTTCAAATTTTGTCATTCTACCTTTAGTTTCCAACATGCTGCTATTGTATCTGAGGAAGACTTGTTAAACAGCACATACACCAGATTATTTATAAAATAAGACAGTCCTATTCATTAGACTGTAGTCCAGAAAATGAGGTTAGTCTTTTTTCTTCTATGAATCTTGCCATGTTCTTCAACCTGTTTGCCCATCAGAATCTTGCTTACTGGTCTGTAGCTATACAGATGTATTTTGAAAATTTGAGGTTGCCAGAAATATGAGCACTAAGTCAGCTTATTATTATATATTATTTATATGTTTAAATTTATTTTTCATATTATATTAGGAAAACCCTTGCATTCAATGTATAACTTTATGTTTGGTAGATAGAATTGAAAAAACCTACATTTTTTGACCAAACTGCATATTAATGAAGAGATAAGAGAGGCATATATGTTTATTTGAATTAGCTATCCATTAATTGTCTCATCTTTACATGAATTCCAAGAATCAAGCAATAAGACAGTTTTATAAAATTGGACTTTCTAATGGTTTTTAAAATGTGAGTATTTTGGTAAGTCTTTAAATTGACTAGCTAGATTGTACTGATTAAAATTGCCATTTCAGTACAATCCTTTTAGGTGATATTTATAGCTATCATGTAATTCCTATCATAAGATTTACCACCATTGTCATATGTTATCATTCAATTAAAAAGCCATATTATGTAAATACTATCCCTACCTTGTTATATTTTTAAATTAGAGTATGGAGATTAGTAACATCTCTCTACTATTTATCTATCTATGTCCTCTAGCAACCTTTTTTTAAAACCTTCCTTCCAGGTCTTGTTTTCCTGCTAAGACTGTTTCTGGTTAGTACAATAAGCAAATCTACTGCAGTAACTTTTTCTGACCCAGGAACTCTGAAGAAATTCATAGAGTTAAACAAATTTTTTTCATGACTTGGGATGCTGAGCAACTATGCTTTTCACAGGGCCTGCCACCCGGATTCTCAAAGGATTATGCCTGCAGAGTTATCAATACAGATTGTCTTTGAACAGAATTGGCTTGGAGAACAGTTCCAAAGTCTCTGCCTCCTGTTTCCTGGTCATTTGACTGCAGGGCATTTATAACCAACCAATGAATCAATTAATTAAATGCTTTCCTCTTTTAGGAAAGAATCTTCATGAGTGTCTATTATATTCTCAAACTCTTAGAGAAGACCATAATACAAGGCTTCTGAAATTCAGGTATATGAGAGTCCAGAGTTCTCTCTGTGTCAGCCACTGTGCTAAGGCCACTTGTAGAGCATGGACACGCAAAACGGCTGATAAACATTTTATCAGTATTCTTACCATAAGAAAATCCATTTTATATTTTAATTGTTTATATTCTGAGATTTCTGGAGTAAGTTATCGAAGGGGAAAATGATTTTTTCACAGATGCATATTTTCCTTTGCAACAATTATAGTTTTAGTTTATCTTTGTTTTCACCTAATTACTGATAGTTGAAAAATATGTCAATATTTGTTGAATTTTCCAAAATACTTTCCTTTTAAAGGGCATAATACACCATTAAAAATGTTTGATAGGAAGGAATATTCAGCTCAATATTAACGATGAATAATTGATAGCACAGAGAGATTAATTGCTAATTCGAGGTCACACAGTTGGTCAGTCTTTATTCAGAAAATGAAGTCATTATTTCAAGGCCACAATGATGAGGCTTCATAATTCCCATAATAATTCCAACTTAAGTTTTTATATGTTATCTTCATGAGAAAAGGAGCAAATATTTCCTTGTATGTAACTTTCAAAATAATTTATGAGGCTCTATTATCTTTTGTTCTTTCTAAGTTTATATTTGTCTACTTTTTTACACGTTTAAACATTTTTTTGGGCTCAGCATAAGAAAATACTTTTAGAGATTGAATTATAGAGAAAGTTGCTAAAAATATTCATACTCTATCATGAGACTTTAACATTGTGGTCAAAAACTTAATCTTAAAATTTCAAGCTTATAACATATATACATATGCAAATAAGTAGTCAAGAATAGTTTTTTGAAACGTTTCATCTGACTCACAGGGGCTAACTGAGCTATGAAATGTGAAAATCTGCCAAACATGAAACTGAGAAGAAAACTCAAACATGCCCAGGGCAATAAATAAGATTTATATTTTTTTTGTTTGTTTCTGGTGTGTGTTTGTTTTTATTTCTAGCTGACTAATGTGTATCTTCAGTGATGAATAATATGACAAAATAATCTTTACTGAACTCAACAATCTGAATCTTGAGTAAATTAGACATGAAGAAACTTATGAAAATTTTATGTGATGTGCTAATGGCTTGCTTCTCTTTGGCCCTTTTCTCTGTTTTGTTGTCTAGCAATATTCAAATCCTTGCCCATTAGTTATGGAATTTCTAAGGGTAGGTACTTAGTTTTAATCTAGTTTTTCAATTCCAGGTTCTAACACAGTGTTTGGCTCAAAATAAATACTCAACAAATTGTACAATAATAAAGTAACTTGAAAAGAAAATCACATGAAAACTTGAATGTTCATAAATCTTAAAGAAAAATCACCTAACTTCAGATCTTTTCCTAAGAATCTTCTTCATTCACTTTACCACTCCTATCCTCATCTTAATGGAACAGAAGTGAAAAGGAGGAGGATAAACATTTTAGCTTTTAGCAAATTAAAGGAATCAAAAAATAAGAATATCTTCATAAAATAGAGGTGACATTTTTTAAACGGAGCTTGAAAAATGAATAGAATTTTGACAGCACAGATTGTAGTGCTTAGATTGAAAGGAAAAACGAAGACTTAGTAGCATAAGATTGAATGTGTGAAGCAATGGCAATTGATTTAACTGAAGACCAGGGTAGGTATATGGGAAGACTTGTACAAATTTAGGCCACAACCTTGAAAGCCAGGCAAATAAGTTTACCTTAATTGGTTAGAGATAAAAGTCCATTATGTTTTTAAAGGTCATCTTTTTTTTTTTTTTTCTTATTTTTTTGAGATGGAGTCTTGCTCTTGTGGCCCAGGCTGGAGTGCAATGACTCTATCTCGGCTCACTGCAACCTCCACCTCCTGGGTTCAAGCGATTCTCCTGCCTCAGCCTCCCGAGTAGCTGGGATTACAGGCGCCTGCCACTACGCCCAGCTAATTTTTGTATTTTTAGTAGAGATGAGGTTTCGCCATGTTGGCCAGGCTGGTCTCAAACTCCTGACCTTGTGGTCCGCCCACCTCGGCCTCCTAAAGTGCTGGGATTACAGGCGTGAGCCACTGCACCTGGCCATCTTTTTATATATACTAGTCTCTTTTTATTTGACTGGATTGGATCTTCAGCCTCTATGTAAATAGTATTCTCAACAACAGTAATCCTTTCCCTGTTCACTATTAACCGAGCAGTAAATGATCCTCAGTATTCGATTCTGCCTTTAGACTCTTCTTCTGTTTAAAAAGCAATATTTTTCTGCAGTGCCAGCTACTCAGGAGGCTGAGGTGAGAGGATCACTTGAGCCTAGATGTTCGAGGCTGCAATGAGCCATGATCATTCAGTGAGACCCTCTCTCTAAAAAAATAATTAATTGAATAAACAATGTTTCTGAATATATTATAAAGGAGAAATCATATGTACTCTTGTTGCCCTCTGATTGAACTATTTGCTTCCTCTCTCTCTGGGTGAATACATGTGCTTTTGTTTCACCACCTGACTTCTTAAAAGTCAGAGCAATTTTCATACTTTAAACATTCACATTTAATATAGATAATAAATTAAGAATTTTCTTTACACTTCTCAATATTAAATTTATTTCATCCAGTTATAGAGATTCAGGGACCTAGTATACTGAGATAAGAATTGGTTCCAGTAGTTTTATAGACTTAAGATAATTTTTGGTATGTTATTTTTAATTTTATAGGCTCAAAGAAGCCAAGATCCATTTCTCTTAGGACTTGGAATAATCCTTTGGGTTGTATTTTTAAAAATCCCTTTCTTATATCTCTCTGCAAGACCACTGTATGAGGAATAAAAGTGTTGGGTCAATTCCAAACCACTCTAAAGTGGAATTAAACTGAGGCTTCTTTCTCAAGCCAAGGTGAGCCGGAATAAGGTCATTCTTGAAACATATGAGTAAGTGCCATTGCTCTCAACATTATTCTATAGACCAATTTTTACAACATGGGTAGAGAATTAAAAGAAAAAAAGGTAGTTTTCCAGTCTTATAATCATGTTGTTTTCATCACTTGTGTATTTGTAGCAGAAATTGAAGATATTACAGAACAAACAATATTCAAACACCCTAAGAACACTGTACAATAACAGCAAGGCTATTTCAATTTACTGTTTTGAAATGTTAAGTATCTCACTTTTTTTCTTCTCTTTTTCAGTCTGCATATTCTCCGTACTTGGCTACTTGATGCTGATCCTCTGGTGAGGTCTACTGCTGACCCAGACAATGCAAGCTCTGGTCTTTACCCTTTGCCCATCAGCCCTTTCCCTCCTCCTCTGACACCAACTTTCATCTTCCCTGCAGCCAGAGTTTTCCAGGCATGAAAAAGTGACTCTCTTCTCAGATATGACAGGCAGAAAAGCTGCCACTTACACTGAGTGCACTTTGGGTCTTTAGAGGAAAGTAAGGGGAATTCAAATGAGGGGAACCCTTCATGTAGCTTCGCAGTTAACTAACTTTGATGACTGTTTATCTTTCATCTTCACAGCTGTTTTTTTGAAGCAAATATATTTAAGGAAAATAGTAAACTAGATCCTAAAGTTTAAAATACCTTTCCTTGTTGTATCCTCTGCTTTCTTTTTCCTTGTCTATTAAGTTTAAGACAAATTTACAATGAAAATAAAGTGGACCTCTGATGGTACCCTGAAGTCTGAATTTTTTATTATTATTATCTTTTCTTTTTCATTAGGTCTGACTCCTGTGTAACTATGCCTGCAGGGAAGGAGATACTACCCAAGCAGGCACTGTTATTATTTGGAGCTATAATATATCCCTTTTACAGGTTGTTTTGCATTTCTTTCCTGGAGATAATAGCAGTATAATTTTGAAATATTCTTTAGTAGAAGCTTCTACTATTATACATCATAGAAAAAATTTGACTTGCACTGGTCACTGTAATATATTTGTCGTTACATATATTCAGCAACTGTTTATAGCAAGTTTGGCTTAGTTGACTGATACATTTCCTTAATTATTTAGATAAGAATAATCATAAGCATTAAATATGGAAGGAAAGTTGGTTTGAGGCTACCCAGAGGACTGTGAGATTTTGTTGCATTTCGGTCTGACATGTCCTTACATGCTTCAGTATAGAAGAAAGTGTAATAGAAAAAGTCACTTGATTTTTACTTCCAGGTCTCCCACTATTATTTCCACAGGCAAGAGATTTCATGTCTTCATACTTCAGATGCTTATTTATAAAGTTAATGAAGAGCTTGGCTATTTCCAAAGCCTTTCTCAGAAATATATATTTCCTCAAGCATAGGAAACATTTAAGATTTAAATTGTAACAAGTCCTTGCTCAGGAATATGAATGGATGTGATGAGGTTCATGACACAGTACCTCAAAATGTGGCACCATGGAATACTGAGTATTTTAACCTAAAGGAATTTTAGAAAACAACAGAAGCAGGAAGGACACTCTGACATTCCTTCACAATTCTCCTCTGAAGCAGGCCATAAAAGAATTATCTGACATTCCTTTAAAGTCATAGAACCTTCATTTCAGATGGGTCTCTCTGTACTCAGAAGAAAGGAGTGAAGACACAGAGACAGTAGAATCTGAACAAACAGGCCAAACTTAGTTCTCCAGCTTATTGCCATTAGACCATACCCTTTTGTTCTCCAATCACTCTTCTTCATGATCGTCCATAAAAATACACAGTTTTTCCCGTTTCTATGGGTCTTCATTTCTGAAGGGTCCCATGTCTTGACCATAAACTTGTAATGGATGAAGAAAAGATATTACTCTTTTTCCCCTACAATTAAGTGCAAAATACAGGTTAAATAACTTGAGTCATGATTTTATATAGCTCTAAAAATTAGAATTCTATGTGGAAAAATAAAATGAATCTGATATAAATGTATGGCTCGTAGCTTTGAGACAGTCAGGTGGGAGGGGGACCCTGGAGAAACTCCAAACATCCTGCCCACTGGGGTGGAGCCACAGATGTTAGTGCCCTTTGCAGCATGGAAGAGCTGGGCTCCTCCTCTTCCTGTGTGGAACCTGAGATTCGAACACTGGGTGGAAATTGCTCTAGCGGATTGAGTACATTGAGTATCTAAAGTTATCAGAAGCCTGTATTTGAGAGCACCTGAAGAAACCAGGCACCTGGCTTTTCTAATGCTTCAGAGGGCCCCTGAAGTGTCCAGAAAAGAGAGGAAAACATGATTATTTGTCATGTTTAGGTACATGGGATTGCCAAAAATGATGTTCAATCTTCTTTAGGTTATATCTTAGTAAATAGTGCTTATATATGTTCCAGAATTGTATGGGATTTTTAAAATTCCAATGTCTGAATATATGCTATCAATTATAATTAAGGTTTTTACGTTAATTTATTGTAAACCACAGAGATAAGGAAACTTCTTTGTCAATCCTGTTTCTAACCATAACTGCCCTGGACATTTTGTTAAAACAGACAATTGCCTAGTTTTAATCCTTTTCAAAGGTGGCTTATAATGAGCTATAGAACTTTAACAGGTGCTCTCAAATACAGGCTTCTGATAACTTTAGATATTGTAACATTGGAAAAAAGGAAAATGGACAGGACTCATAAAGAGCTGCAATACTTATGAATATGAAGCAAAATAAGATTTAACTAAATGGACTGAACTCAGAAAGCTGAAGCTCTGAAGCAAATATTTTTGACTTTTGCTTGGAATATTGCTGATCCTTGTTTTGTTTTTCAGTGTCAAGGAAACTTATTTTTTAACTATTTACAGCCTTTAATACTTGAGTAAGTTATACTCCTATGAACAAAATTTGGAGCATGTTTGTTTTTCTCTGCTTGGTTCCTCTAGAATTTGGAAACTACCTGTGAGTATTCTTATGGCAATATAGTTGTTTGCATCAGTGCAATAAGAATCCATTTTGCTTTTGCAACAGATCACAATTGGAGAAAATGGTTATTTTACAAAGGCTTTTACTGAAAGGGTATGCTTCCCTTTAAGGAGTCAATTTTGACTTGCAGAGTCAATAAAAGCCCAGTGGGGAAACTGGCTTCATACTCTTGCCTACACAGTCCCTGTACAGGGTTCCTGTCCTGTGATCAGTAAAGAATGTCACTTCCTAACAGGTCCAGGAGCTCCAAGTTTATCTTTGGACCTTAAGAGGAAAGGATCACCCAACTCACAGGAGTTTTTGGATACAAACCCACAGTTGGGCTCAGCTTTAAAAGGTCTACTCTGAGATTCCTTGTGGAACACACTTCCATCAAAGCCAATCCAAAAGGCTTACGTAGAAATAATTATTCTTGCTGCACTTTATGCAAATAACCAGGCCAGGTATAAGACTAAAGTCTATTTTGCAAACCACTCAGTGCTATGATAATTTGTTTCTTAACAAAATGAAGACTGGAGAGAGAGAAATTATGTTCCAAAACTTGTCATGCATTTGTCACTAAATTCTAAACTTACTAGTTGTTTTGAAGTTTTTGCCTACATTTTAGACTAACCCTGCCTGTTCCTGTGAACCAATCAGCAATCTCCAGCTGCAGCTCAGAAAGAACAAAAAGGATTGGTAATGTAGAAATCTGGATCAATATTAATATTCTAGATCTGAGTAATTATCCTGCAAATTCTCCCAGGGATTTGGAATAAATAGGAGGCCCATCACTCAGAGATTTCCTTTTAGGAAAGTAAGACCAAAGGAGCTAACCAAAGCCAATCACCATGCACCCAAATCCTAGCAAGCATAACTGTAGCTACCAGTTACCTGGGTGTGTCACAAGACATCCTTTCCTCTCCCTTGTTGAAGGAAGCCTCAGTTCCACAGTTTCACCTTAGCATTTAGCTTATGATAAGGAGTTCATGCAGGCCCGTCAGATACATTTTTGTCCCAGACTCAATTCCAAGCTTTGGGTCAAAGCCCTAGGAAAGAAAACTGAATCTAAGGGATCCAGAGGCAAATGACAACAGACGTTAAAAGGCACAGCATAGGTGAATGTGGCTGATTCCTGCTGATTAACACAACCCCAAGCGTCCTGTTTCATGGATAAAGGCCACGATATTATCCATGGCATAAATGAGCTCCAGGGAACTCCAAGTCTACTGACAGTAAATGGAAAGAGACATAGCTGAGAGCAGATAATTCCTATTCTCTAGGCTCCCCGGTTTTATGGGTGCAAGCTGCTTTGGCGCTCATGTCAGGACCTCCCAAGGTCGTTGGAACTTGGGGATGCAAGGATGGAAGATGGAAAGAGGACACTCTTCCCTCTCTTCCTCACATACCCTGGGTATCTGCTAGGAAGAGAAAGAAGCCAGGAATGCATGCTCCCCTCTTTCTAGATGGGTAGCCATTCATCTTCAGTCTACCCCTTTCGAATGCATACTGAATCCCTGGGACTCCTTTAAAAGACACCTTCTTTTTCCCTTTCTTCTCCTCAGTTCTCTCTTCACTAATAGATAATTGTGCCGCCATACTACAAGACACACCCCTTGGATGCATCTTCCAAACTAGAAAGAGTTAATTTCCCAAACCTTAAACTGGCTGGTTTAGGATTGGGCTCAGGGGAAGGGAACCCAGAAACCTGACATGCCAGCAAAAGGGTAAAGTTTTTTGCCAGTGGAATTTTGGCCTGCCTCTCCCTGTGCAAACTGGTAAAATATTTTAGAATTTTTGAGCTTTCCTTACCCCTCCCCTTGTTTCATTTTGATTCATGTTTGTCCGTTCTTGCCTTCAGGCCATAAAACTCCAAACAGTCATGGAACCGAGCCTCTGACAATGGCTCCTTCTGCTGGAAATCCTTAAATTGACCTATGAGGGAGCTCTGACTGCCGTTTCCCCAGAACAGCACCCACTATCAGCAGGAAGCAGCTAAGATTGGTCTTAGTCCTTATCCTAATCTAACAGCAGTTAGATGTACTTCTTTAGAGGGGGGAGTGAGACAGCCAGGTGAGAGGGGGTCCCTGGAGAAACTCCAAGTGGCCTGCCCACTGGCGTGGAGTCACAGAAGTTCACACCCTTTGCAGTGGGGAGGAGATGGGCTCCTCCTCTTCCTCTGTGGAACCTGAGATTGGAATGCTGGATGGGAAGCACTCTAGCAGAGGGTCTCTGGCCTTGTGAGAGTCCCTATTTCCCCTTTTTTTTTCCCTTTTCACCCAATAAAACCCTGCCTTACTCACCCTTTAAGCTGTCTGCTAGCCTAAATTTTTGTGGCCATGGGACGGACAAGAACCCTGTCTTTAGCTGGACTAAGGAAAAGTCCTGCAACAACTTTTGCTGTCAGAAGTATTTTTACAGGAGATGGTTAGATGGTTGAATTTAGTTGCCACCACCCAAAGGGGTCAATTCACACTTCATATATAATTTGACAATGAGAGTAAAATGTAGTATGCTAAGTGAAAAGAAGGTGAGTACTTTGGAAAATAAGCATTTGCAAGCTATGCTATCCTCAGGGAGAATAGATGGTTGGAATGATTATTGCTATGTGTCATCTTGACTAGACTAGTGTGCCCAGCCAAACATTATTTTGGATGTGTCTGTGAGAGTGTTTTTGGATGAGATTAACATTTGAATAGGTAGACTGAGTAAAGCAGATCGTCCTCAGTAATGTATGTGGTCCTCAACTGATCAGGGGAAGTCCTGACTAGAACAAAAAGGCTGACCGCTCACCCCGACACGGAAAGATAATTCTTCCTGCCTAATAACTTGCAAAGTGGGACATAGGATTTGTCATGCTGGTGACTGGAACTACACCGTCAGCTCACCTTGGTCCCCAGCTTGCACAGCCACCCTGCAGATCTTGGGACTTGTCAGACTCCATAATAGCATAAGCCAATTCTTTACAATAAATCTCTCTATATATACATACATATATATACATACATATGTATATATATATATACATACATATGTGTATATATATATACATACATATGTATATATATATATACATACATATACATACATACATACATACATACATATGTATATGTATGTATATATATATATACACACACACACAGAGAGAGCAAATATCTATGTATATAAATATCTATCTATCTCTCTATATATATACATAGAGAGATATTCTGCTGGTTCTGTTTCTCTGGAGAAATAATAACATGGTTAAGGATCAAATAAACAAATAAAAAGAAGATATTCATATATTTCTAACATTCCTCTAGGATTTATGAGGCACAAAAAGAACAGAGCTTTGGTGCATCTGACTGTGCCTTTTCCTTGATTTCTTATGGGAAACTTTTCGGCTTGCTTTATTTCTTCACAATCCAGGAGAGAATATCTAAGAAAGACAGCAAATCATTCCCTCACACAGGCAATGTTGAGCCATTGTGTGGTCGCTGCTCAATTTAACTATTGTGTTATGACAAAAGGACAATGCAGATTGATTACGCCATTATCCCCCACTGGGTCTCCAAGCTGAATGGCCAATTTGGTATGACTGCTCAGTTTGTCTTTTGCATTTTATGTGTTACATGGCCTTACTAGGAAACACAATTGCACATGTGAATGAGAATGAGTCAGAGGATGTGAGTGGGAATATGTTTATCACTTCACTTTAAGAAATCCTTAAAGGTGTTCTAAAAACATTAACTGTTCTCAGCCATTTTTTTCCCTTAAATATATGAAGAACTCAGGTTGGAAGACCAAGTGCTAAGGAAAGGGGGAAAATATATTTTACAATATTTACTATACAAAATTACGGAGTAAATCTTCAATTGTTGAATAAGAAGTAACCTTAGACTTTTCTCCATTGCTTCAATGCTGGATGCTAATAGGGCTGCAGGGTGGAAGGAAATAGTTTGCAAGCTATGAATTCACTATATTGATAGCAAACTTGTTTTAAAATTGCTGTCAGTGGACCCTTTATAACTTTTGAATAAGAAAAAGCCATGTTTTCTCATGTTAAATGATTGCTTTAAACTGGAACTTAATTAGCATATTAGACCAACAAGCTTTTCTACACTGTAAGGAATGTCGAACCAGACAAGAAGGATGTGTGAAACATTCAGGTAAATGTGATCCCAGCTGTCCTGACAACCCTGGGCAGCTGGTGCACTTTGGAAACATACTGTGACACTGTCACCAGGAATTCAATAAGTGTTGCAGAAGTATTTCCTGGAAAATGTGGATGCACACAATTAAGCAGAAAGGAGCAGATTCAGTCCAAGAGCAATGTAGAAACCTGGAACTAATGACTAGTTAGGTTAAAACACTGGATCTGGCCACACTGTTACACTGATCACATGGCACAACTCGTCAGCCATGCATGGCAGACTTTGGCACAGGAACCTCCATGCCAAGTCAGTAAATCTCAACACTGTCAATACAGGAGCCACCTGAGCTCTGATCATTTTATTACAGGAAAACATACATGGTCCATGGTCCCACTTCATAATTTGGGGTTTTTTGTTTTTTTTTTTTTTTGGAGACAGAGTCTTGCTCATTCGCCCAGGCTGGAGTGCAGTGGCGCGGTCTCGGCTCATGGCTCACTGCAAGCTCTGCCTCCCAGGTTCACGCCATTCTCCTGACTCAGCCTCCTGAGTAGCTGGGACTACAGGCACCCGCCACCATGCCCAGCTAATCATAATTTGGGTTTATAAAGAATCATTCTTTCCTGTCTAGCTTACTTAATGAGTTGTTAGTTAGTACTTATCGTGTAGAATACAATGAGTAGTTAAGTATTCACTGAGAAATTCTAATTATAAAAATCAGTGCAAAGATACTTACATAGTTTCAAGGTATTACCCCCTACCCCGCACAGATTACTCATCAATCACAAAGGGGAAACCTAGGATAACAGGCAGATAACAAGGTGATACAATTTCACTTCATGAACAATGAGACAGAAAAGCAAACTGACTTTATGTTTGCAATAATGTGATGCAATGGACAAATCCCATCATCACCCATATGGTATTCTTACCAAAGGGTTTACAATTAAATATGAGAAAACAATCAGGCAAATAGAGATACTTAACTATCCTACAATATAATTGTCCTTAATTATCATACAAATCTAGAATGAGGAATATCCTACAATGCAATTGGCTTAAACTTTTCAAAAATATCAATGTTATGAAAGAAAATAAAAGATGAAAGGACTCTTGTAGATTAATGAAAAGTAAAACAACATTACAATGAGTTAAAATGCACAATCTTGTTGGTTCGAGTCCTTAACAGAAGGTCAAAAAAAAGCTGTAAGATATTTGAGGGATAACTGGATATATTTGATTACGGATATTAGAAAATATTTTTGAACAATGTTAAATTTATGGGGTGTGGAACAAGGTAATATGTAAGACTCAGCTGTGATGCAATCAGAAGAAGGATCACTACAGTGGTTGACGGTGAAGCACATTATGGCCACAGGCCCCACTCATGCAGAAAGCTCTGTGACCAGTTTCTGCTATTATTGGAATAGCTTCTCCTGTCACCGGTTGGAGGACAAACCAGAGGGGTTTTCTCCTTCAAAGAGAGAAGGACCAAATCTAGGCTAACGGGGCCCTGAGGCTTATACAGTTTTGAGAGCTCTCTTTAAGAACAAAGACAGGGGGAAGGGATAGCATTGGGAGATATACCTAATGCTAGATGACACATTAGTGGGTGCAGCGCACCAGCATGGCACATGTATACATATGTAACTAACCTGCACAATGTGCACATGTACCCTAAAACTTAGAGTATAATAAAAAAAAAAAAAACAAAGACACAAAATTATAAATAAAAAATTGGATAAAATAATATTTCCTTAGAATGAGAAAAAAACTTTAAAAATTGCTAACTAAAACAAAATATACCATTGTCTTAAATAAAATTACATTGAATTGGATTGTTCAGAAAAATGTTGGAGGACTAGAGTTAGGAACAGCACCTTTGAGAGAGGAAAGGAAGCAGGATGAGAGAGACAGAAAGACCAATTGACCCAGGTTGACCTGTAGTGCAGAAGCAACAAAGGCTCGGTCCACTCCCCTGGGAACTCTAGAACTGAAATGGTCTATCGACTCTGTGCTCCTGGCAGGCAAGAACGTCAGGTCTTTGTACCTCACTAGTGACCTGGTTTGGAGGTGGGCTGCACTCAGAATGGGGTGTAATCTCAATCAAGGCAGCTGCTATCAGGCTGGGCAATTCCTGGAAGGTGCTGCAGCTATGAGCAAAAAGCAGCCACCACTTCCAGCCACTAGAAGAATGAAGGCCTCTGTTCTGAAAGACGAATCTGGGGATTGCATCTCTCTATATACTATAACCCAAACAGCCCAAAATTCGAGGAACACCATGTATATTTTAGTTGCACACTGTGAGAAACACATTCGCCTGTCCAAACCCAAAGAATGGACTCGGAGACACAGAGAACAGCAGAAGCGAGATTTTTAACAGCAGTCTTGCAAGATTGGGTGTCTGATAGGCAGGCACAGCTGGGGCAGTTACAGCAGGTAATTTACCTCCTAACATGCAAGAACCTCCCCCAGTTCCTCATTGGCCGAGTAATATGGGGTTACAGTCTTCCCGGATGTCACCTGCGTTTCATTATCCCCCTTATAAGGTTATACCCCCGTCCGTTTCCCCACTTAAGTTTTGATTTCCCAATAATGAAACTTTCTTCCTTTTTATGGGTTGACCCCTCCTCTACATTCTGTTCACTTATCGTGACCTTCTAGGTGCATGAGCCGTGCGGTTTGTCACGTCCACAGGCTGGTTGCCAGTACTTAGCTTTATTAGGCCTTGAAAATGGACCATTTAAAATGTTTTCTCACACACACTTTTTGATTACCTGTTTATTTGCCCACAATTTATAATATTATTTTCCTTAGAGAAAATAGAAGGATAATTTAGTCTTGCCTTTAAGAAAACTGTTCAAAATTACAGCTGCACTACTGTAAATGTGTTTTTCCCCTAAATTTGGAAAATTATTTGAAAATTTGGACAAATCTCTATCAACTTTCTTTTATATATGAACTGTAATATTTCAGATACTATGAGTTTCTTTGGCAGTGACTAAATTTAAATGTTGTTTGTAATGGTGACACTCATTCATCTATTAGTATTCAAATATTCCTTGTAGTGAGAGTTATGAGTTTTATGTTGAGTCCTGCCTCTTCATTTCAGGACACAAGGGAATTGGCACAGTAGTGGTGGGTACATTCTGGAAGCCATTTTGACACTGAGACAAGCAAAAACTTACCTATAAATGGAAATAACTGTAAAGCACAGATATGTACATCTTACTAATCCCAAATTAAATGTGTCTGTAGCTTAGCTGCATTCTCATAACGCCTGCAGCCACTGAGGCCAGCCCACACAAAAGGGCTGGTCCAAGAGAGAGACTGAAACTGAAGTCTCAGTAGCTTCAAAATAAATCTGCCTCCACCCCCGGGGCTAATCACTTTCTAAGCTTTTGGTTTATTCACTATCCCTCTACCCTATGGTTCTTGCTGCTGGATTTCACACACCGTCAGCCAACACCGTGAACAAATTACTGAAGTGCATCAGAATCTTGGGTTACAAGCTCAGTAAATATAGGGGAGACATGGAGATATAAAACTCCAGTTTCTCAGGTCAGGTTGGCCCTAGTTAAAGAATTACACAGTGTCAGTCAGGCACTCCCTGCTCTTGGCCCTGTGCCCAGCTCCTCTTAGAAATGGAAGTTCCTTTCATGTGTCCTTTTTAGGTAGGTTATAACTTCCTCCAAGACCGTGGCTATTTCTTTGGATTCAGTTATTGTCTAAGGAAGCACAGTATTTTCTGCCTGTACCCTCTGTTTCTCCTTAAATGCCTCTGGATTTCACAATGAAATTATTTTTCTCAAAGTCACCTGAACTCCCGCTACATAGTATCTCTGTGCACACCTCACAGAATTCTCAGAACTGGCTGTTCTTTCAGCGAACACAGCGTCTCTTGCTTACTCCCTTGCATTTCATCTGAATACACAAACACTCTTTCTCTTTAGTCAGCTCTTCGAAAAGTCCCAAACGCTTATAGGACTCCTCTTTTTAAAGCCCATTAAGGATAACTATAATAAATCCTATAAGAATCAATATCTAAGATCCCAAGGCAGAAGCTAAAAGTTGCTGCAAGCAAAGATCTGACGATGACATACATCTTTTTAGAATTATGCTTAGAGTTAGATGGCTTGAAGAAATCTAACAAATTACATTTCTGAAAGTTTTAACAGAAGAAAGTACCTATTAAATTTAAATTCTGTATCAACATTTAGTGTGATGACACTTTCAGTGATAATGTTTTTCAGGGTGCAGTAGTTTGATGCGTTTCTTTTGCTCATTGAAGGTCTTATTAATTAACTTTAAAAACTTTTTTCATTTTGATTCAACAAATATGGATAGTATAAAGATTATTAATGGACGAGATTATTAATTGACTCATTTCTTCCTTCTCTTGGATTCTTTGAGGTTGCTGACATTTTTACCCAATTCCATTTCACAGCCTTCTCAGATTCCTCAAATGTAAACATTAGACAGCTGGATATAAGTTGTTTTCAATAAAGGACATTTAGCTCTGAAATGTCTTCCTTGCTGTGACACTGTCAAGTCTCATATTCCCCACCTTTCTTAAAGGGGCACATAATGACTATATTTTTCATTTGGCTACCTGATATAGATGACAACTGAAGGAAAAGTATTTTAAAACTCATTTTATGCTAATATAATCACAACTCTAATTTTGGGGATTAATTTTATGTTAATTTTAGTACTGTTACCCTGAGGCATTTTGTGGGAAAGATGAAAATTTGAAAATGGAATAAATAAAAAAAGTATTTATTATCTGGTCATTCAATTATTTTTTTCTATTTTTACTTTTCTCTAACACATATGAGTACATTAAAATAATGATCAACTTTCTCAGCACGTATCAGCATCATTGACATAAAATGTTCCTACAGTCCTCCATTTATTAAAAAAAGTTCTCAAGTTCTCAATATGTTGGCAAATTAGAGGCTGTTTTAGCAAATCTAGTCCTATGTTCATAAAATAAAGAATATTGGAATTGTAGTTGCTTCAATAATAAAATCAATGGCAAATTGAAAAATCCTTCAAAACTCAAATAAGTTAATTATTAAGTTATCAACTTAAAATTAATAAAGGCAATCAATTGTCTCTTTTAGTCTCTCTTCATCTTACCCCACCATCCACATACAGAGACAATTAAGCTGCTAATTTAAATGCTTAGGACAAACTCAAAGAGGCACAAAAACTGCTTAGTTAGCCTGAGTTCATCACCTAGTGGGAGGGCAATGGCAGAAAAAGAAGGAATTGTCAGTTTTCTTTACTCTGCTCAGCATCTCTCATTGATTAAGATTCCTCAAGGGCAAGAACATTTAATGGGCTTCAGTGTATAATTTGTCTGTCTGCCTCTTCTCAGAATTCATTATATTAACATTCTTTCCTCTGTCACTTAGTTTCAGAGGTAAAGCAAGGAATGCTTCCTTTTTAGAGCTTTGCAGTTTGAGAATCACATCACTTCAAGATTCTTGATTAGTTTTTAGTTTCAAGGCAGAAAAAGCTTGGTGTTTTTCTTTGTCCACGTGTTTAATGTTGGTTTCATTTGACTTTTACTTGCAACCAGAATTTACAAGGGTTTGACTAGTGGTATGGTGGTAAAGTTGTAATGACTGGCAAACTTGTTGCCACCCAGAATCCCTCTCTCCATCCTAAAAAAGAGCCTATATTGGCTGGGCACGGTGGCTCACGACTGTAATCCCAACACTTTGGGAGGCCGAGGCGGGCAGATCACAAGGACAGGAGATGGAGACCATCCTGGCCAACATGGTGAAACCCCGTCTCTACTAAAAATACAAAAATTAGCTGGGCGTGGTGGCACGTGTCTGTAGTCCCAGCTATTTGGGAGGCTGAGGCAGGAGAATCACTTGAACCCAGGAGGTGGAGGTTTCAGTGAGCCAAGATTGAGCCATTGCACTCCAGCCTGGTGACAGAGCAAGACTCCGTCTCAAAAACAAATAAACAAACAGCTTATATTAGTAGCGTTTACTAATTTCCATAATGTATGTACTCTCACCATGTCTGATTTTGGGCAATAATGTGATGCTACTGAGTCTGGAGTTGGGAAGTGCTGGGCATGATCAGCTCTCCTTTGCCGGATACATTAGCTCCAGCACACCACTGTGTTTAGCCATTGGGGAGAAAGAGGAAAGGAAACCCCTGATGTTTGCCTACAGCCTGGATCAAAGGATTCTATGCTGAAGTTCTGTATATCCAACTGAATCTCTTATTACAGTTATCTTCTTGGAAATTGACATCATGTAACCCAAAGGAAATACACTCTCTAAAAAATAGTTGAACCTTGAGTTTTAGTCAAATAAATACATAAAATGTGTCTAATTAATTGTCTTTTAAAATTCTGATTGTGTCTCCTTAGAAGTAGCATCACTTACTTGAAAAGCAAGGTATGTTTGGTATGATTGAAGGAAAGTTCTACTGCCTTGAAAGATGAATTCTAAAAGAAGATATTCCTTTTTTTCCTTCCCAGGTTCCTCAAATTTTTCACATTAAATACCTTAGTTAATTAGAATCGTCATGCTTAAAGCTTTATTTCATAGAGCCTACAGCTGGAAGAGACCTTAGGTGATAAGGCAATGTTACACAAAACACTTTGAAAACTCTACAACTATTATAGTTGTACAACTAGTATATTTTATTATTTATTATCATAATATGCTGTTCAACCCAATAATTTTACAGGGATGTTAAGTAATTTTCCACAATTATTATTAAAAGTTAAGGCTAGAACACAGATCTTTTACATTTCATAGTAAGAAAATTCATATAATATCAGATTGCCTGCCTTATTGTTTACTCCCTCTTTTAAGTGTTGAAATAAAACCAAAATTTAAATATTATGCATATTTAAGAGAGTCCTTGTATTAGTCCATTCTCACACTGCTATAAAGAAATACCTGAGACTTGGTAATTTATAAAAAGAAGAGGTTTAATTGATTCACAGTTCCGCATGGCTGGGGAAACTTACAATCATGGCAGAAGTCAAAGGGGAAGCAAGGCACACCTTCTGTGGCAGATCAGGAGAGACAGTGTGAAGCGTGGAGGGCCACAAACTTTTAAACCATCAGATCTCGTGAAATCTCACTCACTATCATGAGACTAGCAAGGGGGAAGTCCACCCCCATGATCCAATTACCTCCCACGAGACCCCCTCCTCTTTGACATGAGATGTATTTTTTTGTTGTTGTTTAATGGCCAGGCACAGTGGCTCATGCCTGTAATCCCACCACTTTGGCAGGCCAAGGCAGGCAGATCGTTTGAGGTCAGGAGTTTGAAACCAGCCTGGGCAACATGGTGAAACCCTGTCTCAACTAAAGATGCAAAAACAGTTAGCCAGGCGTGGGGTGGGCTCCTGCAATCCCAGCTACTTGGGAGGCTGAGGCAGGAGAATTGCTTGAAGCTGGGAGGCGGAGGTTGCAGTGAGCCAAGATCATGCTCCTGCACTCCAGCCTGGTGACAGAGCAAGACTCCATCTCAAAAAAAAAAAAATTTAAAATCATATGGTTTATTCTTTGCATATATGGTCAATTCCTTTCTTTTCAGATTTTTGATCTGCATTGCTGTTATATTTAGTAATTCTTATTGATTATTAAGGTGGCCAACGTCAACAGATTATCTGTATTTTTTTACCATTATTTTACAAATATATTAACCTGCATGGTATTGCATATAGACATATTATATGTGTGAGTAAATGGGTGATTCTAGACTTTAAACATTTGTCACTAAGCTTCTGATGATACCTTTAGAGCTATTATAATCAATTTTATAGTATACTTGGTGACCTTAGTTTTAAGACTGCTGTTCACAATTTCATAGATTATTTTTATGATATAAAAGTAGCAAAAATTTTTGCAGATATTTCTCATAAAGGAATATTAAAAATTTGCGAAAGAAACATTACTAAGTTGGTCATTCATAAAGTCATAATTGCCATATTATATTTAGAAAGTATATTTAGGTATTTTCAAAGGCCCTCTCTCTCTCTCTCTCTCCTTCCATCTGTCTTCTGAAACAGATATCAGAATTTGAAAGATGTTGACATCCTTTGGGTAATTCCTTTTTATTGTATTTAGTAAATATTTGAGTGCTTATAAAAATTTGAGAGTTTATTATAGATCATCCTTCCTCAACTATTTTTCATTTTTTTCCAGATGCCAAGCCAGTCTTCCACAGACAGTTTCCTAATAAAGTTGTCTAAAGCATCTCTCATTCTAAATTGCTACCATCAAAATATATGTGAAGGGGGGAAGACTATTTTTGCTTGAGATTTGGGCATCATTGTCCTTCACTTCATAAAAGTGCATTTGATAGTTAATACATATGTACAGGAAAAAAGATTTTTAGTTCTTACATTTTAAAATACTCATACATTTTCCAATGAGTTTCATATCCAGTATCATGTTAAGACTTTGAAGAAAAGCTTAAAGTAGATAGAATAAATATTCTTGTGAATATTTTATAAGGACACTGAGTAAGAGAAATTAATGTTGAAATGTAGAAAACTACAAGATATCTGGAAAATATTTAGTTAACAAAAATCTAAGTTGTAACTAAATGTGGTGAGTACATTTTAGAACATATATGGTATTTAGAACTTTCAAATCAGCACTCTATTGACCTCCATAGATACCATTCACAATTATAAAACTGATTTTAAATTGCACGAGAGGAGTTAGGTCCATGAAAATGTGGGGTAGGAAACTCCAGAAATTGTCCCTTCTATAAAAGCAATGAGAAAACTGGCAGAAATGGTCAGAATCAACTTTTTCAGAATTCTTGTTACTAACCGAAGATTTATTTTTGGACTCTGTTATGTTTTCTGTCCGTTTCTTAACCTTCTATCCATTCCAGAGTTGAAGGCTGCCACTTCATTATTAAAGCTCTAGAGTATATTTTGGTTTCTAGAACAGCTGTTCTTGCCTTTTTATTCTTTTCCAAATGTTCTTGGATTTTTGTGAGGTTTACACTGGATTCCATTAAATGCATAGCTTATTCTCAATATAATTAATATATTTGCAGTCTTAGGTTTTTCTCAGTCAGAAACAGTATATGACTTCACATTTATTTTGATTTTCTTGTAACTTTCTGTAATATTTCATAACTTTTTTCAGACAGGTTTGCATAGTTTTCGCTATATTCATTATTTTATTTTACATATTCTGTAATGAAAAAGGATATTTATTATTTGTATAACATTTTAAATCTGTTATAGCTAATATATAGAAAACTCTTATTTGCTTGTTTACTTTATGTTACTATATATAGATTTTTACAGATCGTTTTTGATTTTTTATGTATCCAAATATTTTGTGTGATAGTATTTATTTTGATTTTCTTCTAACATTCATACCTTTTCTTGTGTGATCATACCAGTTAAAATCTCCGACTAGTTTTGTAACTATGGTGACTACAGCATTCTTGTTTAATGCATTTAATTTAATTTATTCACAGAATGATAAAGAAGTATAAGCTTTTGCAGACTGTAGAAAACATCTAATCCAGCTTTTTAAATTTCGACATGTAAGAATGGGGACCAGAATACTAAAATGACTTGCTTAAATTTATATAGTTCATTTATGCCATGGCTTCTACCGGAATTCCCCCTTGACTTGCATTCAAGCTCTTTAGTACTCTAAACTACTTTTCTTTACAGGACAATCAGTAAGTCCAATAGTCTCACTCTGCTTTGTCAAAATATTGTTATTTGATTCACACGCTGCTCAAGCTTGCCAGATGCACACACACACACACAGTGGAATGTTCACTCTTCACTATCAAACTCAGTGTTCCTCATAACTAGCAAAATAAATAAAGAACAAATCTTTTTACTCTGGCCTGCTATTTATTATGCATATTTATTTATTACATATATATCAGATTACATACATAGACTTTAGTTTACTAAAATACAGATTATATAAAAATATCAAATCAATTCTTCTCTGGCAGACGTTCAGTTTATATCTCGAATTCAAATAAACTTGATGCCCATTAGTGTAGTTTCATACGCAAGTCGAGGTTGGTCTATATGCCATGGCCATTCCTTTCCTGGAAACAGGTTATTTGACTGCAAGAGTTCTTTTTATGAAGATGGATCTAACGATTTTTGAAGTTCCATAAGACAATATTCTGTGCACCTGTGTGAATGTTTTGTCAGGATCAGTTATAAGATATGTAATTATATGGATGTTTACTAATTAATGCAAAACCCAGTGGGACTGCCAGAGAGTTTAAACAAGTTCTCTCTTGCATATGACGACAATTGTTCTGATGCGTCAAGTTTCATTAAGCTAACAAGGCCAATCACTTGAAGGGTTTTAGGTAGATTTGGATGATATTTTCACATTATGAACAAAGAGTCAAACACTGTTCCATGCCCTGAGAGCCACATTTCATTATGGCAGAGAACATGTACTCCAAAGTCCTCAGCTGTTTTTTTCAGTATAATTATGCATCATAATAAGACCCCGCTGTCAAGGTGGCTACATTTTCATTCTATTGGACATCTTTATTGAAAGGATTTATTCTTGTGATCATGAGTCATTAGAGTGACAAAGTCTACTAAGGGTAACTGTATTCTAATGGTTCCCAGTATTGGAGACCATGTATTATCTACTAGGGTAGAGTTAGGAACTGCAAACAAGAGGATGAACAATATAAGTTTTTTTCCATTTCTCTTCCTGTATACCATTTTCTAATTAATGAAGACCTAAAGAATTATGATCTTATCTCACTATACATTTCATGGGAGTAAAAACATTTTCTAAGTGTGCCATTTACCACTTGCTTTATCACCAAGACTCAGCCTATAGTCTTTTTGATAAGAAGCAGGGCTGTTATCACACAAACACCAGAAAGAAAGACAGAGGACAATACTGTAACAAGTGTTAAGCTAGGAATAGAGTCCTCAAATCATGTCTTTATAGATATCTTCTAAAACCTCTCCCTTTATATCTCCAAAAGAAGTGTGCAGGTTATCTGGAATTTAGTGCTTTCCCTAAATCTGTGTGGAATGACAGACTTTGTGAAGAAGTATAGAACATATCTGAGGCACTAGGATTCCTTTTATTTAATCCATATCAGCTTTCGTGACATACAAAACTAGGTCTTTTGGGGAGTTTGCATGCTCCTGAAGAGAGGTCTAGAAAAATATGACCAAGGAAAATCATTACTAATTCACTTACCCAAACTCTAAGAATTCATTTATCTCTTTCTGACAGCTGTGTAGAGTTCCAAGGGTAAGAGACCCCAAAAGAGAAAGCAGACAAGGTCATTGTTATGAAAAATATTTCTACTTCACTCGTAAGCATTTAAAAATTGTTTGCTTGTGCTAGTGAAAGCTTCTCAACATGCATCATAGTCCATATGTTTTGGCCTGACTTCTCACCTGTCCCCGCACTTCTTGAGTGGATTTTAGGAGTATGGACTGGACCTTGAGAATGGAATGCACCAGTGGCTCAACTGTGGCCCTAAAAGTTACCAGTGGCCAAATTTCCAGGAATAAGGCAGGAAGGCTGGTTGGTTAAAGGCAGAGCTGAATTACTCATGAATTTCTGCTCCTTCCTCAGTTTAGCTCTTCACACATTCCTTTTTAGCAATGTTCATCCATGGATTTTCCGAGTGCTATATCCTCTAGTGGAGTAGGAAATACTTCTTTCTTAGCCCTTTCTACCATTCAGATACAAGACCACAAAGACAGTTATGTGGTTTCCTACAAATCTTAAACCTGGAAAAAATTGTTAAGAATATAAACGCCATATAATACCACAGTGATAAACATGTGGTTTTATGCGTAGTGTATTTAAAATAAGTAAATATTGTTCAATACAATTTTATGAATATTTACTTCCCTTCTCTTTGTGTGTGTGTATATATATATATAATTTTAAGTCATGTTTAATATTTATATTACTATTGCAACAGCAAACTGCAACTACGCTAATTTTTGTTACAATGCTATGAAATTTGGTGACATTTTGCTGCCTATAACAAATATAGTGATTAATCATAATGAAATTCACATCTGGATATTAGGCTCAATACAAAAATACTTATTTCTAACAAATATGTCTTATCTATACTTTAACACTATACCAGGTAAAATAAGGAGAAGGGATGATTCCATCCTAAAATAAGGAGAAGGGATGATTCTGTACCTAAAGGTAGCACTAGGAAACAGACCTTAGATTCATTTGCTTTTAAGACCCTCACAGCTGCACATTCCTTTCTCCTCTTAGTTCTCTTCTTAGGCTCAAATAAGAGTATTTTGAGCTGTCAAAAAAATTGAAATTATTACTGATTATTCTCTATTTAACTTTATAGACAGTGAGAGGTGACAGCATGCTGGCAGTCCTCACAGCCCTCGCTAGCTCTCAGTGCCTCCTCTGACTGGGCTCCCACTTTGGCGGCCGTGGAGGAGCCCTTCAGCCCACCGCTGCACTGTGGGAGCCCCTTTCTGGGCTGGCCAAGGCCGGAGCCGGCTCCCTCAGCTTGCAGGGAGGTGTGGAGGGAGAGGCAGGAGCGGGATCCGGGGCTGCCCGCGGCGCTTGCGGGCCAGCTGGAGTTCCGGGTGGGCGTGGGCTTGGCGGGCCCCACACTCAGAGCAGCCGGCTGGCTCTGCCGGCCCGGGCAATGAGGGGCTTAGCACCCGGGCCAGCGGCTGCGGAGGGTGTACTGGGTCCCCCAGCAGTGCCAGCCCACCGGTGCTGCCCTTGATTTCTCACGGGGCCTTAGCTGCCTTCCCGAGGGGCAGGGCTCGGGACCTGCAGCCCGCCATGCCTGAGCCTCCCACCCCCTCCGTGGGCTCCTATGCAGCCCGAGCCTCCCGGATGAGCGCCGCCCCCTGCTCCAGGGCGCCCAGTCCCATCAACCACCCAAGTGCTGAGGAGTGCAGGCCCACCGCACGGGACTGGCAGGCAGCTCCACCTGCAGCCCCCCTGCAGGATCCACTGGGTGAAGCCAGCTGGGCTCCTGAGTCTGGTGGGGAGGTGGAGAATCTTTATGTGTAGCCCAAGGATTGTAAGTACACCAATCGGCACTCTGTATCTAGCTCAAGGTTTGTAAACACACCAGTCAGCACCCTGTGTCTAGCTCAGGGTTTGTGAATGCACCAATCAGTGCCCTGTCAAAACAGGCCACTAGGCTCTACCAATCAGCAGGATGTGGGTGGGGCCAGATAAGAGAATAAAAGCAGTCTGCCTGAGCCAGCAGTGGCAACCTGCTGCGGTCTTCTTCCACACTGTGGAAGCTCTGTTCCTTCGCTCTTTGCAATAAATCTTGCTACTGCTCACTCTTCGGGTCCATACTGTTTTTATGAGCTGTAACACTCACCGCGAAGATCTGCAGCTTCACTCCTGAAGCCAGCGAGACCACAAGCCCACTGGGAGGAGCGAACAACTCCAGACGCGCCGCCTTAAGAGCTGTAACACTCACTGCAAAGGTCTGCAGCTTTACTCCTGAGCCAGCGAGACCGTGAACCCACCAGAAGGAAGAAACTCTGAACACATCCAAACATCAGAAGGAACAAACTCCAGACGTGCCACCTTAAAAGCTGTAACACTCACCGCGAGGGTCCGCGGCTTCATTCTTGAAGTCAGTGAGACCAAGAACCCACCAATTCCGGACACAATAGGACATTGCTGGAAAAAGTTAATTTTAGTTTCAGATTCCAGGTGTGGTTTTGTTCCTCATTTTCTCTAATTTACCCAGCACCGGGCCTAGAATATAGAAGGTCCTCAATTAATATTTGTGAAATGAATGAGGAAACGAATGGAGGAATGTTGAGTAAAGACATTGGAGTGAATTAGAATCTCCTGGCTCTCTTGGTCAACGTTTGAATCGGATCTATAAGCCAAGGGTTAAGATCATTGTTGCTAATATTGTGGAGGTTACAATTTCTATCAGTTAACATGTTTCTCAGCATTATTACCTTTTAACTTTAATAGTTTTCTTGAAAGGCAACCTTTAGTACCATTGAATTGTACTGTATTAAAGTGCAAAAATTGCCATTGATTATACTAATTATTATCTGCTGAAAGTTTCGGTCAGCGAGACCTGAGGAAACAAGTCCTGCTCTACTTTTATTCATACCAGCTTGATATTCATATCATGTCATTTAATATTAGTTTTAGGTTTCTCTAAAAATATTACCTTTTGTAGACATATACAGACACCTATTTAGCACATGTTATATGCCTGAACAATGCTTAGCTGATGTAAATTTAAATATAATGGAAAGCTTCCAAGGGCTTTGTTACAACTGAACCAGTGGCTCTCTCAAATTTTTTGAGACATGCTCATTTTTTAAAAATTCTATTCATACTTGAAGATAGAAGCAAAAGTATTCCTGAAAATATCATAGCCAAGAAGTGGCATGAAATAATGAGAGTGATTAAATGAAATCTTTGGAAATGTTTATACCCATTGTATTAATCTGTCTACACACATTTAACTGCCTTTCAGATATTCATTTCAGATCCCAACACAAATGTTTCTCAGCCTCTTAAAGACTTGGTAGTTCTAGCTCTCTGGTTACCTGATGAATTTGTTGATTTAATGTTATTGTCTCTAATTCTGTTTGATAAAGGTTACTAACCTATGGTACTGGAAACTAGGGGGGAAGAACCTCTCTTCTGACTTAGCTTTTTGACTACTCTTGGTACCCTGCATGAATAGGTCAGTAAATCTTGATCTACTTGCTGCCACTGCACAGTTGAAAGGCTGAGAGACAGGGTTAGATCCTATATCATAAGTTTAGAGTAGGAGTTTACATAGAAATCTACTCAGGGCCACCATGTATATTCATACAAGTCATGCACTTTATTACAAGCTTGCTATGAATGGTTCCTTCAGTATTGTGCAGTACAAAACTTGCACCATCCTACAAAGAAGTCACAGGTCCAACTACTTTTTTCCTTTTCCCTTGAGATGCCAACTCCAGGGCATTTGTTTCTTACACGCGTAACTGTCATTTTAAAAGCATGGCCCTTCGTATTCTACTTTCACAATCTTAGATACAGAGAGAAGGCAAGCTATGGGTTTCCATACTTAGATTTGCTATCTCAAGTACCAACTCTCCTTTTATGGATTCCTTTTTCTGCAAGTGAGAAACATCCCACTTTCATTTTTAATTTTCTGTAGATAACTTAGCAATGGAAACACAATAAATAAGTTTTTGGGCTTTTAGAAACATCTAGAGTAAGACAAGAAGTCGAACCAGCCTACTGTGTATGTTGACATGGTGCTGGTGACAGGAGTTTTTAGGATTACAATTGATTCACCTATCAAACTTCCTTTTTTATTATTTTGTGAGTATCTGCTTCACCCACAGGACTGAAACAACATGTGTTTAAGAGCTGTGTCTGTTTTGTTCACAATATCTCTAAAATCTACCACAAAGAACTTGCTAACATTTTTTTGTAGAATGAACTTGTAGAATGCATGTTAAAAAGTCTTCCAGTATATATAAGCTGTAAAATAAAAATATTAATGATTTAATGAACATCTAGCAAGTCATGGCATCTGAAAGCAGAACTATAGTACTTAAAATATCAAATTTAACTCTCTATCTGTTATTGGTGTATAAGAATGCCTGTGATTTTTTCACATTGATTTTGCATCCTGAGACTTTGCTGAAGTTGCTTATCAGCTTAAGGAGATTTTGGGCTGAGATGATGGGGTTTTCCAAATATACAATCATGTCATCTGAAAACAGAGACAATTTGACTTCCTCTTTTCCTAACTGGATACCCTTTATTTCTTTCTCCTGCCTGATTGCCCTGGCCAGAACTTCCAACACTTTGTTGAATAGGAGTGGTGAGAGAGGGCATCCCTATCTTGTGCCAGTTTTCAAAGGGAATGCTTCCAGGTTTTGCCCATTCAGTATGATATTGGCTATGGGTTTGTCATAAATAGCTCTTATTATTCTGAGATACGTCCCATCAGTACCTAATTTATTGAGAGTTTTTAGCATGAAGGGCTGTTGAATATTGTCAAAGGCCTTTTCTGCATCTATTGAGATAATCATGTGGTGTTTGTCTTTGGTTCTGTTTATATGCTGGATTACGTTTATTGATTTGCATTTGTTGAACCAGCCTTGCATCCCAGGGAGGAAGCCCACTTGATCATGGTGGATAAGCTTTTTGATGTGCTGCTGGATTCGGTTTGCCAGTATTTTATTGAGGATTTTTGCATTGATGTTCATCAGGGATATTGGTCTAAAATTCTCTTTTTTGGTTGTGTCTCTGCCAGGCTTTGGTATCAGGATGATGCTGGCCTCATAAAATGAGTTAGGGAGGATTCCCTCTTTTTCTATTGATTGGAATAGTTTCAGAAGGAATGGTACCAGCTCCTCCTTATACCTCTGGTAGAATTCGACTGTGAGTCCGTCTGGTCCTGGACTTTTTTTGGTTGGTAGGCTATTAATTATTGCCTCAATTTCAGAGCCTGTTATTGGTCTATTCAGGGATTCAACTTCTTCGTGGTTTAGTCTTGGGGGGGCGTATGTGTCCAGGAATTTATCCATTTCTTCTAGATTTTCTAATTTATTTGCGTAGAGGTGTTTATAGTATTCTCTAATGGTAGTTTGTATTGCTGTGGGATCGGTGGTGATATCCCCTTTATCAGTTTTTATTGCGTCTATTTGATTCTTCTCTCTTTTCTTCTTTATTAGTCTTGCTAGCGGTCTTTTACTGGTTTTGACATTTTGTTCTTTAATCAGGGCCTCTGACCACAGAGACCCAGGGTGTGCTATGTAATGCATCTCTTCAGAAAATAAATATGAAAACTTCCCTAAAAGAAATGTCATGTTGTGATCAGTCATGTGTCATTCAGCACACACCAGGATATACTTTTATAATGTCCAATAATTAAAATGGTTGAATTACTTTCTCAAGGCCATACATCAATTTAGGGGGATATTACAAATGCCTCTCAGATAGTTTAAGAGCTCTAATAATAAAAAATGACTTGGAAAACAGTTTTTAGTCCTTATAAAAAAGAACAGTAAGGGCATAAATTTAAAAGTACAGATACAAATTACTTAAAGAATCCAATTTATTTTTTATTTCATTATAATCTGAGGGTTAAAATGTTTTCAATCTTGTTTTCCAATCTTTCCTATCTCTCCACTGCAGAGTATATTGTAAAAAACAGTTTATGTAAAGTGAGAGCGAGGCTCTGTCTCAAAAAAAAAAACAAAGATAAAACAATTAGTCATCTGAGTCTATCTTAAATAATATCAAAAATTCCAATAATACAGTAGCACTATCCTACCTAGAAGATTCTGGTTTGATGCAAATGATAAACATCACCTTTATTTTAGATTCAGTTTTTATCTTTAATTTACTTCCATACAGTCATCCGGAAATGAATGTATACTAATTTAGCTCATTAGTAGAGGCATGCATGAAATATGCAAAGGTTGTCATTGCCATGTCGCTTTTTCACTCGTTTTCTGTAGCTGCAATATCTGTTTCATCACAGTTTTTAGACATTGTTTCATCTTCATAAGACTCATCTTGTTTGGTGAAATTATTTTAAGTAATTAAAGAAACTGCCATTTAATCTATGGTAGTGATAGAAAACAGCAACAGTAACCAATAGTCAACAAATAACTATTCTTCTTATGGTGAGAGGAGACGATTAATTAGAAAAAAGAATTAATTAAATCATCCAACCAATCCCTAGTGAGAAGGTTTATAGAGGGTGGTTTCTAAGCTAAAATATATTATCTTAAGGTGGAGCAATTATAAGTAAATTAGATACTAAAAGGAATAACTGTAATCTAAGATTAAACAATTTTTTTTCTTTTTCTGTGAATCTGCAAAGAACACATGCAGAACTGCTAACTACAACAGTGATAGTTGTTTGAATTAATTATACTAGTTGCAGATATTTTTCATATCTCAAAAGATTTGTGGCAATGCATATTGCGGCCATTTTTCTCCTTTTGAAATTGCTTTTATGCTTAGCCAGAGAATAAATGAGGCTGAAAATTAATTCACATGGCATTTTAACCAATAGTCAGTAATTTCTGTTCCACAAGCAAGAAGCAGCCCAATGCATTTAGGAATGATTTTTTCCAAAAGCCACTCTGTTAGCTGCCACTCTGAAGGGAACCAATCCATTTCCATTTGAAATCTTTTCACCAAATGAAACTCTTGTTTTTATTAAGGTGCTAGTGTCTAAGCTGCATTTTATTCAATATAGAGGCCACTTATTTTTTATTTTGGCCAACCTGCATCTGAACTTCGTCCAATACTTGATGATCCCTTCACTTCATAAATTTAGTTAGTTAGCAAAGCTGCCTTGTGTTATTGAAGCTGAAAAGGCCAGACAAATGCTTACTCAGGCTTCCTGTCAGTTAAGGCAGGAGATTGGTTATACCAATCAGATGCACCAAGCCCAGAAATTTGAGGTCCATGGTGAACAGTCATTTTGTAGATGCAAGGTGTTATCCAGAGCAAGCTCTACGGTCTAGTTACTTGCAGCACATTGCAAAAAGATCAACAGACAGATCTGTGGTATGATTTATGCCACGGCCCCCAAAACTGGTTCTCCAGTTTGGGATAGCACTATTTTCCAGAAAGAAACATATTTCCCACCAGACTGGTCTATTAAAAGGAACGAGACCTATGCAGGAAGATACATTCAGATTTTGACCTTGTATTAATTCACTCTCATGCTGCTAGTAAAGACATACCCAAGACTGGGTAAGTTTATAAAGGAAAGAGTTTTCGTTGACTCACAGTTCAGCATGGCTGGGGAAGCCTCAGGAAACTTACAATCATGGTGGAAAGAGAAGCAAACACGTCCTTCTTCACTTGGTGGCAGCATGGTGAAGTGCCAAGCAAAAGGGGGAAAAGCTCCTTATAAAACCATCAGCTCTTGTGAGAACTCATTCACTATCATGAGAACAGCAGCATAGGGGTAAGCACCCCCATGATTCAATTACCTCCCACTGGATCCCTCCCACAACACATTGGGATTATGGAAACTAGAATTCAAGATGAGATTTGGGTGGGGACACAGCCAAACCCTATCATATCTCACCTTGTTTAGTTCTTAGTTCTTTAAGTCATATTATTGGGCTTTGGCCAATCTGAGGCCAAGTTTTCTCCTCTTAAAATTGGTTTGTTATATAAGCCAGATGAGTTAATACATATGAAACATGAAGCTACATCAAGATAATTTACTGAGATATTAATTACTATTTTGTTTTTATTACAGTTGAAAAATTAAAATAAATTGCTATTTACATTTTGCAATCTGGATATTTCCCCCCTCTTTTTCTGTTCTTTTAGCTAGGACTTTGTGCTTTTTTTACCTCAGAGGAATTTTTTTAGGCTAAGAGGTTGTCTCAAGATGTTTTCCTCTTGCCTTCAGTTTTTATAAGATTGAGTTCATTAGAAAGATTATTTTAAAGGAGCAAATAGAAGCAAGCAAAAGTAACAGGATGTCTTCCCAAACAGGCAAAGAAGCCTGACTGAATTTCTGAGACTGGCATGAACTCTTACCCATACCCTGGGAAAATAAAATGGCCTTGAGAAGGTCTGTCTACCCTGCTTACCCAGGGAGATTGAAATCTCTCACAGGGTCTCCTACCCTCCACTTTAAAGCAGTAAACCACCTGCCTGCCTGGGACCATACAAGCAAACTAAAGGATAATTTCCAGCTTTCTTTACTTTTCCTTTTTTTCCCCCACAACTAGACCTCCTATATGTATACATGTTCCAGGGAAGGATAAAAACCTCACCACAGACACATAGGTGAGCATGAATTTCCTGGCAATCCTACAGAATGAGGGCTCAGTGTCACCTCAGTTTGCTTGGAAGAAAATTATATAATCTGTGTTTTACCTGCCTTTGTGGAATATGATGTTTTTGGCCATAGGAACACAACAGCACCCCAGAAAATGTCAGTTCTACTCCTATATTTTTAGAGTAGAATATACGTGCAGGAATTATTAGTTCTATGCTTCCCTTAAAGTTGATAAATCTTAAACTTTTGAAGCCATTCCTAGGCCTAATACATTAGACATGGGCTTGAAAATTTAGTAGTTGGAATCAAATTCAAAATGCTTACCCTAGCACTTTTAAGCATATTTCAATATTGACTTTTTAAAGGGGGACATAGGGGACAATCATGCTCATCACAGGCCCCATTTATTCTTATGATCCTGTACTTGGTGCAATTCATCACCTTTTGTTTCCTCCTTGTGTTAGTCTATTCTTGCATGTCTATAAAGAAATGTCTGAGACTGGGTGATGTATAAGAAAAGAAGTTTAATTGGTTCATAATTCTACAGGCTGTACAGGAAGCATGGAAGCATCTGCTTCTAGGGAAGTCTTAAGAAGCTTCCAGTCATGGCAGAAGTCAGAGAGGTAGCAGGCACATCACAAGGCGAAAGCAGGAACAAGAGAACCGAGGGGGAGGTGCTACACACTTTAAACAACCAGATCTCATGTGAACTCACTCAGTATTGTAAGGACAGTACCAAGCAGATGGTGCTAAACAGTTTATGGGAAATCTACCACCATGATCCAATCACCTCCCACCAGGCCCCACCTCCAACACTAGGGATTACATTTCAATATAAGAATTGGGTGGAGACACTGTCATTAGCCCCCTGACCCCTTCAAAATCTCATGTCCTTCTCATATTTCAAAATCCAATCATGCCTTTCCAACAATCCCCCAAAGTGTTAACTCATTCCAGTGTTAACTCAAAAGTCGAAAGTCTCCTCTGAGGCAAGGCAAGTCCCTTCCACCTATGAGCCTGTAAAATAAAAAATAAGTTAGTTATTTCCAGGATACAATGGGAATACAAGCATTGGGTAAACATTCCCCTTCCAAAAGGGATAAGTTAGCCAAAAGAAAGGTATTATAGGCTCCACGCATGTTTGAAACCCAGCAGGGCAGTCATTTTAAGAGCTCCAAAATAACCTCCTTTGACTCTATGTTTCACATCCAGGGAACAATGATGCAAGGGGTAGGCTCCTAAAGCCTCTAGCAGCTCTAGCCCTGTGGCTTTTGCAGGGTTCAGCCCCAGAGGCTGCTATTACAGGTTGTTGAGTGCCTGCAGATTTTCTATGCTGAGGGTGTAAGCTACTACTGTAGCTACTATTCTGGGTCAGGGAGACAGTAGCCCTCTTCACACAGCTCCATTAGGCAGTGCCCCAGTGAGGATTTTGTGTAGGGTCTCCAACGCGTATCTTCTCTCTGCATTACACTAGTATAGGTTCTCCGTAAGGGCTCTGACCCTGGGTAGGTCTCTGTTTGGACACTTGGGCTTTTCCATACATTCTCTGAAATCTAGGTGGAGGCTCCCAAGCCTCAACTCTTGCACTCTGTGCACCTGCAGGCTTAAAACCAAGTGGAAGCCTCCAAGGCTTAAGGCTTGCACCCTCTGAAGCAGCAGCTGAAGCTGTACCTGGGCCTCTTTGAGCTAGAGCTGGAGTGGTCAGGATGCAGCTGCTTTTTAAATTTTTATTTATTTATTTATTTATTTATTTATTTTGACACACTCTTGCTCTGTTGCCAGGCTTAAGTGCAGTGGCACGATCTAGGATCACTGCAACCTCTGCCTCCCTGGTTCAAGCAATTCTCCTGCCTCAGCCTCCTGAGTAGCTGGGACTACAGGCGTGTGCCACCACACCCAGCTAATTTTTGTATTTTTTTAGGTAGAGACGGGTTTTCACCATGTTGGCCAGCATGGTCTCGATCTCTTGACCTTGTGATCTTCCTGCCTCAGCCTTCCAAACTGCTGGGATTACAGGCATGAACCACCATGCCCAGCCAGGATGCAGCTGCTTTTAAACACCCAGATTTCATGAGAACTTACTCACTATCCTGAGGACAGAACCGAGAAGATGGTGCTAAACTGTGCACGAGAAATCTGCCCCCATGATCCATTCACCTCCATCCAGGCCCCACCTCCAAGACTGGAGATAACAATTCAAAATGAGATTTGGGCAGAGACACACATGCAAATCTGTATCACTCCTCTGGGCCAACCTTATTTATTCCATCTATCCTCTTTATCCTGGGCAGTAAATGACAAGATTCTTGTCACTTGATTGAAAGGTTAGACAAATAAATACACTTTATAAACAAAATAATCCAACAAACATGGGATAAGGATAGAGGAATTATATTTGATTTTGAACAACATAAATAATACAATGTAAAGACAAAAGGAATAAATTAGGAATAAATAAGGGTGCCTTACAAAGAGAAAGATTGAATCAAAACTTAGCAATATTGCCTGTATATATGCATTTTATTAAGAGCTAACATGGCCAAAATTATTAGAGCTAATATTTTTCAATGTTATACCTGACTGTATAACCTAGCTGTTTTGCTAAATCTTTTTCATGTATTAGCTAATTTAACCTTTACCTAAGCTGTAAAATCTGTCCAATTGTAATTCATTTGACAAATGAAGACTTGGACACAGAGAAATAGACTTAATGACAGTTACCCATTTAGTAAAAACAGAGTCAATATTTGAACCCAGCAATTTGACCTGCAAGCCCATCTTATGTTGATTCCTATAGATTAAAAAAAAATGTTGATTTGCTAACCTGAAAAGAGAAAGTTGATTTTTATAGCCAATTAGCAAAATTCTGAGTGACAAGATAAAAAATAAATGAATAGTACAAAAACAGGCCTTCCTTTGAAAATAGAATTCGATTAATAGGAAGAACTTTGCAAAGATACTGTGAGCAATAAAGGACTAGAATTTATTTGCAAGATATTTTTCTTATGAAAGCACTTCTAAGTACTGCTGTTGTCCCAGAGGAAAAGTTAATGTCTTTTATATCTTAGACTTTATTTATGACACCAAAGTGTTCTTACATTCAGGAAATAGCAATACCAAATTCCCAAGAATGGGGATTCAGTGTGAAGTGCCTCCTCATGTCTCAAGATCTGTCCTCATTGCAGCTTAGCAGGATACGTTTGTCTTTGTTTTGAAATTGGATAAAAGAAGGAAGTTAGAGCAATTCATGCATGGCAATCAGTTGTCCAATTGTAGATGGCAGACAATATATCCAAATAACCTATGAAACAGAGTTGCAATTGATGTGACATCTGTATCCACAGCTAGAAAACTCATAATAGCAACATGGAGAGCCCCACAATTAGACATACAGCAAAACAATAATGGAGGGAGGATTGTGCAAGAAAGTGAGGAGCTACAAACAATAGCTGGCCTGATGATTGAAAGAATTTCCACGTTAGAAAGGATACATTTGTATTGTGTCACTCATTTAAGCATGACTCAGGATGTGGTTGGCTGTTATGAAATCTGTATTTCAGTTTTCGGAAACAGCCTTGAGTGTTTGTGTTATTTGGTTTTATCAATGCCGGAAGTAACTGCATTGTCAAAAAACATACTCCACATGTTTATAGAGATGTGAACAAAAGTCAAATTTTTGAAGAAAATTAAAACAAATGGTGATTTAAGCTTTATTTTTAATAGGCTCCTAATGTTTTCCTTTCAATGTATCTCACTTTTAGAAAACAATGAATTTTTGTACAACAAATATCCACAGTTAACTCTGAGATAGGAATACTTCCATCAAAACCTCATTACTTCTTTCTGTGCTGGTAAGTATTTACATTTCAGGTGAGCCATATAATTTAGAGCCATAGAATTTTGACTTCAAAGTTCACTTAAAAGGAGAGTGGAAAATATCAGGGCCAGGCATGGGGGTTCACACCTGTAATCCCAGCACTTTGGGAGGCCAAGGCAGGAGGATCACTTAAGCCCAGGAGTTTTGAGACCAGACTGGGCAACATAGTAAGATACTTGTCTCTACAAAAACTGAAAATAAAAATTAGTTGGTGTGGTGGTGTGTGCCTCTAGTCCCAGCTGCTGGAGAAACTGAGGTTGGAGGATCACTTGAGCCTGGGAGGTCAAGGCTAGAGTGAGCTGTGATCACTGCACTCCAACCTGGGTCACAGAGTAAAACTTGGTCTCTGAAAAGAAGGAAAAAAAGGGAAAAAAAGAAAGGAAAAGAAGATATAAATTCCTTTACAGTTAGGGTTTTAGATTACTATGTTAACTAAAAGAAAGTGTTGTGAGTGAACCCAAAGATATTCTGATTTAAATATTAAGTCTTATCTCCAAGAAAAATAAATGATGATACAGTTAATAAAGAAATATTGGTTTGGATTCACTACTACCTGGGCTCAAATGTTGATATTGCCGCTATTTAGCTTATGCATGATTGTAACCTTTCTGATCCTTGGTTTCTTGTAAAAATTTGGAAATTATAAGTACTTCATAGGAATATCAAAGGGATTAAATAACGTGATTTACAGTAGAAAGTCACTTACCTTACATTGCTGAAACAGGTAGTTGATTGGTTCATTGAAAATCAGTGAAAACAGAAAAGTATAGTATTCCAAATACTATGGAAATAGAACATGATTCACACAGGAAATGGGGAGTGATGCGTACTTCAAATATTTAGCACCATGGGGATCAGTGATAAGAGTTTCTTCTGCATATGAAGTCTAACCAGGAGCCTAGAACCTGGCTCAACTCGTATTAGATCTCCTCTCTTCTGTCTCCTTACTGTTAAGACAATGGGATCATTGAGAAATCTAAAGGTTCAATGTTTTTTGTTTGAATGGAAATATTTATTTTTTTTCTGATTTAAATATATATTTATAATGATAATAATACATGTCAAATAAAAGATAGCTTAAGCAAGAAAATAAAATAATTTCATTCTCAAAATCTATTTAATAAATAGTGTAGATAAGTCATCCATAACTGAAAAAATAGGCTCCTATTTGATATCTTTGTAACTCCAGGATATGGAATAATTTATTAATGAAATGATGAAATTATAAAGGAAATTAAATTTTAAGGGAAAAGCACAATTCATTTGATTTTATTAAAATTTAAATTTTCTCCAGTAATAGAAGACATTATTTTACTGTAAGCGAGAAAACAGCTATGGCTAGTGCAATGGCAATCCATGTAGAAAGCAAGCATCTGCATCTTCTGACCCAAGAATTCCACATCACAAGCATACCTTACAGAAATGACTGAGCAAATGCACACAGAGACATCCTCAAAGACATGTTATTAGCAACAGAATACTGGACAGTGTGCAATGGTAAAAAAAGAGATATCTAAAGATTCAACAAAATATGATGAATACATTTCATATAATGGAATATGATACAGGTCATTTCTTTAACAAACTCTTTTAAATTACCACGTCATATGCTGCTCTAGGTAACTTACAAATATTAGCACACTTAATACTTATCACAAGTCTGTCAAATAAGAACTATTAAATAATTTTATAGGTGAGGAAAACGAGGTGCAGTGAGGTTAAGTACCATATACAAGGTAGCACAAAGCTAGTAAGCATCAAAGCTATGATTTTAATTTAGTCTGTCTTCAAGCTTTAATCTTAATCACTTTGCTTTCTTGCTTCTCTGGTGATAAATGAACCAGAATCCCATAAAGTTGACATATCTCAATAACAGAGTGTTGAATGGGGAAAATATTGAAAAATGGTTAATTCAATATGATACCAAGTAATGAACGATGAAAAACAAGCCGAAAGACATTATATATTGTCAAAGAACATATATATGTAGTAAAAGTTTTCCAATAATTTTAAGAATTGAACAGAAAATTAAAGTCAAATTCAGGATAGAGACTACTTCCTAGAAAGAAAGAAAAAATAAAATAAAATTTAAAAAACATAAGGTACTTTAAATGTACCAAAATATTTTATCAGTGTAAAAAAAAACAGATCTGAAGCCAGTGTGACAGAACATTAAGATAAATTAAAACTGAGTGGCAGATACAAAGGTGTTTATTATATTACTATTTTTTAATTACTGCAAATATATAAAACTATTATAATTATTTATTCTTCTTACCAAAAATAATATTAATCTTTTGACATGGTTTTTAAAATTCTTTTATGAATACACACATCCACAATTTCTAGACACACACTTCCTGCACATGAACTCATAAACTGATTTGTAACCGACTTTAGGAAATGTATTGATAGGTAGTTTATACCATAAATACAAGTCAATAAATACAAGTCTTTAGCATGAGTGTAAGCATTTGTATTGCCTTCTATTTTACTCCAGTCATTAGTTTTTTTACTGATACATAATAGTTGTATATATTTTGGGGGCACATGTGATATCTTGATATGTGTATTCAATGTATGATGATGAAATCAGGGTAATTGGAATATACATCTCATCAAACTTTTTTTTTGTATGTGTTGGGAGCATCACAAGTCATCTCTTCTAGATATTCTGACATATACAATAAATCATTGTTAACTATAATTTTTATACTTTACTATTGAGTACTAAAACTTATTCCTTCTAAGTGTCTGTTTTTGCATGCCTTAACCAAATCTTTTGACAGCCATTATATTATTCCAATGTTTTCACTATGGTAGGCACTGCTGCAATTTGTATACTCTTATAAAGCATTTGAATTGGTACAAATTTTTCTAAATGGAAAAAGAAAAGTGTTCACACAAACACTTTGTTATTTAGTATTGGGATTCAAACAAATGTTTCTTGGTTTCTAAAAGTAAAATAAGTACAAAAAGTGTGTGCAAAAAGTAAAACGAGTCAAATAACATATAAACAAAGTTGTTTCCACTATTATAATATTATTGGTACTTTGAGTTGGAAAAGGCAAGATCCTATAGGAATATTTTAAGTTATTCGAGTGTTATTAATGGTAATAAACACTTTTCCTGTAGATGAAATCAACTGGAAAATCATAGATAGAAATCAAACTATTAATGCAAATTTCACATTGCACACACATACACATATCTATGCACATGTACATTTTCTATATATATAAAACATCTCTAAGGAGGAGAAAGCATGTTTCAGTCATTTGAATTAATTTTCTCAGCTGATACCATGATGACTTTGGTCCTTATTATCCCTCTCACTAATAGGACAGTACTGGGCCAAGTGTACCTTTGGAAGTGAATAGAAAATGTACTTTCCTGCTTTCATCCTTTAGGAAACACTTGAGTCAAATGTTTTCTCAAGAAGATGGTATTGCCACTGCTCAACGAAATAAAAGAGGACACAAACAAATGGAAGAACATTCCATGCTTATGGATAGGAAGAATCAATATTGTGAAAATGGCCATACTGCCCAAGGTAATTTATAGATTCAGTGCCATCCCCATCAAGCTACCAAAGACTTTCTTCACAGAATTGGAAAAAAAATACTTTGAAATTCATATGGAACCAAAAAAGAGCCCACATTGCCAAGACAATCCTAAGCAAAAAGAACAAAGCTGGAGGCATCACGCTACCTGACTTCAAACTATACTACAAGGCTACAGTAACTAAAATGGCATGCTACTGGTACCAAAACAGAGATATAGACCAATGGAACAGAGCAGAGCCCTCAGAAATAATATTACACATCTAAAACCATCTGATCTTTGACAAACCTGACAAAAACAAGCAATGGGAAAGGATTCCCTATTGAATAAATGGTGCTGGGAAAACTGGCTAGCCATAAGTAGAAAGCTGAAACTGGATCCCTTCCTTACACCTTATACACAAATTAATTCAAGATGGATTAAAGACTTAAACGTTAGATCTAAAACCATAAAAACCCTAGAAGAAAACCTAGGCAATACCATTCAGGACATAGGCATGGGCAAGGACTTTATGACTAAAACACCAAAAGCAATGGCAACAAAAACCAAAATAGACAGAGGGGATCTAATTAAACTAAAGAGCTTCTACACAGCAAAGGAAACTACCATCAGAGTGAACACGTAACCTACAGAATGGGAGAAAAATTTTACAATCTACTCATCTGACAAAGGGCTAATACCCAGAATCTACAAAGAACTTAAACAAATTTAGAAGAAAAAAATCAAACAACCTCATCAAAAACTGGGCAAATGATATGAACAGACACTTCTCAAAAGAAGACATTTATGCAGCCAACACACACATGAAAAAATGCTCATTATCACTGGCCATCAGAGAAATGCAGATCAAAACCACATTGAGATACCATCTCACACCAGTTAGAATGGCAATCATTAAAAAGTTAGGAAACATCAGGTGCTGGAGAGGATGTGGAGAAATAGGAACACTTTTACACTGTTGATGGTACTATAAACTAGTTCAACCATTGTGGAAGACAGTGTGGCAATTCCTCAAGGATCTAGAACTAGAAATACCATTTGACCCAGCCATCCCATTACTGGGTATATACCCAAAGGATTATAAATCATGCTGCTATAAAGACACATGCACACGTATGTTTATTGTGGCACTATTCACAATAGCAAAGACTTGGAACCAACCCAAATGTCCATCAATGATAGACTAGATTAAGAAAATGTGGTAAATGTACACCATGGAACACTATGCAGCCATAAAAAAGGATGAGTTCATGTTCTTTGCAGGGACATGGATGAATTTGGAAACCATCATTCTGAGCAAACTATTGCAAGGAAAGAAAACCAAACACCACATGTTCTCACTCATAGGTGGGAACTGAACAATGAGAACACTTGGACACGGGGGAACATCACACATGGGAGCCTGTTGCGGGGTGGTGGGAGTGGGGAGGAGAAATATCTAATGTAAATGATGAGTTAACATGTGCAGCACACCAACATGGCACATGTATACATATGTAACAAACCTGCACGTTGTGCACAGGTACCCTAGAACTTAAACTATAATGAAAACATAAAATTAAATTAAAGTTAAAAAAAAAGAAATGATAAAAATAGATAAATAAAGTGGCAGAGCCTGGGAACCTTCTCATTGAAATTATTTAAAAGCCTGCCTCATTCTTAGTACAAGTTTCAGGGCTTCCAGTGCCCAGAATCACCATTATTTACCTCAATGTCTAGAATAATTTGTGCTTTGGAAACCATTTAAATTAGCCTCTTGGTTACTTATTTATCTTAAGATTGGGAAAAAATGGGGCCGGGCATGGGGGCTCACGCCTGTAATTCCAGCACTTTGGGAGGCTGTGGCGGGCGGATCATTTGAGGTCAGGAGTTCAAGATCAGCCTGGCCAACATGGTGAAGCCCCATCTCTACTAAAAATCCAAAAAAAAAAAAAAAGAAGATGGTGTTGAAAAACATCCTCTAGTGTTGTGGTTTCAACCAATGATTTATTTGTGAACTGATGTATATTGATGTGGACAAAGTATATCAAAGTTCATTCCTCTTAAAACCTAGCTTTTTCTGCCTTTTTTTTTTTTCAGCTGAGGTCAAAAATCGGCAAAGGAGACTTACCTATCCAGGATTTTGACCTATTGAAATATTGTCATAATTTATCAAAGCATCCTTGTACACTTCTTTATAGAAAAATCTTCCTCTTTACCTCTGTGCTCCTTGTTTTTCAAGTTTTTCAGACCTAGTCATCCCTCTTGCCCATAGTAAAGTAACCAATTCTTTCTGGGTAAAACTTACCTAGTTATATCCTCTTTCAAGAAAGGAATTTCTATAGCTTTGTTTCTTATCTATAATTTAAAACCTCCTCTTAACAAATGTTTCTTATTTTTATCCAATTTTCTGACATTCATATTTTCCTTTCTACCTTATCTCTTCTGTTGGTATTTTCTTGGGATTACTGGCCCAATTATGTATCATTTTTTACATACAGACACTTACCAACTAAAGCTTCAAACACTGGATCTCTCTCAGGCAGTTAATCAAGGAAAATCGAACACACTGTGACTTCTATTTTTATATCTTTACATCTCTGCTAAAATATTTTACCCATCAAGTAAGTTTTGTCTCTATTCCTGCCAAAAATAATCAAATTTTACATTTTATTTAAAATACAATTTAATTTGTGCAGTTTTTGAGACCATTCCTGCTGGAGTCATATTGAGCATATCTCTATCATATACTATTTCATATTTATTGAGCATGTTATGAGGCAATTATTTTTTAACAATTTACATATACCATATTATTTAACTTTCATTAAAACTCTGAGTCTGTGGATCTCAGTGATTTCAAACCCAGTGCTCTCTTTTCAAAACACCTGTTTGACAATCACTTCTGTACTATCCTGAAATTAAATTCACAGAAAAAGCAACACATTTAAGCACCCAATTTTTTTTGAAAAATCAATACTACTTTCTCTTATCAAAAGATAAATAAAAGGAAAGAAATGTAATGACATGTATTTAATGTTTAAATATTTAGGTATGACTGCAATAGAAAGCTCAATGAAATAGTCAGATTCATTCACCTATTTGCAATAATTAAGTTTGAATTTCAGAGAAGGAAAGATTAGAAGCCATTATTTAAATGAGCTACAGAAAAATCAATGAGAAGAGATTTTATTAGTTATTAATACAAAAATAAGCATTAAATTGAATACACATGGACATAAAGATGGGCACAACAGACAGTACTGCGGATGACAAGAGGTGGGAGGGAGGGATAGGGACAAGGGCTGGAAAGCTACCTATTGAGTACTATGCTCCTAACTGGGTTACAGGTTCAATCATACCCAAAACCTGACATCATATAATATGCCTTTGTAACAAACCTGTACATGAACCACCTGAATCTAAAATAAATTTGAAAAAGAAGAAAAAATGTTAAGATAGAGATTCACAGAACAGGCAGATTATTGTATAATAAGAAACAGAAAAATGAGAAATAATCTTAATTGAATAAACAAACAGAGCAAGACAATTACAAACTTCTGAATTGGAGAAAATAAGAAAATATGTGATCACTTTGCCAACTTTCATTGTAAAATTGTCATTTAATTTTGGATATTTTTGTCTTTTTTTGTTTTGTTTTCTTTTGATTTTTGAGATGGTGTCTCACTCTGTCACCCAGGGTGGAGTGCAGTGGCTCCCTGCAGCCTCCGCCTTCCAGGCTCAAGCGAGCCTCCCACCTCAGCCTCCTGAGTAGCTGGGACCATAGGCCTGTGTCACCACAAGAGGCTAAATATTTTTTGTCTTTTTGGTAGAGATGAGGTTTCACCATGTTGCTCAGACTGGTCTCGAATTCCTGAGCTCGAGTGATCTGCCTGCCATGGCCTCCCAGAGTGCTAGAATTAAAGGTGTAAGCCACCCCACCTGGCCTGTTTTTCTTACTTTTACTTCATCAGGAAAACAAAAATCCTGGCTAAAGACCTCTAAATTTAATTTATAGGAAGCACTATAGGACACAATATCAAAAATTAAAATAACAGTTGTTGAGTTTTTTATACTACTGGGCGTTTTCAAATACAAATCTGTGTGTGTGTGTGTGTGTGTGTGTGTGTGTGTGTGTGTGTGTGTGTGCGCGCGCGCGCATGCGCACACACGCATATCCTGTGAATGAAGCAAACACAAATGCAGAATGATACAAATGTATGGTTTTAGCAGCTCTCATGCTGGCTTTTCCTTTGGGGTTTTTATTTCTGAAAAGGTAAACCTTTTTTGATAAAATTCAGGAAATAAAAGTACAGTAATTCCTTAATTCATATATAAAAGTAGAACATTCAATAGAAACTAAACCTGTCTGAATTGCGTACATATGTAAACAGAGGTTCAGACTCATATAATTCTAAATGGATGTTAAAACTAAATTTCCATTCGGACATTAAAAAATTTGTAGGGGTGCAGGATTTTCTCAGCACTGAAAAATCATTTGCATCATGTCCCTCCCTCAAATGCTAGCAGTGCCTTCAATCAATGCAGAAATCATTGTTATATTTTCAGTTTCCAGGACTTGTTTACTAACTGGAATGAAAATATAGAGGCATGGTAGCTAGTCAGTATCTCTGTATGCCCTTAAACTGCCTAGCAAAATATCTTGCATGTAATGGGGTAATAAATAATAATTTCCCAGTTAACTGAGAATTCAATTCACCTCTTCATTGAATAGCTGGCTTACATTGGATAAGAGAGCTTAAATAAATCAAACAATGTGCATATGGCATAACCGTATTTCAAATGTAGGCCCCAGTCATATCTAAATGCATCAGCTATCTGATTATTTTAACTCTTGAAAAAGAGTATAAATTGTGAAATCTCAAAAATATTTCAAAAACATTATCATCGCTCTTGAGAGTATGATAAAATAAAATGCGTTCAGATACCTTTTATCACACCCAAAAAAGTAAAAAAGCATCAGATCTGCCAAGCACCCCAGCCAACTGTGACCCTTGTTGTTCTAATTGTGTGTTTTTCTGTTATGTGAATACCTTTGACAAGTCCCCTCCCATTTTGCTCCTGGATTGTATATCTAGTTAAATACATTTAAAATTATTATATTTTTGTAAGACAAAACTGTTTAACATCAAGGAAGCTGTATATATGTATATACATAAATGAATAAATGTATATGTATATAATGTATATGTATGTACATAAATGTATAAATGTATGTGTATATATAAATGTATACATATACATATACATTCTCTCCATATATAGGTATCTCTCTATATGTCTATATATATGTAGAGAGAGAGAGAGAGAAATTAAGCCAAGAGGTTTTCATGCTGATGATAGGGCAAGAATGGTAAAAATTGAATTGGGACACAATTAATCCATGGCTAAGGAATCGAGGCAAAGCCTTATTTTATAAATGTGGGTAGACAAATTTATGTCCAATCTAGTAGACCTTGTGTTGTTCAGACATTGGCAACAACACAACCACAGATTTTCTTCTGAGGTTCCTGTGGTAACTGTAGCTTAATTTAGTCTCCAATGTGGGTTGGAAGATGTTGAATAGAATCATGCTTTTCTTGCCAGCTTTTGACCAAATAAATGTCACTTGACTATACCCCCATCCCTCCAAGTACATTACGTCCAATCTATAATTGTGGGCATTATGACTAACATTTTTTTACTCTTTTCCCCCAATTTAAGTTTCCATCATGGATCCCACAAAGCATATCCTGTCAAGTCCAGTGGCTAAGCATTTGTGGTAATTTCATTTGAAATGTGTAGAAGATTTATAGCTTTTCATTAATGTTAATGGTTCAACTGAGTGAAAAGTATATTCAATCAAGTGCTCCTTAAAATGGGGTTTCTAGACTTCACTCAAACACAGCTGGTTTCGAGGCAGAGTAAAGCAAAGCTTATCCCTGCCAAAGTACATATGCTTTCTACAATTTAAGGAGTGATTTTTAAAGCACTGACTCACTTGCCAAAAATCTAATGTATTATTTATTTTGCTTTTGTGCGTGTAGTAATTGGCAAACTAGAAATGATGGAGAATTATTCAGTCATCATCTCTCTCCCTTCTGGCTTGGCACTCATCGCAGTAGCTAATGAATGCAGTGGTGGGAGGTTATCTGTCATCTTGCAGCTACTGGGGCTACTTGTCATTAGTTTTCATAGATACCTAATTGTTGTTGCTGTTCTGCCTCCTGGGCCAACTAGGATCTCAGTGGCTCATCTAGAGACAGTATTAGTTCAATGGAGCACTTTTATGGCAGTTACATCAGTTCACTTATAGGCTATACATTTGTATTTACTTCTAGATATGATAACAGATACAAATGTTCCTGAGGCTAAAGGTTAGAAACCATGATAATAAGGAAACCTAACTTATCTTCAGCTTTCAGCCAAAAATCATAATCCTGTTTGTAGCCAGTATAAATTAAGACTTGTCATGTTGTAAGTTCAAAAATAAATTCTTAAACTGTTTGGTTACAAAGGAAACATTCTGGTTGAAATATCTTAAAAGTCCAAAAGTAGAACTGACTTTATGCCTGGCTGGATCCATAGGCTCAAACAATGTTACTAAGATCTGATTTTTCTTCATCTCTTGGCTTGCTCTACCTTAGCTATATTCTTAAGAATGCTCCTCTTTGGGGGGAAATATTGTCGTCAGCAGTCTAGATTCATGTTTACCTGGTTCCAGTTCCACACACAAACAGCACCAAAAAAAGAAAGAATAAAGAATAAGGAGAGTGAGAGAGAGAGGGAGGGAGGGAGAGAGAGAGAGAGAGAGGGAGGGAGAGAGAGAGAGAGGGAGGGAGAGAGAGAGAGAGAGAGAAGAGAGGAGAGAGAGAGAGAGACAGAGAGAGACTATAAAATATTCCTTTTGTTCAACAATAAGAGAAAAGATTCTAACAATGTATGTTTTTGCCTCTTCATAACTCATGTATTGTTCCCTGAACCAATCACTGTAACTAGAGGCATGCGTGTTGCGATTGGACAGATCTAAATCCACGTTCACTGCTAGATTGAGGATGAAGTTAATAATGCCATAACTTCTTGATCTTAAAAAAATCAAGGTGATTTACCTGCAGAAGGATGAATTAATAAATATTGCAACCCCTCCATCTGGTCCCTGCCTTATCAGAAGAAACAAAACACATTTTAAAAAATCAGTTATCTATATACTCTTTAAGATGAAACCAAAGTCATCTTTTGATATACTAGGTGGTCTTTAGGTCTCATCTAAAGATGGAGCTTGGGGCTACAAATAATATGAGGGTCCGGAGACACTTCAGGAGACCACTCTGTATTCTGAGAGGAGCTCAAGAGATTCTTAACTCTTCTTATTTTCTAGCTCCACAGAGAGAAACTATTGAACCTCTGAATGTATCTGAAAATTCCCATGTGGAGGAAGACTACAAGAAGCTTTTATCCTAATTACTATCCTTTGAGATGATCTGTAGTACCCAAGAGCTCCAGAGCCACATTACAGTTTGGGTCTTAGACAGAAGTCTCTGGCTTTGCCCCAGTTGTGGATGTAGTATAAACCTGAAATTTGTCACTCTTACTATGGAGCTAAATATTCAAAAAAAGCTTTAAAAAGGAATGTAACTAAGGCTAAGGTAAAAACAATATATTTTTATATAACTCTGGGTAAGAACTAGTAAATAAAAGAAGTACACTGTAAGCTCTACCGATTTTAAAAAATATTTTAATTGACATTAAAATTTAATATATTTATGGGATACGATTTGATGTTTTGATACATGTCTGTGTTGTATACTGATCCAATCAGGGCAGTTAGTGTACATATCATCTCATACATTCATTATTTCTTTTGTGATGAGATTATTCCCTCCCTTCTAGCTATTTTGTAATGTATAATATTTTACTATCAATCATAGTCACCTTACTGGGCAATAGAACATCAGAATGTCTTCCTCCTATCTAATTGTAACTTTGCACCCATTAACTAACCCCATTCCATTCTTCCTTTCCCAGTTTCTTGTATCTAGTATCTATCAGGTAACTATTATTCTACTCTGCTTCTATGGTAGCAAGTTTTTTGGGGGGTGGGGTGGGTGGGAGGTGGATTTCACATATGAGTGAGATCAAACTGTATGTGTCTGACTTATTACACTTAACATCATGGTCTCCAGGTTCATTCACGTTGTCACAAATGACAGGATTTTGTTCTTTTTCATGACTGAATATTATTCCATTCTGTACATATAGCATATTTTCTTTATCCATTTATCTATTCTTAAAGACTTTGATTTCATATCTTGGCTATCGATATCTTTTCAATATATTGGTGTCATTTCCTTTGGCTCTATATTCAGTAGTGAGATTACTGGATTGATTGTAATTCTATTTTTAATTGTTTGAGGAATCTCCCTATTGTTTTTTATAATGACTCGACTAATTTATGTTTCCACCAACAGTGTGTTTGTCTTCCTTTTTCTTCATATTCTCAACAATAGTTGTTTTCTTTTATCTTTTTGATAATAGCCATCTAACTAGAGTGAAGTGTTACCTCATTGCAGTTTTGATTTGCATTTCCTTGATGATTAGTGATGTTGAGTATTTTCTCACATATCTGTTAGCCATTCATATTTCTTATTTGAAGAAATGTCTATTAAGGTATTTTTCCCATTTTAACCTTATTTTTGTGGGGTTTTTTGTTGTCATTAGATGATGATGATGATGATGATGATGAATATTATCACTTTCTTTTTTTTTTTTTGAGACAGAGTTTTGCTCTTGTTGCCCAGGCTGGAGTGCAATGGCGCAATATTGGCTCACTGCAATCTCCACCTTCCAGATTCAAGTGATTCTCCTGCCTCAGCCTCCTGAGTAGCTGGGATTACAGGCAACCACCACAATGCCTGGCAAATTTTTTTGTATTTTTAATAGAGACAGGGTTTCAACATGTTGGCCAGGCAGGTTTCGAACTCTTGACCTCAGGTGATCCACCCGCCTTGGCCTCCCAAAGTGCTGGGATTACAGGTTAAGCCACTATACCCGGCCTAGACTATTTATACATTCTGAATATTAGTAGTGGGTTTGTTATATGTGGCTTTTATTAGGTATCTTCCATACCTAATTTGTTGAGAGTTTTAAATCATAATGAGGTGTTGAATTTTCTCAAATGCTTTTTCTCTATCTATTGAAATGATCGTATGTTTTTTGTCTTTCTTTCTGCTAATCTCGTGTATTACATTTATTTATTTACATGTGTTGAAACAAACTTGCATTCCTGGATTGAATCGCATTTGATCATAATGACCTTTTTAATGTGCTGTTTAATTCATTTTACTAGCATCTTAAGAATTTTTGTATCTACGTTCAGCAGGGATATTAGCCTGTAGTGTTGTTTGTTTGTTGTTCTGTCCTTGTCTGGTATTGGAGTCTGGGAAATGTTGGCCTCATAAATTGAATTTGGAAGTTTTCCCTTCTCCTCAAATTTCTGAAATAGTTTAAGGAAAATTGGTACTAGTTCTTTAATTGTTTGACAGAATTCAGCAATGAAGCTGTCAGATCCTGGGCTTTTCTTTGACAGATGGCTTTTTATTTACTGATTCCATTTCTTCACTCATTATTGATATGTTCAGATTTTCAATTTCTTTATAATTTAATCATAGAAGGTTGTATGTGCTCCACTGTTTATACATTTCTTTCATTTTGTTCAAATTTGTTGGCATATAATTGTTCATAGTAGTCTCTTATGACCCCTTTTTTATGGTATCAGTTGTCATGTATCCTTTTTTATCTCTGATCTTATCTTTATGAGTATTCTATTTTTTAGTCGAGTAAAGTCTGAAAATGTTTGTTTTTCAAGAAAACATCTCTTCATTTAGTTAAATTTTGTGTTGTTTTCTTTTAGTCTCTATTTTATTTATACTCTGAATTTTATTATTTCTTTCCTTTTAACAATTTTATATTTAGTTTGTTTCTGTTTTGCTAGTTCTTTGAGGTGTATTATTAGGCTGCTTATTATAAATCTTTCTTCTTTTTTGATATAAACACTTATTTCTATTAGCTTCCCTCTTAGAACTGCTTTTGCTGTGTACTCTAGGTTTTGGTATAATGTATTTCTCTTCTTATTTGTTTCAAGGAACACTGAAATTTCCCTTTTAATTTCTTCATTGTCTCATTGGTTGTTTAGGAGCATGTTGGTTTATTTCCAGGTATTTGTATAGTTTCAGAAGTTTTTTTTCTTGTTGTTTTCTGGTTTTAAACCATAGTATTTGGAAAAAAATATTTGATTAATCTTTTTCTTTAAAAAACACGTTTTGTGGCCTAACATGTGATCTATCTTGGAGAATGTTCCATGTGCAGTTTAGAAAAATATGTATTCTGCAGCTGTACTGTAAATGTCTATTAGGTCCACTTGGAATATATATAGGGTGTTTTGGGGTGCATACATACTTAAAATTGTTATATTACTTTCTTTAATTAATCCTTTTATCATTATATAATGACTGTTGTTTTGTAGTTTTTTTCCCTAAAGTCTATTTTATCTAAGTATGGCTAATCCTATCTTGTATTTTTTATCCATTTATTTATTCAATATATTTTTATTGGATAGTTTAATTTATTTATATTCAATTATATTTATATAAATATAATTTATTTATATTTATGTCTATCATTGATAGATAAGGACTTCTTATCTATCCATGCCATGCTAACTCCTTACCTATCTATGCCATTTTGTTAATTATTTTCTGGTTATTTTGTAGATCCTTAGTGGGATTCTTTTTTTTCCTTCTACTTTTTATCTCTGTAATTTGGTGGTTTTCTGTGATGGTAAGCTTTGTTTCCTTTCTCTTTCTCATTTGTTTATCTGTTGTGATGTTTTTCTTTCTGGTTACCATGGAGCTAACATAAAGAGACTTCTAGTTATAATAGACTATTTTAAGCTGATGGCAATTTAATTTTGGTCACATAAAAATAGACTATTTTCCTTTCCCCCACAATTTATATTTTTGTTGCCCTAATTTACTTTTTTTCAAATCCATTTTGTGTTGTTGTTTTTGACCATTCTTGGCTTTAAACCTTCATACTAAAAGATGAAGAGATTTACACAGCACCATTACATCACTGGGCTATTCTGAATTTCATTAATAAATTTGCCTCTACTGGTAAGGTTTATATTTTCATGTGTTTTTGTGATACTAATTATTGTCATTTTGTTTCCAATTGTAGCACTCCATTAAGCATTTCTTTTAAGGCTTGTCTAGTGGTAATGAAGTTCCTCATCTTTTGCTTTTCTGGGAGGTCTTCACTTTTCCTTGAATTCTGATGGACAGACTTGCTAAACATAGTATTCTTGGCTGACAATTGTTTTTTCGCTTCAGCACTTTGAATGTATTATCTCATTATCTCCTGGTCTGCAAAGTTGTTGCTGGAAAATCTACTGATAGTCTAATGGAGATTTCCTTATACTTGACTTGACAATTTTCTCTTGAAGTTTTTAAAATTACCTCTTTATCTTTGTCTTGGACTGTTTTATTATAATTTGATAATGTTTTATGGTTGAATCAAATTGAGAATCTGTGAGCTTTGTCAATGTGGATGTGTATCTATTTGCCAATACTTGAGCTGTTTCAGCTTTTGTTTTGTTAAATAGGTGTTATGTGCCTTCTTTCATGTATTCTTCCTTTCATTCTCCTGTAATGTGAAAATTTGCTCAGTTAATGATGTCCCATAAGTCCTGTCGGCTTTGTTCATTGTTTTATACTCTTATTTCCATTTTTTCCCTGTAACAGGATTATTTTTAAAGCCTCATTTTAAGTTCAAAACTATTTCTTCTGCTTGAACTAGTAAATTGTTGAGGCTGTCAAATATAGTTTTTATTTCACACATTGAATTCTTCACTTTCAATATTTCTGTCTCTTTTTATGACATCTTTGTTGAATTCCTCATTCTGATAATGGATTGTTGTTCTGATTTTAGTGACTTGTTTGTCTGAGTTTCCTTTTATTCTCTGAGTTTCCTTATAATCATTATTTTGAATTCCTTTTCAGACATTTCATAAAATTATTTTATTTCTGGTCTGTTTCTGGAGACTTATTGTGTTCTTTGGGAGAGGGTAGTGTCATGTTTCCTTGTTTTTTCATGATTTTTGCATTTCTACACTGATATCTGTGCATCTTGTGCAATCCTTGCCTTTTCCAATTTTATTAAATGGCTTTTGTTGGAGACATTTTTTTTTCTGTAGATGGGTCCTAGGGTGTTGGTTGTGTATGGTGCATTGGCTTTGCTTCTAGGCTCACTAGCATGGTCTCTGTGCAATTTTTTCAGCTATAATCCTTGTTAGCAATGTCTACAATTCCCTCAGTAGCCTAGGCTGTGGGAGTTTTTAATCAAAGTGTGCAGTTTTTCTGTCATGGAAGTGGGGGTGTGGGTAGGAAGGGCAGGGCAGACACCAGTTGGTTGTCAGGCGGGGAACATGTGGGTGCAGAAGCCTTACAGTCTGACTGGCATGCTCTCCAGGGAGATAGTGGCCACCATCAGACCAGCTTTTGGGCCTTGCATGGGTGAATGTGGTTACAACAGGGCCAGGTGGCCCTGTGGCAGATTGTCCGGGGGGAGTGGGCCTGCTGCCAGACCAGCTGTCAAGTTTGGTACAGATGCTTGCATATGCAGTGAGGCCAGGTGGCTCAATAGTGGTCTGTCTGGGCAGTAGGGCCACCACAGGACTGGCTATAAGGCCACTGTGGTCAGTGTGGGTGAGAGAATTGGCAAACAGTGTCGCATGGGTATGTGAAGGCAAGGTGGCCAGCCAGCTATTCAATGACTTTTCCACTGTGCAGGTTTAATTGTTCCCCGGTGGGTGATGTGCCACATGGGTCACATGCCAGGGTCTCAGTTGTTCCATGTGGCCTAGGCTCTGGACAGTGAGGGTCATGATGCTATAGTCATCTGTGTGAACATGGTAGAATGACAGTGGGGCATCAGGGATGGATAGTCAGGTGCTACTGGACCCTGGGGAATGGTGCACTGTAGTAGTGGGTCCACTTTCAAGATGGCACTGAGTCATAGCAGCTTATGTCATGATGGTATAGGATACTCAATGTGGGCTTCTACTCTGAGACAATACAGCTGTGTGAACATCTGTCTACTCTCCAAACTGAATGTGGGACTGTAAAGACATGGAGTTGCTCCTTTAGGAGGGATTGCTAGTGTTTCTGTCAGCAATAGGGGCTACTGGAAATATTCACTTTACCTTTTTCCCACAAGAACCACAACTCCTCCCCCAACTTTGAGCCCATCCAGTAGGATAGACAATATAGCAGAGGCAGGATGACTCATTCCCTTCTCTATGGTGCTATACTGGGCTGCTATGCTCCACAAGGATTTTGCCACTACCGTGGTGCCCTTCATCTTATTTCTTTGGTCAATCTAGTTGAAATACAGTTGTTTATTTGTTGTTTTGGTTCCATATTCTAATGGAAACAAGCACCAGCTAACTCTAGCTGGTCATCTTGCTGATGTCATTCTGGGTTTTACAGATTTTATTCATTCAGGAATATATAACACAGTAGTGCATAGTCAACATAGATTGTGGACCTGAGATATTAATGTGTGTATGTATGTATACATACATACACACACATATATATGAATAACAGATTCAAATATATATATATTTGTTGTATATGTATATATGTGTGTGTGTGTGTGTGTGTGTGTGTGTGTGTATATATTTGTTGTTTAGGCTAAAGTTCAGTGGCGCAATTATGGCTCACTGAAGCCTCGAACTCCTAGGCTCAAGTGATCCTCCTGCCTCAGCCTCCCAAGTAACAGAGACTACAGGCACACACTACTATGACTATTTATTTATTTATTTATTTATTTATTTATTTATTTATTTCATTTTTTTGTAGAGATGGGGTTGTTCTTTGTTGCCCAGGCTGGTCTTGAACTCCTGGCCTCAAGCAATCCTCCTGCCTCAGCCTCCCAAAATGCTAGGATTACAGTCATGGGCCACTGTGCCATGCCAAATTTTTTAATGAGAGCATAACTTGAAGGGCATGAAAGTTACTCCTGTACACTCCAAGTGTTTCTGTTGAAGTTGCACACAGAGCTAGCTTTAGGGTAGAGAGTAGTACCAAACAGCCAGTCACCAATCAACTATATCTGCCATAGTAGCTACGAGTATGGGAGTTAGGTATATCATGAAGACAGTTTTGAAACTTCTCATGGTGTTTTAGAGGTCCAGACTAAAGAAGTGCACTGAGAAGCAAAGTAGTAAGTCTATCTTTACTACATTGAAACATCTTACAGATTAATTTATCATACTAATTGATCAATTATTAATGTTTCTTATAGAAATAAAAATTTACGCTCCAAGTAAATTTACACTTTAATTAGGCAGCTACTTAAATGTCCTTAGAAATAATAGCTCAGTGATATGTCAATATGTATTGAATTCTACTGTTATTATTTTTGTTTCATTAAAAATCCATATTTTTTCTCTCACGAAGGAGCTTTATTTTGAACATGATGTTGTCTCAGACTAAATTGCTATCTGAGTGCAAGATGGACAATATTTTCAACTCTGTAGGAAATCACATTTGTCAAGAAAAGATTTCAAACTGGCAGGTCAATTAGGAGAACAGAACCCCTGCTTCTAGGCAAATTTCCATGCTGGTTCTGATCAGTGTGTCAGCAGCTCTGCCCTGTTGGTGAGATATGTGACCTTACTAAATGTACACTTTATTTCCAGAAAAGAAAGAAAAGTACTGGAGGATAGTATAATTCATGTCCAGAATATAATTGTGACTTCATAAATCAAACTAATACCAAAATTTAAAAACTGGATCAAATTCTTTTATTTAATAACAGTGATTTTGAAGTGTTTAATAGTTTTCATCTAAAGGCCTTTAAAAATATTTTGTAAATTAGAAATAGAGTGCACATTTATTTACTAATAAATTAGTAAGCCAATTAACAGTCCTGTTTAACATGTAGTAAATAGTCATTTCAACTTTCCCTGACTTAACCAGTGAGAAAAACAGCATCCATTTAAGGGCCACATTTCCCCAGCTCAAAAGTATTGTCAGCCCAGGGCTGTTTTGTCCAGCTTGTGTTAGCGAGACACTAGTACATTTTTGGAGAATGCATTTTTTTATTCTTCAGATTTCTGGAAGGCAAACTAAAAGAACACATTTTAAAAAGGTTTATTTTAATTTTAAGAAATTGCATGTCAAGTACAGTTTTAAGGTAAAATCTTAATATATCATAAGGGCAGACTATTTTCAAATCAGATCCAGAGTGAATTATTTAGTCAAGTAAATAATCCTTTTGTAATATATTCTTCAGTTTGGTTCTTTCATTTAAATGGAACAGAAACTCAGTGACAATACCACATGTAAGGGGGTATATAGTTATGAAGAAATATACGGAGAGCAACACTAACAGCAGGGATATCGAATGAGAAGTAGAATTGCTGTCACAGAACCTGGAATGGAAGCCTTTAGGAATGGAGGCATTCCAGACTTGGCTTCTTGTTATGTACCTTTCTTTCTTTTTCTTTTTCATATGCCTTTCTTTTTTTTTATTTCCTATGTTTCTTCTTGTACTTTCTTATCTACTTTCACAAAGAATGGAATTCTTCCCTTTCTAATCTGTATGAATTATCTGTCTCCCAACTTCTTATTCCTCATAACCTTGGCTTCCTGTGAGACTGGCACATTCTTCCTGCCTCAGCTCCAACAGCTAACTGTCTGTATCTCAACACTAAATGAAGATTAGAGTCTAATTGGCTCTCTAAGTCTTTTATAGACTATCGATTTGCTGCTTTAGGGTGAGTCCCACCCTAAGATCCATCAACTGCAGAGGTCATGTTACATGGTATAAAAAAATAACTAAGGGTTGTACTTTCAGCACATTCTGAATGTGGGACAGGAAACCGCAGAAAGAAACTCACTGTCTGGTAGACATTTTGATATTTGACCTGTCCATTGAAATGTTTATAATTTTCTCAAATTTATTTATTATCTATTTTATGAAATCTGGACTTTCAAGTGTGTGTGTGTGTGTGTGTGTGTGTGTGTATTGATATTGTGGGACTCACTCTGTTATTCATATTGTGGGTGCTTCTCAAGCTTCTACTCTTCTTTTCCATCTCTACAGAAGCCAACCATGTGATCTGAAAGGAATTGATTCCACCCTCCTCTCCAAAGGTAGGCCTATTCCAAACCATTCAGTCCAGTTCCTTTTTAATAGTAATCGATAATCTAAGACTTGAGACATTTATTATTTTACTCTTCATGTATGAGAGATGAGCTAATTAAATCAGTCAGAATAAAGCCTAAGACTGCTGTGTGACCTTCAGGAAAGGTGAGGCCCTAACTCTTCCTGCTTGATATTGTGTCCGGAATTGGTGGGTTCTTGGTCTCACTGACTTCAAGAATGAAGCCACCGACCCTCGCGGTGAGTGTTACAGCCCTTCATGTGGCGCGTCTGGAGTTTGTTCCTTCTGATGTTCAGATGTGTTCGGAATTTCTTCCTTCTGGTGGGTTTGTGGTCTCGCTGGCTCAGGAGTGAATCTGCAGACCTTCGCGGTGAGTGTTACAGCTCTTAAGGCAGAGCCTCTGGAGTTGTTCATTCCTCCCGGTGGGCTCGTGGTCTCACTGAGCTCAGGAGTGAAGCTGCAGATCTTTGCGGTGAGTGTTACAGCTCATAAAAGCAGCGTGGACCCAAAGAGTGAGCAGTAGCAAGATTTATTGCAAAGAGCGAAAGAACAAACCTTCCACAGTGTGGAAGGGGACCCCAGCCGGTTGCCAATACTGGCTCCCGCAGCCTGCTTTTATTCTCTTATCTGGCCCCACCCACATCCTGCTGATTGGTGGAGCCGAGTGGCCTGTTTTGACAGGGCATTGATTGGTGCCCTTTACAATCCCTGAGCTAGATACAAAGGTTCTCCACGTCCCCATCAGATTAGTTAGATACAGAGTTTGGACACACAGGTTCTCCAAGGCCCCACCAGAGCAGTTAGATACAGAGTGCCGATTGGTGCACTCACAAACCTTGAGCTGAACACAGGGTGCTGATTGGTGTATTTACAAACCTTGAGCTAGATATAGAGTGCCGATTGGTGTATTTACAATCCCTGAGCTAGACATAAGGGTTCTCCAAGGCCCCACCAGAGCAGCTAGATACAGAGTGTCCATTGGTGCACTCACAAACCCTGAGCTAGACACAGGGTGCTGATTGGTGTGTTTACAAACCTTGAGCTAGATACAGAGTGCCGATTGGTGTATTTACAATCCCTGAGCTAAACATAAAGTTCCTCCAAGGCCCCACCAGACTCAGGAGTCCAGCTGGCTTCACCCAGTGGATCCCGCACGGGGGCTGCAGGTGGAGCTGCCTGCCAGTCCTGGTGCCGTGCACCCGCAATCCTCAGCCCTTGGGTGGTCGATGGGACTGGGTGCCCTGGAGCAGGGACCGGCGCTCGTCGGGGAGGCTGGGGCTGCACAGGAACCCACGGAGTGGGTGGGAGGCTCAGGCATGGCGGGCTGCAGGTCCCGTGCCCTGCCCCGCAGGAAGGCAGCTAAGGCCCGGTAAGAAATCGAGTGCAGCGCCGGTGGGCTGGCACTGCTGGGGGACCCAGTACACCCTCCACAGCTGCTGTCCGGGTGCTAAGTCCCTCATTGCCCGGGGCCGGCAGGGCCAGCCAGCTGCTCCGAGTGCGGGCCCGCCAAGCCCACGCCCACCCGGAACTCCAGCTGGCCCGCAAGCGCCACACGCAGCCCCAGTTCCCGCTCGCGCCTCTCCCTCCACACCTCCCTGCAAGCTGAGAGAGTGGGGTCCAGCCTTGGCCAGCCCAGAAAGGGGCTCCCACAGTGCAGTGGTGGGCTGAAGGGCTCCTCAAGTGCCGCCAAAGTGGGAGTCCAGGCAGAGGAGGTGCCGAGAGCAAGCGAGGGCTCTGAGGACTGCCAGCGCTCTGTCACCTCTCAATATAAATAATAAAGTGTGTGGTCCCTGAATAGCCAATCATTTACCATGAAGAAAGTTGTTTTTATGATCTAACATATACCACCCAATGTAAAAAGAAAATAATGGAAAGAAACTAGTGTTTTAAAACTTTGTTGAACTTCCAAATTAGTGTTCTTTCCTTAAACGTTTCAGCTACTTGAGTTAATATATTTCCTTTATTGTTTAACCTAGTTTGTACTAGGTTACTTAAAAAATGGAAAATGTTCAACTAATGGAATATTTTTCTTAGATTAAATTTTATTGAATAAGGAGTTTAGACTTTCAGTAAGTATTAGCTCTACACAAAATAATATGTTTACTATAGATAATATACAGTAAAATGTGTTTCCTTGAGGAGTAAAGGTGAGTGGGAAGGGATTCCAGGACAGTTGGGAAAGCAGTAGGACTAGGTGAGACGCTAAAGTCAGTCATCATGAGTTCTATTCAGCCTGCGGCAGAATAAAAGCTTCATATAAGAGAAAAAACATTTTTTTTCAGCCTGTTTTAATAGATCTTTTTGTAGCTATTGCAGTGTATAAGGATACTAATTATGGTTTACATTTTTGGTTGTGGTTGTTCCTCTTGATGCTATTTTGTTTGTTTGCAGCTTAAGCATCTATGAATTTGTGGAAGATTACAAAAGAGCTAGATTTTTACGTCCTCTTAAAATGGAATGCTCTTTCTCTTGCAGACCTCAAATTCAGGTCTGGTTAGATATGGTGGTGGAGGTGGGGCGGGGGAGCTGTGCTTCCTAGTTTCTATGCCTCTAACCCGAACCTGAGTAGAGTTGTAGACTGCTGTGAACTCTGGAGAATGTGTTAGACTGGGACATGCGGGTCCTTAGCAGAGGACAGGGAACACATTTCAAGAAGATGACCAGAGCAGGGGCCAGTCAGATGATCCATGTGTGTGGTTCATCCCTCTGAAGAGCTGGAGTAACTCCAAGGCAGTGACCACATTTGTGCAGGCAAAACAGGAGAGTGGAGTATCAGAGAGGTGGAAATTTTTTATGTAGAAGCTTTAAGATCAGAAAATAAAATTTTGAAGAGCAGCACTTGCAGATAAACATATTACCTATTAAAGCTAGAGGAACTTTTATATATAAGCATCTCCCGAGATATGTTGTTTGGAATAGTGTTTTTTTGGTACATTAATATAATTACATAAAAAGAGTGTGTGAAGGGATTTTCTGATTAAATGGGTGAGAAAATAATTTTTCAAAACAATGTAAGACATTTTCTTACTGCCAAGTTACTCAGTCTCATTAAATATGCACTGTTAATCTATTGATTTAGCGTGTACTCCCTCTAAATTTCTTTCAGCTCTCTCCTTTTTTTGCTTTTTTTCCTTTCCTTTCATTCCTTTTCTCTTCCTTTCCTTTCATTCCTTTTCTCCCCCCTCCCCTCCCCGCCCCTCCCTTCCTCTGCCCTCTCCTCTCTTCTCCTCTCCTTTCCTTTCCTTCTATATTATATTTCTTTCTTATTTGCTTGCTTTTCTTTCCTTTTTTTCATAGATCATTTTATGTCTGTAGGGATTATGGAATACATTTTGTAAAGTGTTAATTGAGCCTAATCACAGAATACCACATACAAGGAGCCTAAGTCCTAAAGAGAAAAAGTGGCTTGACTGGCTCACACAAAGTGTGAGTTAGAGATACTTAAAATTTAAATCTATACCCCCAAGCTTGACTTTTTATATACCCCCTGACAATTTCCTTCTGTTATAATATCTAACATACATTGGTTTTCATTTCCTTTACAAAATGTTTTCCTTTCATTCATGTTGTCTGGTAAATATTTAAATGGAGGAGTTAATAATTGTTTACTGGGCAGACACACTTCACATTTCTAGAAGGTGGGCCCAAGTCCACCTGCTTGATCCCTCTAAAATGATGTGAGCCATTTTTGTTGCAAGAATCTCTAACATGATGGTTATAGTACTTCCTAAAAGTACACCATCATCATTAAAATAACTAAATGCTATCTAAACAGGGGCTTGTGAGGATATCTATTTTATAGAATTTCTTACTGCAGTGGAAGTACTTGTATTCATAGTAGCTTAGCCATTGTTAAGAAGAAAATGCTAGTCAGGACTTGAAAATTAGATAGATTCAACTTCTCTATGTTTTCCTAAATATAGTCTTGACTATATAAGAAGAATGTCAAAATTGTATGAGCGGATTGCCTTATATTGCAATTTTTAAGAAGTAGTATAAAATAAGTCATAAATCCTCCATAGCTATCTATCTTCTTATCTCTCTGAAACTTTTAGAGTGAGCTCATGGTGAGAAGGCAGATTGGAATCTCAGATTATATCAGTAATATTGCAAAATCCATTTCAAATAGTTGAGTAGGTTTTCACAGTTCAGTGAAGTATGAGGCAAAAAAAAAAGGAATATATAGGACAAGTTGTTTAGTCAGTTAACAGGAGAATATGAAAACTTGTAATTTTTAGTATGCATAGTCATAAAATGTGATTCTAAAAAACTAATTAAATCTAAATAAGGACAATGACAAGCCTGAATTTTAAATGGGAATGTTTCATATAATCATTTGTATATAAAATAATAACAAATTACATTAAAATCTTGAAATGTTATAAAATATTGAAAAATGTGTAGAACGAAGTTTAATTGGGTTAACTCTTGTATTACATATAAATGGGAAAATAAAATTACTCAGGTAATAAAATACAGCATTGTATATTAATTATGATGTCACAACTGACAGAAATCATAAAACAGCAGTTTCAGCATAGATGGACTAAGACAATGTAATCCTTCCATGGGAATGATGAAGGCAGTCTGTTGGGAGATGATCCCATTCCATGGTCCTGGCTAAAGACTGGAACTGGGCAAGAACATTCAGTGTAACATTAACTACTACCCACAAACAAAGGTTGTTGTGAACACAATTTAGCTACTAGGACCATGAAAGATTAAACAGAATTTGAGGAAAAGAGACTGAGATGTGGGCTTACTGAAGCAGAACATTAACTTCAATATTCTACTACATTCAGATAATTGAAGGGCAATTATATGAGAGGTGAGGAGAAATATGTAATGCGTATCAGAGACCCTCTTATGAAGCTGAAATGATGTTTACATCTGAGAAGCATAGAGAGTTAACTATGTGAAGACTGGGCCATGGTGCCCCCTCTTTCCACAACCTCTGTGAAGCCTAGGATATTTTGGCTTTCTTTATTCTGGGACTTGTAGCCACCCTGTTCATATGGCATTGCTGCTAGCATATGACACTTTAGTCTTCAAGGCTTTTGAAGACATGTTTAAGGTAATTTCCAATCAAGATCTATTTAAAGTGATACTTTTCATTCAAACTTAGAGGAGAATGAATTTCCCTGCAATAGTATGTTCTATTCTGAATACCTTAATACCTTTGTTTTGATACCTAATAGATGCAAGTATTACTTAACCTATTCATTATAGAATCGTTCCTGTAGAAAGAAGAGAGAGGAATAATGATAATACAATATATTTTTAAAAACTCATATTTCATTTGCTGTTACCAAGACAGATTTACTGTGGAGCTAATGATGCTTAAGTTGCAGGCACAACACTTGGATAGATACCTTCTTCTAAGAACTTACAAGGAGCACTTGCAAGGAGTCACATGATTGTATGTTTGTGTACAATTTGTAAAAGTAATACATTTTGTTGTATTTATTTTTAACAGAGCCTCCACAAAATCTGGACGTGTACCTTACTGCTTCTCTGATATGCAAAGAAAATCTGACTTTTTATGTATTTCATATTGAAATTTGAACTTAACAACAAAAACCTTGTCAAATAGTATTATCACAATGCTTTCTGAAATACACATCTCTTTTTCAGATAAAATTTGTCTCTAGAGTAAACGTTCAGTCTTCAGTGTTCTGCTCTCACCCCCAACACTTCTCCAAGATAGAAATCTTTCTCCTCCCGAACAAATACAGGGTGGTGTACTTGATTTGTTATACATGTGTGGAAGAGGGGCAGGTAAATCAATTAAGTCTGTGTGTTATCTTTATGGTCTTTGTTAGTCTCTACTTCAGTGTTTTAGCTGGTCTGATCCATGAGCTAGAGATCAAGTACATTGTTTCTTCATACAGCCAGTGCCTGATAATTCTTTCTGAATCTCTTATCAACGCTGCAGACCTCTGTATGAGTTAGCAACATTATATAATTCTTGTTTGGGTTTTTAGCCCAGCTTTTGCAGATAGCTTCTTGCTGTGTGATTGCATAGCATATCTCAGTTCTCAAGAATGATCAAGATTATCACTATCTTGTCTCTCCCAGGGCATGCAGAAACTTCTAATCAGATCTACTTCACTACACATGGGAGCAATGAGAGATGAATATTCTAATCAAGGTTCCTGTTACAACTTCCTACTGGTCATTGGACTTTTGTGGCTGTCACCTTCCACATTACCAGTAAGAGTAAGGCCAAGCCCTCTTGATTTTTACTTTTCGGTTACCATTCCATTATAGAATTTTGCCATTGACAGGTGTGGAGATTATAAAAATTTCCCCAACTCTTCATCCTTCCATGTATTTACATCCTTCTCAATGTGAATTTGCAATTCTGCCTATCAAGAGATGGCATCTATTTTCCCACTACTTCAACTTGGGCTGGCCTAGTGATTTGCTTTGACCAATAAAATGAGGCAGCAAAAGTAACACTGTGAAAATTCCCTTCTAGTTCCACTTTATAGTTTAGTTCTGTCTATTTGGTCCTCTGTAAAGCATGTCTGAGATAAAATGCTAAAGATGAGAAACCATGTGGAGAACAACAGCATAATGCATAATGCAATACATAACCGGCAGAGACACAGGAAATAATCATTGGTAACCACTAAGTTTTGGTATTGTCTGTTACATAGCAATGGCTAACGGATTCATCGGTTCTTCTCTCTCTTCTCACGGAAGTAATATAGCTCTGTTTTACTTACCCCACAGAATATACTGTTTTTTATGCCCACTCTTATTACAAGGTTGGATGTACTGATGCTCAGCTTTATTTTGGCAATGTAGAAGGAAGTATACATAGTTTTAAAACCCCCATTTCACAGATTCTTTCATTCAAGATCATTTTTTCACAGGATCTCCAAAACTAATCTTTAAGATTAACGCTGATCAGTGATCACTTTGCTCCAATTGTACCTGCCATCTCTTGGAAGATATGGCTGCCATTCACAGATCGTATGGTGAGCCACAAGGAAATCTGACCAACAGGACATGAAAAAAATCACTGATAATTTTCAATATAATTTTTGCTATTACATATTCATTCCAGGGATAGATATGACATTAAAATAGAAATGTGAAGACCTCTTCAAGGTCATTTTTACTTTTAAGCGTAGCTAACAATGAGCAAAATTTTTGCAGGTTTTGAAGCTTAATGATTAATAATAAAAGTAATATGTATGAAGCTTTCTACATTTTCAAATACTGTGATCAACCTATCTCACTTAAGTACTTAGGAAACCTCTATAAGGCAGGCAATCCATGAATTATTATCTCTACTTTACATAAAGAGAAATTAAGCTTTATAAATAATAAAGTGGCAGACCTGGATTTATTTCAATTTCTCTGGCTTCTAATCCATTATTCTTTGCAGTATGAGGAAAAATGAAGTAGGAGAGATAACATGTTCATATCCAGATACAATACAAGGTAGAATATGCTAAAGTAAAGGGTAAATATAGTTCTGTAACAATTTAGAGGGGAGAGAAATACATTGCCTTTGGATGATTGATCAAAAGTGGCATTTGATTTGGGTTTTACAAAAAACAAGGTTAGCTCAGGAACATAACAATGAATCAACATCATAGATATGTATTAATGAAACATACTGTACTAACTGAATAATGGATTATAAAAACACTCGAGAATTTCAATTAATACAAAATTGTTTAAATTCAATATCAATTTTTAAAAATAATAGCAAACTAAAAATGCAAAGGTCTTTTTTTAATCAAATAATGAGTACCTTTCAAAAACCTATACCAAATTTTATACTTAATGGAAAAATTTCAAAAGCATTTCAGTTAAATCAGAATATGACACAGATGTCTTCCAGAGCTGGAACTAGGGTGAGGCCATTAAAGACCAGGTCAACTTTTGTACGACTCTGAAAGTGAGTGACCCTTTAAAATTTGCACCTTAGGCCTCACTGGCCTCTTGCTAGATATTCTAGGCAATGAAATTGAAGACATATAATTAATAAGATGACTATGAATAAGGCACATAAGTGGAAAAGGAGACAAAACAGTGTTTATTTACCAACTATATAATGTTTATTTCACAAATACTAAATGTATATCAGCCTAGGTTTTGCAATACATCATTATGAATCCAAGATAAATAATCTTTCATTTGCAAAAGTGAACTCAATAAATAGTTTTGGTATTCTCCTAGCAAGGGTGTTATAGTTTTCATGATTTGAATAAAAAAAAAAAGCTCTCTTCCCTTGTCTTACAACTACTCACTTTTGTCAGAAATGTTTTCCTGTTCAAAACATCTCCTAGCTTCAAAGGAAGACCCTGGTTGATAGTCTGCCACCAGATGAATGAGAAGTAGATTTCAATACCTACATTAGTGCCTGCCCATTTCCTCTCCCCACTCTCCTGCTGTCACTCCATTTAATAAAACCCACTAACATATTCAAGAAGCTGTATCATCAGTGCAATAGTTGAGTGTCCTGTGTAAAGGATCTGCTTTTTGGGCCAAGGGGTCCTGTGAAACTCCAAAGTAGTTTTTGTACCAGTGCTGCCACTGACATGAATTTCTGCTGCTACCAAATAACAGGCACTGGGCACCACTACTCTTGAGTTCCCCTACATGGGTGCAGGATGGGTCCTCACACCAAGGTACTGGATCTTGTTGCTGGCAGTATAAGTATGGTCCCTCAATATGTCAAAGCACCCATTTACACCCAGAGATCATCTGGAGCAGTCAGCACACTAATGCTGTGTTTGTAAGCATATTATATTCTTTTCATTGTGTATGATATCTTGTATACTCAGTATGCTATTGAGCTCTTAGGGAATATATTTTACCAGGCTTTATACTTCAGCCCAACTATCTCTGGGACTCAATCCTAGTCCCCAAAACAAATGAGTCAGAGGGCAAATTTGAGTGTCACACATCTGACTATACTTTCAGTGGTCCATTCCTTTCACAGTTCCAGAGAAGCTTTCTCCTTGTGCAGAATTATGTGGTGTCCTCTAAGGGTAATTTTTTTCTCTGAAGGGTTCTTTGCACCTCATGCAAAAAACACTTACGTCTTGTCCTTACCAATCAATCTATCAGACATGGCCAATTATGCCATGGTTAGACATATCTTAGACTGAATTGAAAAACTGTATAAATTCTTGTCTTCCAGGAGGGTTTTTTTGAACAATTAATTATTCAACTTGACAATGAAGGCATAAAATTGTTACAACTAATAAAATAGAGAATAAATTCTCAAACTCTTGAAGTTAAAAATATATAAAAGAGGTTTTGACCTCCCTAGTATTTCATCTAGTTGCCTGTATTGAGAATGTAAGTATCAAATATTAATAATATACACTAGTTAAAATTCTGTAAAAAGAAACAGCAATATCTGGAATATCAAGTACTTTGTACTAGTGTTCAATGTCAATAGTATGAGCTTTGCTTAAGAGGTATGATCAGGAAATTCCCCAAATGAGATTTTTTTTAGGAAGAATGTCAGTGGAGACAAGACTTCTTATATTTTGCAGTTTATGTTTTTCAGATTGTCAGCATGGGCTTTAGAGAGAGGCTTGCGTTTGAAGCCCTTTTATTCCTCTTGCTAATTCTGTGATCATAGGCAGTTACTTAAATTCTCTGTGTTTCAGTTTAATTTACTACGAAATTGGAGTTATATATTTTTTTTCTTTTTTTGAGACAGAGTCTTTCTCTGTCGCCCAGGCTGGAGTGCAGTGGTGCAATCTCAGCTCACTGCAACCTCCACCTCTTGGGTTCAAGCAATTATCCTCCCTCAGCCTTCCAAGTAGGATTACAGACACGCACCACCATGCCCACCTATTTTTCTGTATTTTTAGTAGAGATGGGATTTTGCCATGTTGGCCAGGATGGTCACAAACTCCTGACCTAAAGTGATCTGCCTGCCTCGGCCTTCCAAAATACTGGGATCACAGGCAGGAGCCACTGTACATGGCCAGGGGTTATAATTTAATAGAGAATTGTTATGAAACTGATAATATATGTGTTTAGTGTAGTCACTAGCATAAAGAGAGCACTCAATGGTCACTGTTGTTATTTTAATTTATTCAAATAGTTCCTCTAAACTTCCTTAGAACTTTCCTGGTTTCTACTCTGTTACCTGTGCAAGGATGAAATACACAAATTGTCACAGACTTTAGGCTACAATCACCAATTCTTCTGTTCATTTCTGTGATTTACATACAATTAAATTTGCTGAAAGTGAGCACACCAAAACAAGATGGAATGTTTTCACATTTTCTTAGATTCCTTGGATTATAAACACTCGTATATGCATTTAATATGTGCAAGGTGAAGTGATAAAATGCAGCCTTAATTCAATGAGAAGCAATATGAAAAAGTCATAAATTTTTAACATGAGACACAAAAGTCCCACACTTTGTATTTTTCAGCTCTGGGTAGAATGGTAAGCTCATCGTACTTTGTAAGTCAGCAATGCAGCTGACTAAGGCCAGGGGGCACTATAATTAGATAATGAAATGAGAGCATTATCAATTTTTTCCCACTTTTAATATGTCTGACAATCTCACAAAAAGCAGGTTTCTCTCAAGACAAGACTGGCATTGGATGGCTGGGCTTGGCAAACCACCGGAGGATGAAAAGCATGCTTTTAAGAACAGTTGAAATCAATGCCTCTTATCAGCATCCAGCCCATGGAAATGTGTTCTCTAGAGCTGGATTCCTGAGCTCAGAGATTGCTTTGGCAGTGTTCAAAAATGAAGACGGAGATCATTCACATCAATTTCGCTTAATTAGCATTTACATGACTTTCATTTCTGTTAAGTTAGCTAATTAACAACATGGTACCAAATCTCAACTCTCCTACGCCTCTCTTTTGAGTTCACAGGCATTTTTCACTCTCCTGCTCACTAAAATCAGCTCTGTTCACTTCTTCTGCAATGATTCAGGCTTGAGGGTAGTTCCCCATTGAGACACAGTAGCTATACTATTAATTTTGTTCTATACTTTTCTCTCTCCGGGAAACAAACTATTTAATTCGTAAGATGGCTCTGAGGCAATGTGTTTATGTTGTTGAGCAGATTTTTGTAGTGCTTGTATTGAACAATCGAGTATGCTGACTGGAAATTATTATACTTGCCACACATATAAATTTTAAATAATTTTTTTGCAAAGTCTATGTAAGTAAATGAAGAGAGCCCTTTGCATTACCGAAATGAATACTAACTTGTGTTTTCATATTTATTTTTTCTTAAAGAGAGTTGTGATTATATCTTCATAGTAAATCTTTGATCATTGTTGAATGCATCTGACACTTTTGCCTGATCAGGATGAACTCCCTACCTCCTTCCAAACTACAATATTGGGAAACTTCTAAATAATTCCCAGGTCACATTGAAATTTATAATCAGTTGACTGAGCCATATCAATCAGTTCTTTGCAGAAAGAATTCATGTTTCTCTCTATTAACCCCAGAATTTGATTCTCAGTTCTACTTAAACTGGCATCAATACTTACATCTCTCCTTTTGCGCACAACTGAGAACAGTTTACATTATTCAACTTGGAGAAAAATGAACAACATAAGCTCCAAATATCTGGAACCAGTATGGTCCTCTTAATTTGGACTTAGCACACTAAGTTTGACATGGTTTAGTCAATGTTTGGTATTTTATCACAATGCAGTAGACTTGCACGGTGGGCTATACAGTTTCAAGTACTCAGTATTATTCTTGGTGGATAACTGCCAGACATAGTCTAGATACTTACCAGCACTACCAGGAAATTGGAATAGTCGCAATAAAATTTTATATTGCAACTTTCCTAAACTTCTCCAGGTTATATATATATATATATATATATATATATATATATATACACACACATATATATATTTATGCACACACACACATATACATGTATATATAATAGGAATATATAATATATTGTAGAAAAAATATATTTTACTTGTATATGTAACTTGTATTCATATATGTTAAATAACAGTGAAAAGTCATTATCTTTTACTTGTATATATATTTTACTTGTATTTATATTTTAAATCACAGTGAAATATCATTATGAATAAGTCTTAATAGATTATTTTTCAGCAAAAGTCACTAAAAATAAATCAGGTCATATAAATTTGACAATAGAACATCTGCTTGGGGCATATTGATAATTGAATACATTTAAATTTAAATAAAATTTTGCATAGAATTGAAATAATTTCTTTAAAATATATGGATAACACTGCTAGCACAGCAGTCTGAGATCGACCTGAGAGGCAGCAGCCCAACAGGGGCAGGGGCGTCCACCATTGCTGAGGCTTGAGTAGGTAAACAAGGCAACCAGGAAGCTCGAACTGGGCAGAGCCCACCTCAGGGCTACAAGGCTTCCTACTCTATAGACTCTACCTCTGGGGGCAGGGCATAGCTGAACGAAAGGCAGCAGAAACTTCTGCAGACTTAAACATCCCTATCTGACAGCTCTGAAGAGAGCAGTGGTTCTCCCAGCATGGTGTTTGAGATCTGAGAATGGACAGAATGCCTCCTCAAGTGGGTCCCTGACCTCCGTGTAGCTTAATTGGGAGACACCTCACAGTAGAGGCAGACTGACACCTCATACAGGGAGGTACCCCTCCAGGACAAAGCTTCCAGAGGAAGGATCAGGCAGCAATATTTGCTGTTCTGCAATATTTGCTATTCTGCAGCCTCTGCTGGGAATACCCAGGCAAATAGGATCTGGAGTGGACCTCCAGCAAACTCCAACAGACCTGCAGCTGAGGGACCTGACTGTTAGAAGGAAAATTAACAAACAGAAAAGAATAGCGTCAACATCAACAAAAAGGACATCCACACCAAAACTGCATCTGTAGATCACCAACATCAAAGACCAAAGGTAGATAAAACCACAAAGATGGGAAGAAACCAGAGCAGAAAACTGAAAATTCTAAAATCCAGAGCACCTCTTCTCCTCCAAAGGATCACAGCTCCTCTCCAGCAAGGTCACCAGCAACAAAGCTGGACAGAGAATGACTTTGATGAGTTGACAGAAGTAGGCTTCAGAAGGTAACTAATAACAAACTTCTCCAAGCTAAAGGAGGATGTTTGAACCCATTGCAAGGAAGCTAACAACCTTGAAAAAAGATTAGATGAATGGCTAACTAGAATAAACAGCGTAGAGAAGACCTTAAATGACCTGATGGCACTAAAAACCATGGCACAAGAACTACATTATGCATGCACAAGCTTCAATAGCTGATTCGATCAAGTAGAAGAAAGGGTATCGGTGATTGAAGATCAAATTAATGAAATAAAGCAAGAAGAGAAGTTTAGAGAAAAAAGAGTAAAAAGAAATGAACAAAGCCTCCAAGAAATATGGGACTATGTGAATAGACCAAATCTATGTTTGATTGGTGTACCTGAAAGTGACAGGGAGAATGAAACCAAGTTGGAAAACATTCATCAGGATATTATCCAAGAGAACTTCCCCAAACTAGCAAGGCAGGCCAACATTCAAATTCAGGAAATACAGAGAACATCACAGAGATACTCCTTGAGAAGAGCAACCCCAAGACACATAATTGTCAGATTCACCAAGGTAGAAATGAAGGAAAAAACGTTAAGGCCAGCCGGAGAGGAAGGTCGGGTTACCCACAAAGGGAAGCCCATCAGACTAACAGCGGATCTCTCAGCAGAAACTCTACAAGCCAGAAGAGAGTGGGGGCCAACATTCAACAATCTTAAAAAAAAAGAATTTTCAACCCAGAATTTCATATCCAGCCAAACTAAGCTTCATAAGTGAGGGAGAAATAAAATCCTTTACAGATATGCAAATGCTGAGAGATTATGTCAACACCAGGCCTCCCTTATAAGAGCTCCTGAAGGAAGCACTAAACATGGAAAGGAACAACCGGTACCAGCCACTGCAAAAACATGCCAAATTGTAAAGACCATCAGTGCTATGAAGAAACTGCATCAATTAATGGGCAAAATAACCAGCTAATATCATTAGAGAAAAAAGAGCAAAAAGAAATGAACAAAGCCTACAAGAAATATGGGACTATGTGAATAGACCAAATCTACGTTTGATTGGTGTACCTGAAAGTGATGGGGAGAATGAAACCAACATCATAATGACAGGATCAAATTCACACATAACAATGTTAATCTTCAATGTAAATGGGCTAAATGCCACAATTAAAAGACACAGACAGGCAAATTGGATAAAGAGTCAAGACCCATCAGTGTACTGTATTCAGGGGACTCACCTCATGTGCAGAGACACACATAGGATCAAAATAAAGGGATGGAGGAAGATCTACCAAGCAAATGGAAAACAAAAAAAAAAGTAGGGGTTGCAATCCTAGTCTCTGATAAAACAGACTTTAAACCAACAAAGATCAAAAGAGACAAAGAAGGCCATTACATAATGGTGAAGGGATCAGTTCAACAAGAAGAGCTAACTATCCTAAATACATATGCACCCAATACAGGAGCACCCAGATTCATAGAGCAAGTCCTGAGAGACCTACAAAGAGATTTAGACTCTCACACAATAATAATGGGAGACTTTAACACTGCGCTGTCAATATTAGACAGATCAATGAGACAGAAAGTTAACAAGGCTATCCAGGACTTGAACTCAGCTCTGCACCAAGCTGACCTAATAGACATCTACAGAATTCTCCACCCCAGATCAACAGAGTATACATTCTTCTCAGCACCACATTGCACTTATTCCAAAATTGACCACATAAGTGGAAGTAAAGCACTCCTCAGCAAATGTAAAAGAAGATAAATCACAACAAACTCTATTTCAGACCACAGTGCAATCAAATCAGAACTCAGGATTAAGAAACTCACTCAAAACGGCTCAACTACATGGAAACTGAACAACCTGCTCCTGAATGACTACTGGGTAGATAACGAAATGAAGTCAAAAATAAAGATGTTCTTTCAAACCAATGAGAAAAAAGACACAATGTAACAGAATCTCTGGGACACATTTAAAGCAGTGTGTAGAGGGAAATTTATAGCACTAAATGCTCACAAGAGAAAACAGGAAAGATCTAAAACTGACACCCTAACATCACAATACAAAGAACTAGAGAAGCAAGCACAAACAAACTCAAAAGCTAGCAGAAGGCAAGAAATAACTAAGATCAGGGCAGAACAGAAGGAGATAGAGACACAAAAAACCCTTCAAAAAATCAATGAAGCCAGGAACTGGTTTTTTGAAAAGATCAACAAAATTGATAGACTGCTAGAAAGACTAACAAAGAAGAAAAGAGAGAAGAATAAAATAGACGCAATAAAAAACGATAAAGGGGATATCACCACTGATCCCACAGAAATGCAAACTACCATCAGAGAATACTATAAACACCTCTATACAAATAAACTAGAAAATCTAGAAGAAATGGATGAATTCCTGGACAATACACCCTCCCAAGACTAAACCAGGAATAAGTGGAATCTCTGAATAGACAAATAACAGGCTCTGAAATTGAAGCAGTAATTAATAGCCTACCAACCAAAAAAAAGTCCAGGAACAGATGGATTCACAGCCGAATTCTACCAGAGGTGCAAAGAGGAGCTGGTACCATTCAATCAATAGAAAAAGAGGGAATACCTCCTAACTCATTTTATGAGGCTGGTGTCATCCTGATACCAAAGCCTGGCAGAGACACAACAAAAAAAGAATTTTAGAGCAATATCCCTGATGAACATCAATGTAAAAATCCCCAATAAAACACTGGCAAATCAAATCCAGCAGCACATCAAAAAGCTTATCCACTAAGATCAAGTTGGCTTCATCCCTGGGATGCAAGCCTGGTTCAACATATGCAAATCAATAAATGTAATCCATCACATAAACAACCAGCAACAAAAACCACATGATTATCTTAATAGATGCAGAAAAGGCTTTCGACAAAATTCAACACCGCTTCATGCTAAAAACTCTCAATAAACTAGGTATTGATGAAACGTATCTCAAAATAATAAGGGCTATTTATAACAAACCCACAGCCAATAACATACTGAATGGGCAAAAAATGGAAGCATTCCCTTTAAAAACTGGCACAAGACAGGGATGCCCTCTCTCACCACTCCTATTCAACATAGTGTTGGAAGTTCTGGCCAGGGCAATCAGGCAAGAAAAAGAAATAAAGCGTATTCAATTAGGAAAAGAGGAAGTCAAATTGTCCCTGTTTGCAGATGACATGATTGTATATTTAGAAAACCCCATTGTCTCAGCCCATAATCTCCTTAAGCTGATAAGCAACTTCAGCAAAGTCTCAGGATACAAAATCAATGTGCAAAAATCACAAGCATTTCTATACACCAATAACAGACAAACAGAGAGCCAAATCATGAGTGAACTCCCATTCACAATTGCTACAAAGAGAATAAAATACCTAGGAATCCAACTTACAAGGGATGTGAAGGACCTCTTCAATGAGAACTTCAAACCACTGCTCAACAAAATAAAAGAGGACACAAACAAATGGAAGAATAGTCCATGCTCATGGATAGGAAGAATGAACATCCTGAAAATGGCCATACTGCCCAAGGTTATTTATGGAGTCAATGCCATCCCCATCAAGGGCCAATGACTTTCTTCACAGAGTTGGAAAAAACTACTTTAAAGTTCATATGGAACCAAAAAAGAGCCTGCATTGCCAAGACAATCCTAAGCAAAAAGACCAAAGCTGGAGGCATCACGCTACCTGACTTCAACCTATACTACAAGGCTACAGTAACCAAAATAGCATGGTACTGGTACCAAAACAGAGATATAGACCAATGGAACAGAACAGAGCCCTCAGAAATAACACCACACATCTACAACCATCTGATCTTTGACAAACCTGACAAAAACAGGAAATGGGGAAAGGATCCCTATTTAATAAATGGTGCTGGGAAAACTGGCTAGCCATATGTAGAGAGCTGAAACTGGATCCCTTCCTTACACCTTATACAAAAATTAATTCAAGATGGATTAAAGACTTAAATGTTAGACCTAAAACCATAAAAACCCTAGAAGAAAACCTAGGCAATACCATTCAGGACATAGGCATGGACAAAGACTTCATGATGAAAACATCAAAAGCAATGGCAACAGAAGCCAAAATTGACAAATGGGATCTAATTAATCTAAAGAGCTTCTGCACAGCAAAAGAAACTACCATCAGAGTGAGCAGGCAACCTACAGAATGGGAGAAAAATTTTGCAATCTACCCATCTGACAAAGGGCTAATATCCAGAATCTACAAACAAGTTAAACAAATTTTCAAGAGAAAATCAAACAACCCCATCGAAAAGTGGGCAAAGGATATGAACAGACACTTTTCAAAAGAAGACATTTATGCAGCCAACAGACACATGAAAAAATGTTCATCATCACTGGTCATCAGAGAAATGCAAATCAAAACCACAATGAGATACTATCTCACCCCAGTTAGAATGGCGATCATTAAAAAGTTAGGAAACAACAGATGCTGGAGAGGATGTGGAGAAATAGGAACACTTTTACACTGTTGGTGGGACTGTAAATTAGTTCAACCATTGTGGAAGACAGTGTGGCGATTCCTCAGGGATCTAGAACTAGAAATACCATTTGACCCAGAGATCCCATTACTGGGTATATACACAAAGGATTACAAATCATGCTGCTATAAAGACACATGCACATGTATGTTTATTGTGGAACTATTCACAGTAGCAAAGACTTGGAACCAACCCAAATGTCCATCAATGATAGACTGGATTAAGAAAATGTGGCACATATACACCATGGAATACTATGCAGCCATAAAAAAGGATGAGTTCATGTCCTTTGCAGAGACATGTAAGAAGCTGGAAACCATCATTCTGAGCAAACTATCACAAGGACAGAAAGCCAAACACCGCATGTTCTCACTCATAGGAAGGAATTGAACACTTGGACACAGGGCAGGTAACATCACACACTGGGGCCTGTCGTGGGGTGGGGTGCTATGGGAGGGATAGCATTAGGAGATATACCTAATGTAAATGACAAATTAATGGGTGCAGCAAACCAACATGGGACATGTATACGTATGTAACAAACCTGCGCATTGTGCACATGTACCCTAGAACTTAACGTAAAAAAAACGCATACAGAAAAATAAATAAAAATAAAAATAAAATAAAGTATACTCACCATCGTTTTGTGTGTAAAATTGGAGACTCTCAACAGGTACTGCAATGGCTGACCTTGGTGTTGGCAATAATGCATGACGGGAGAGGTGGATGTTTAAACAATCTTGATTCATGCCTTGATTTACAGCAAAAATAAAAACCTTAGCAGTCTAAATGTAGTTAGATGCCAAGTCAGAACATATAATAAAAACTTTACGTGCAAATATATGGAATGTGCTAAATTTAATATACATTACAATTTTTATTATTTGAGATTCAGTTAGCCCATGTTTTTAACTAGAGAAAAGAGAATAGTTTCAAATAGCATTTAATACAATATGTGTTCTTTACACATGTCTTCTATTTTAGCCAAATTATACTATTTGTGAAGACCAGCATTATCCAGATAACTCATGGTGAAGTCTCGGATATGATAGTTAAAATAATAAGTTTTGGAATCTAACAGAGTTTCAAATCCCAGCTCTATCACTTACTAATATATCTTTGTAGGGAAGATAAATAACCTCTTGGAATTGGTTTTTATTATAGTAAAATAGGAATAATAGTATGTATTTCAAGGATTATTAAGGCTTAAGTAAGGCAATTTTTTGCAAAGTGCTTAGCTCAGTTTCAGGAAGAGAGAAAACACTCAATAAATTTGTACCATTACAGGTGAATTGTAATCTTGCTGAAGGCAGATATCATGCTTTAGGTTTCTTCTGTATCCTCCACAGGGTTTACAATATTTTTTGGAAAACAATAGGCTTTTCTCTGCATACACATGAGTTTTATAATGTATTGATAGATTTCTGATGTGCTATTGGGATGTGCTTTCACACACACTGTTGACTACATGCAACTACATGGAAAATGCAGATTTATCATTATAGGCTTAGTTCTGTGTGTTTTTCTATTATAGAATTAAACATAAGTCTGGCTTGTAGACAACTCAAGAAAGCATTGAGAAGATTTCTTTTCTCTCCATTTAAGGAAGACCAACTGCACAATGAAAAACAGAATTGGGTTCATTGTCAGCTACACAAGTGCAGTTTCCTCTTCTTGAGGAATTTTTTTGTTGTTGTTGTTGATGGCTTTTAAGAATGCAAACAATTACCCAATTTCCTTCCTCCTTCAGTAGGCTTGTAAATGACTAGTTGTGGAAAACATTGTGAAATCTTGCTCTCAAATGATGTTATGCCTCATGTGGCCATTTAATAAAGCACATCCTACCCACAATTGAGAAAGCAATACTAAAAGTTTATTGTGATCTGAATTCTACGAGGATATATATTATGTTTCCATAAGATGCTTGTACACAGTGTTTACCCCTGTGCTTATGGCAATTTTTTTCTTTTCTTTCTTTCTTTTTTTTTTTAAAGCAGGCTAAGCTGTAGGGAAAAGGGGAAGGTTATTGATTTACTAAGTACATCTCATTTACAAGATGGTATAAATTTGCTGGTGAATTTCTAATCCTGGTTGTCAGTGCTCTTTCTGTCATGGTTCCTGGAAAAGAAATATAGAGATGTGTGACAGGCAAATCATTGGTGCCTCTTTTTATCTAATGACAAACCAGTGATAACAATCACATATATAGATGACGTAAAATTCTGCGAATAACTTTGAAACCTATCCTCTGAGTTCTTCTATGTCACTTACGTCTGCATAACTGAATAATATAAACATGGTGTTCTTATAAGATTAATTGTTTCAAGGACAGAATATTTTATTAAACCTTTTCAGAATCATTCATATTATAAAATTACTACATGTTCAGAATAATAACATATGAGAAATAGAGAAAAGTATTTTAAAATGTAAAATTACTCATATACCCATTCTCAGAGAAAACTTCTATTAGAATTCTCTTACAGTTACTTCAAGTATTGAATCAATAGGTGTGACAGCATAGGTTTATTTTCTCCTCAAAATTATGGCCATACTGAAAATAAAATTTGGAACTTTTTCTCCAAATAATAATTTCATGTAACTTTTGAATTATTTTTATTTTCACTTAATGAAAAAGTCTATGTTTCTAAGACATTATATAATCCTGCAAACAAGGTTTATAAAAGTTAGAGAATTCCAGTCTACGAATGTGCCACAAATGTTTTAATTTTATTTTTTGTGAACTTTGATTATTTTTGTTTTTTATACTGTCATCAATTACAATAGCCTCATTGTGTTTATGCATTGTGGATTCAGATTATTTCATTAGGACAAATTAATTAAAGTGGAAACATTAGGTAAAAAATGATGAAAATATTTCAGACATTTGATATATGACACCAAACCTACTTCCACAATGATATACTGATTTTTAATCCTAATGGTGACATATGAAAGATATATTTCACTTACTTCACTTTACTTGTCCATAAAATGTTTTATAGGCAAAACCAATACTATTGTTTCAATTTGCATGTTTTATTACTACTGGTGATAAAATTCCAGAATTTCAGTTTGATTCTTTCTTAAAATTACTATTTTGACTTTTAGCTCTTGAAGCGTTCTACTGGATTCCATGAATTCCATGGAGTGGCTTTCAACTTTCTCCTGAATCCCAATGAGTTTCCCTACCGTCTACATTCTTAATTTTTTGTCTGTCATTTCAGTCATTTCAGACTGGTTAAGAACCATTGCTGGGAAACTAATGGGCTTGTTTGCAGGTAAGGGGATACTCTTGCTTTTGGAATTGTCAGAGGTCTTGCACTGATCTGCTCTCAACTGAATGGGCTGGTGTTCCTTTAACTTCGGTGTAAGTTGAGTATAGTGAATTGGCTTCATTTCTGATTGCTTTCAGAGGGCCAAGGCGCTCTCTGTACAGGATCTTTATATGTGGCTGGATTATTTACCTGGCTTTCACAGGCACTGCTTATTGGCATAATCATTTTGGTTTTGTATTTTGGGCAGCAGTCTGCTACAAGGTGCTTAAGAGTAATGTCTGTTATATAGGCTCTTACTCAACCATGTGGCTTTTGCATTTCAGCACATTCACAACTGTCCTCTGTGGTGCAGTGGGGAGAGAGATGATCCCCTAATCAAGTAACTGGAGGAGGACCCTCCAATTACTGGCACTATGCCCATATTTTTTTTGTTACATGTTCCAGACTGAAGGGCTCCCTTGGGCAGAAGCTGAGGCTGGGAGATGGGCCACACCCTTCCCAGACTGGCCGTGTGGAGGGAGGCACACCCTGCTCCCATGCTGGCCCACAAACCCATACATCTCACCCCTCTCAGTGTTCTGAATGCTTGAGCACCAGCCATAGATTTTGGCTTGGTACTCCTGGGCTACACACTGCAACCCTGTGATGTTGGGACTGGCCCATGGCTTCTTCCTCCAGCATTTTGGGGTCAGTAGCCAACTGTGCTAGGGGATCCAAAGAGCTTCCAGGCTTCCAGGAAAGTATCATGATGGATTAATGGCACAGAACTCAGCCTGGGCTACGCAGGCTGGAGTGTGCACATAGAACTGCAGGAGCAGCAAGTTAGGGGCCTTAGGAGGAGCTGGTGAACAGGAAGGACCGCAGAACAGATGTGCCCCAGTCCTGCAGAAAAGTTGGCCATGCTTTCTCTTGGCCCAGCAGTTAGCAAAGGTTAGAGCTACTTGGAGAAATATGGGGAGGCTTGAGGGATGGGTACTCTTGGCTTTATTCTACTGCAGCTACCCTGCATGCAAAATCCCCTGGGGTCCATGCAGGCTGGAGCTCTGTCTCTGCTTACTCTCCCGGCAGATGCCCCACGCCAGTTCAAATGTCCATGAGGGTCTTGGGATCTTTTATAGCTAGGATCTCAGAGGTCTACAGTGAGAGTAGGCTATCCCACCATTCCTTCAGTCACCCCTTTCTCTAGGAGCCATTCAGGGCTTGCAGTTAGCCTAGGCATTCAGCAACCCCACAGAGCCTCAGTGTCTGTGTTGCCTCTCTATTGTTTTTTGTTTTTTTATCTCTAAAGATTTGTCTAAAATATGTTGGTTTACTTGAGATTCTGGTCTCTCTCAGTGGGAGTAGTACTTCCTGACTACATGTAGTCAGATATTTTCTAAAATTTCTGTATTTGTGTTTTAAGCCCCACACAAAAGCATAATTGTTATTCAACGAATCTGCACACTCCAAAGATGAACAAATGCTCCCAAGTCTCTGGGAACTGTCTGGGTGAGCTCCAGTTAGGTCAAGTAGGACACTGGGATGATTCCAACAACCTCCCCCAGCCAGTTCTGCAATGTTTTTCTATAACTATTATTTCTTAAGTAATAGTTAATTTGTCCTTTTTAGGGCTTTTCTTGTCATGTGTTGGTATAAAGCTTTAGGATAGCTTTATTGAATAAATTGATTTTTTTAAATTTTATTTTATATATTCTATAGTTCTTATATTTTAATTTTTCTAGTCAGTTAATAATTAACTTCTGTTTTCAAACATATTTTACCATATAAGGTCTGCTCCAATTTATTGAAAAATCCTGCCCAGTATCAGGGCTTCCCATAGCAAACTGTATTTCAGAACCACCTGAGAACTATTTTTAAAATGTCTGAGAATTTGTGTGGGTTTTTTTTTTTTTCAAGTTTTCTGCTTTACTTTTGTGTGCAGTAACTCTGTGGACCTGGGCTTTGGAACCACTGAATACTTTCCATTATCATTTTTTTTAAAGTTCTTTCATGTGTGTATGTATATTTAGAAGTTGTTGCTACAAAGTTCTTGGGCCTTCTGAGGACTTTTTTTTTCCTTAGGGGCCAAATCTGATTACTGATGGAGTCTCCTTATATCCTTCTTGTCTACAAAGCCCAGAGACTACTCTAAGACCTAATCGTAGAAAGACTATTTACTGCCTGTCTGACTCCTTTTTCCTTAACCTTGACTTTATACAAGTTCTTACAGTGAGTTTACCCTCACATACATACTGTACTACTTTATTTTAGCTATTTTTATAACTTATTCTAAAATATAAAACTGAGTAAATACTAGCTTCTAAGCTCCATGAAGACAGATCTTTTTTCTTTTTTTTTCTGTGTTATTCCCCATCATATTCCCAAACCATTGAGCAGAATTTTTTATTTTTTTATTTTTTATTCTTTTGAAACCAAGTTTCCCTCTTGTTGCCCAGGCTGGAGTGCAGTGGTGTGATCTCGGCTCATTGCAACGTCTGCCTCCCAGGTTCAAGTGATTCTCCTGCCTCAGCCTCCATAATAGCTGGGATTACAGGCGTCTGCCACCATGCTTGGCTAATTTTTGTATTTTTAGTAGAGATGGGGCTTCACCAGGTTGGCAGGCTGGTCTTGAACTCCTGACCTCAAGTGATCCACCCACCTCGGCTTCCCAAAGTGCTGGGATTACAGGCATGAGCCACCATACCTGGCCACATTGAGCAGAATTATGCTTAATGTGTATATTGGGTGCTCAGAATGTATTTGCTGAATAAATAAGAGAATAAATTAATGATTGTGAAATGAAGTGGAAAATTAATAAAAATGTAAAACAATGGTATTTTTAAAATTAATAACAGCAATAAGTATTGCCTTGTCCTTGGTTGCTGTGTAATTCTCTCATCCTATCTGTTTCTATTTCTAAAATTCCTGTAATTGTGGTCAATTGTTTGTGTTCATCTTCTATATCTTGGAGTCACCAAATATGAGGCTGTATTATCTGTATTTATAAAAATCAGTTTAAAATTATGTCCTTAAATCATCTATTGAAATTGCTTTCAATCACATTGCTACCACTGTAAGACTAATAATTCCATCTTGAACAATGTCTTCCTTATTACCTTTCTGTATGTGCTATAACTCAGGCTTACTTTGGTGCAAAATGAAATGTTTTCATGAATATTTAGGATAAGATATGAATGTAAAGAAGTAATGACAGTATAATTTATGGTCCTAACTACCACACTGCTGAGAGTAAACTGGTAAACCATTAAAACAAGCCATAACAACAAGAATAAAACTAAGATCAATCAGGGCAAACTGAAAGGTGAGATGATTCCAGTCTGAAAGTAAATAAAACACTGAGATCTTTCTTTTGGTGAAAAGCTTTTGACTGTGTCCTCAGGTCCCTGGGGTATGAATTAATGTTCTTCTGCATAATGGCATATTAGTGAAAATATTTGTGAATGTGTTGTGATGATGATGTTTTTAAAAAGCAAAATGGAAACCCTTGTTCTTTTTGCCTAAGTTACTCATATTTGTCATTTAAGCTAAATATCTCAAGTCCTCCTGTTGTTCTAGGCATTTCTTCACAGCACTAGCCAAAATTGCAATTCTGTATTCATTAATTATATAGTTAACCCCTCCCCATCTAAAATGCATATACTGAAGGCAGACACCATGGTTTTGTTTGTTTATTTTGTTTGTTTGTTTGTTTGTTTCCTGGCTAACGAATGCCCTACACCCATTTTGGTCTTTCACACAAAAAAGGTTTTAAAGAATGTTTAACAAATGAGTAAGACGGTGACAAAATGTCTTCTGTCTCACTTCCGTCCATTAAACTCTACAACAATTCTGAGGAAAATAAACTTTGAAAACTATGAAACATTTGAAGAATCAAGTGGAATTGATTCTTCCCTTCTGCACACCATTTTTCTATCTGGAAGCTCTAGTTTCTAAGAGAATTCTAACACTCTTGCTTTCATGCCATTATTTCTCTAATGGATTTTGAGTGGCATATAGGAAATCAGAGAGTAATTAAGAGGTAATAAAAATAAGATTTGCAAACTAAAAGTAGGCTTTTAAATATTTTTTTGGTTATGCACTAGCTGCTTTTGGCTAATGGCAACCACTCTATTTTGAATACATATAAATATAAATGCTTTTTGACTTTTATTTAGGATACTGGAAAAATAAATGTAGATAAAGAAAAATTATAATGTATTGTGAAAAATAATTCCCCAAACTCCATTTTTGAGTGTATTTATTCATTTTGTGTAAGAAAATGATATTCTAAAAAATGTCTAACATTCTAGAGTCAAAATTAGTTATCATTAGAAACATTTAAAATAATTCAGAAAACAAACCAAAAAACACCGATTATTATCTATACGTAAAGCATGGGTCTTATTTTAAGAGTTTATATACAAGTTAGGGAGGATTTTGTTGAAATCCATCCAAAGAACTCAAGCCAGAAAACAGAAATTCATAAACCGTTAATTCTTAATATATTTCTAAATGGTTTATAGTTTGGGCAGAATCTGTAAGAAGTAAGTAGCTGTTTTTGCATTTCAATTCAATTCCATTTGTTTCAACAAACACTACCAGGCATTCTTCGAGTGTGTAGGAGCTAAAAGATGAATTTTATCCTCGAAGGAGTTAAGATTCAAGTAGGGGAGACAAACATAAAAAAACCTGATTAATGACAGATTTCAACTGTACTGCATGAGTATATTACTATGCCTCTAATCTTTGGTTAGAATATCTTTAGAACACTCTAATTAAAAACAAAATCATATTATTGTATCCTTGTATTTAATACAACTAAAATTTTATTAAGGATATATTAAGACATTAGCTATTATTAACTATTATTATGTTAGGGAACATATCTTAACCTAAAGAAAAAAAGGACATTTATTTGCAGAGTTGTCCTATATGTGATATCGTGCTACTAATCCTCAATAACTGATTTGACAAGTGTGGCCCAATTAGGCCTCCCTGGCATCTCATCCAGAGCCAGGGCTTGCATGCAGATTGGTGCACCACTAATAGGCATATATTGCTAAAAGACCTCATGCCTGCAACCACTGCCATTTTCTAAATTTGCTTCAGCTCATTCGGTTTTGTGATTTTTGGCTTCTGTTTGCAGCCGTGAAACTGCTTTCTAAAATTCATCTGTTCCCCTAATAGATTTTTTTTGGACAGAGGCGATGAATTGGGGAGATTCAATAACTATAATTACTGACATGTTTTAAAAGGTGAGCTAAGGAAGCCTGCAACTCCTATGATATTTAAAATGCTCTCCAATTCAATTTTTACTTTTCCTTCATCACATTCCCTAAGAAAATATAGTCATGATTTAAGTTTATTAAATTGTGTTGTTTTTTTTCAGTTATACAAGAATAAAAAGAAATTATAAATTATTTTAAAAATTTCCATATAAATATATTTGGGAAAGTGATATACTTGAGTGTGACCAAATATTTTCTTATTGTTATTTTACTCTATGTAGCCATGGTAAAATGTTATCATGGAATTAATACCAAATCTAAACACATTGCTCTTTAAAATAAAGATTACCTTATATTCGTGAAGTAAAACTGGTCAGCAATTAGGCTTTTTGCCACTTCAGTAATACAGTCTTGGATAAGATAAAGGAGCCAAGAGTCGTCTTCTGATTAAACATTGCCTTTGTATTAAATTCTGAATAAAGTTGAAGAAAACTTCGAGGGCATATGTCTCTTTTTTTAAGCTTTTATTTTAAGTTCAGAGGTACAAGTGCAGGTTTGTTACATAGGTAAACTTGTGTCATGGGGGTTTGTTGTATACATTATTTCATGCCTCCCCCATATTAAGCCTAATCCCCATTAGTTATTTTTCTTGATCCTCTCCCTCCTCCTGCCCTCCGCCCTCTAAAAGGCACCAGTGTGTGTTGCTTCCTTCTATGTGTCCATGTGTTCTTCTCATTTAGCTCCCACTTATAAGTGAGACCGTGAAGTATTTGTTTTTCTGTTCCTGTGTTAGTTTTCTAAGGATAATGACCTCCAGCTCCATCCATATCCCTGCAAAGGACATGAACTCATCCTTTTATGGCTGCATAATATTCCAGGTGTATATGTACCACATTTTCTTTATCCATTCTATTGTTGATGGGCATTTAAGTTGATTCCATGTCTTTGCTATTGTGAATGGTGCTGCAATGAATTTACACATGCTAGTGTCTTTATAACAGAATGATGTATATTTCTTTGGGTATATATCCAGTGATGAGATTGCTGGGTCAAATGGTATTTCTGTCTTTAGGTCTTTGAGGAATCGCCACATTGTCTTCCACAACAGACAAATTAATTTACACTCCCACCAACAGTGTATAACCATTCTTTTTTCTCCACAACCTCACCAGCTTGTGTTATTTTTTGACTTTTTAATAATAACCATTCTGACTCGTGTTTGATGGTATCTTGTGGTTTTGGTTTTCATTTCTCTAATGATCAGTGATGTTGAGCTTTTTTTCATATGACTGCTGGCTGTATGTATGCCTTCTTTTGAAAAGTGTCTGCTCATTTCCTTTGCCAACTTTTTTATAGGGTGGTTTTTTTTCTTGTAAATTTGTTTAATTTCCTTATAGATGCTGGATATTAGACCTTTGTCAGATGCATAGTTTGCAAACATTTTCTCCCATTCTGTAGGTTGTCTGTTTACTCTGTTGATAGTTTCTTTTGCTGTGCAGAAGTTCTTTAGTTTAATTAGATCCCATTTGTCAATTTTTGCTTTGGTTGCAATTGCTGTTTGCTTTGGTTGCAATTGCTGTTGGCTTCTTTCTCATTAAATTTTTGCCCATGTCTATGTTCTGAATGGTACAGCCTAGGTTGTCTTCCAAGGTTTTTATAGTTTTGGATTTTACATTTAAGTCTTTAAACTATCCCTAGTTAAATTTTGTAGGGATTTTGTAAGAAAGAGCTCCAGTTTCAATCATCTGCATATGGCTAGTCAGTTATCCCAGCACCATTTGTTGAATAGTGAATCTTTTCCCCATTGCTTGTTTTTTTCAGGTTTGTCAAAGATCAAATAGTTTTTATGTGTATAGTCTCATTTCTGCATTCTCTATTCTGTTCCATTTGTCTGTGTGTCTGTGTTTGTACCCATACCATGCTGTTTTGGTTACTGTAGCCCTGTAGCATAGTTTGAAGTCAGGTAGCATGATACTTCCAGTTTTATTCTCTTTGGTTAAGATTGTGTTGGCTATTTGGGCTCTTTTTTTGGTTCCATGTGAATTTTAAATAGTTTTTCTAGTTCTGTGAAGAATGTCAATGGTAGTTTAAGAGCATTGAATCTATAAATTTCTTCAGGCACTATGGCCATTTTAACAATATTGATTCTTCCTATCCCTGAGCATGGAATGATTTTCCATTTGTCAGTGTCATCTCTGATTTCTTTGAGCAGTGGTTTGCAGATCTCCTTGCAGAGCTTTCACCTCCATAGTTAGCTCTATTTCTAGGTATTTTATTCTTTTTGTGGCAATTGTGAATGGGATTTGTTCCTTATTTGTCTCTTGGCTTGATTGTTGTTGGTGTATAGGAATGCTGGTGATTTTTTCACAATTATTTTGTATCCTGAGATTTTGTTGAAGTTGTTGATTAGCTTAAGAAACTTTAAGGCTGAGACTATGGATTTTTCTAAATATAGGATCATGTCATCTGCAAACAGAGATAGTTTGACTACCTCTCTTCCTATGTGAATACCTTTATTTCTTTGTCTTGCCTGATTGCCCTGGCCAGAACTTCCAATACTATGCTGAATAGGAGTAGTGAGAGAGGGCATCCTTGCTGCCTTATTTTTAGAACTCATTATTTGTCTGTTCAGAGATTCAATTTTTTCCAAAATAAATTGGCATCTATTAACTTCCAGTTTGACGCTTTCTTGGTTCTAAGACATTTATGTTCTTAGATTCAAATTAGTTTTATTAGGTATTACTGGTTACTTATTTTTTATGACATCAAGTTTTTTACCTGTAAAATGAAAAAAAAGTAGCTGATTTTCAAGGGGAATGCTTCCAGCTTTTGCCCATTCAGAGTGATGTTGGCTACAGGTTTGTCATACATGGCTCTTATTATTTTGAGGTATGTTCCTTCAACATTTAGTTTATTGAGAGTTTTTAACATGAATGGATGTTGAATTTTATCAAAAGCCTTTCCTGTATCTATTGAGATAATCATGTGGTTTTTGTCTTTAGTTCTAATTATGTGATGAATCACATTTTTTGATTTGCGTATGCTGTACCAACCTTGCATCCTGGGGATGAAGCCTACCTGACCATGTTGGATAAGCTTTTTCATGTACTGCTGGATTCAGTTTGCCAGGATTTTGTTGAGGATTTTTGCATTGACATTCATCAAGGATATTGGCCTGAAGTTTTCTTTATTTTGTTGTATCTCTGCCAGGTTTTGGTATCAGGATGATGCTGGTCTCATAGAATGAGTTAGGGAGGACTCCCTCCTTTTCAATTTTTTGGAAAGGTTTCAGCATAAATGCTACCAGCTCTTCTTTGTACATCTAATAGAATTAAGTTGTGAGTCCATTCGGTCCTGGATTTTATTTTGGTTGGAAGGCTATTTATTATTGCCTCAATTTTAGAACTCATTATTGGTCTGTTCGGAGATTCAGTTTCTTCCAAAATAAATTGGCATCTATTAACTTCCAGTTTGATGCTTTCTTGGTTCTAGGAAATTTATGTTCTTAGATTAAAATTAGTTTTATTAAGTGTCATTGGTTACTTATTTTTTCTGACATCAACTTTTTTACCTGTAAAGTGATGGCAGAATAATAGCCATAACAAAACTAACATATTTTAATATATTACATTGGAAATTCTATTGAAAAAGGATAAAGAACTGTACTATTAAGAGGTATTGTTATTTTGCAATAGATTTTTATATACAGAACCCTACATGTACCCAAGCATACCCTTACTACGTTTTTATTTTTTGCTAACCTTTTGCTTTTACCAAAAGGTTTATTGATTCTTATTCTAGATATTGTTTTATTCCACTTTTGAAAATAGATGCCACAGGCTACAGACTAATTCAGGGACTTTATTTTCTTTTAATTTAAACAGAACAGCATCTGGTCTTCTGACAGAAAATTCAACTTTGTTGGCAGCTACAGGGTTATCCCTTGGTGGGCCGATTAATGGATGTTTGAGTTTAGTTGCATTCTTAGCCACCATTACCCCATGATGTATGGTCTTCATTCCATGTATTTTCTATGTTGGTTTCACATACTGGGTTTTTAAAAATTATTTCTACAACTGTAAAAAAGACTTAATGAGTCATATTTTATGGCTGGCTGATGTAAATTGTTTTATTCTAACTTAATAAAATCCTTTATCTTATCACTGACTATTTTTTTATATGCTAGCATTTCTTCTGCAATTTTAAACCTTCATATTTTCTCATATATCTAACCTTTTCCTATTAGTATTTCTTAATTTTCTTCAATATTTCTAATTTAACTACAAAGCAATTCTTCATGAAATCAGCAGAAAAGGTATTATGCAGAGATAATGTGGACTCTTATGGAGGACTCTTCTGGATTATTATTGTTATCATCACGATTCTTTTACAATGCACAAAAATTGTTTACATATATAGAGGAAGTTAAATTATTCTGTCCATTACAAGTTCTTATATGAAAGTACATTAAGTCAGTGCCTTAGTTTATGTTCTGTTGCTTTTAATGGAATATGTAAAATTGAGTAATTTATTTAAAAAATGATTTGATTCTTACACTTCTGGAAGCTGGAAGGCTCAAGGTCAAGGGGTCAATCCGGTGAGAGCCTTTCTGTTGGTGGTTGCTGTCTTCAAAGTCCCGAAGCAGTGCAGGGCATCACAAGGCGAGGGATATGAGACTACTAACATGCCAGCTCAGGTCTCTCTTATTATTATTATAAAGCCACCAGTCCCACTCTCATGTTAACCCATTTGTCCATTAATCCATGAATAGATTAATTCATTCGTGAGGGCTTAATTACTCCAATCACTTCCTAAAGACTCCATCTTTCAATACTGCTGCATTTAGGATTAGGTTTTATCGTGAATTTAGAAGGGACGAACATTCCAACTATAGCAGTCAGCATGGGGGAAATAAATTGAAAGTGGGAAACTTCTAAACCTGAGGTAAGCTCTATTAAGAAAAGAACAAAGAAATAAAATGATTACTTACTAGGAACTTATTCTGGGACCTAATTCAATTTCTGAACACCTGTGCCCTTATACAATTTTACTTGTCTTATTCACACTAATTGGGCCAGTCAGATATGATTATAATAAATCATATACATGACAGCTAAATAGATCAATAAAATATGTAACTATAATAATAGTTTAAAATATTTAATAATAAAAATGTGTTTATTCACTTACAACTTGCTGAGAGACATAAGAAAAAATCCTTTATAGATCTCTTATATTTCTTTTGTTATTGGAATTAGAGGTAATAGCTGCCTTTTTATTTTGGATTATCTTTTTAAAAATGTTTGTGTAGGGAACAGCCTTGGAAGACAGATATTTTGTCTTCTTCCCGAGCAAAAACTAGTTTGCTTTTTGCCCCATAAAATAAAGATTATGTCTCCTTTCAGGAAAAAATATTCAGGTAGGTTTGCTTGCAGCTTATTAGAAAAGACTGGACTTTCCTACCCTCAGGGATCCTCAGCTGTAACACAAATTCACCATATGTGTATCATCCATCTGAACCTCTCCACGTTGCTCTGATGGGACTTTGAGGGAAAGAAGAAATGGCATGTGCCATGAAAAATTAAATACTTTGTCTCTGACCTAGGAGGCTTTTGTCTTCTATCAGCATTCATGAAACTATAACAGGATAATTTGTTAGCTTGAGACAACCTTAAACTTTCAGACTATTCACAGCTCTTGAGAAAGCCCTATAAATTCGTTTCTAATACTATATACATTATTTATGTTTTTTTTTTTTTTTTTTTTTTTTTTTTTTTTTTTTTTGAGATGGAGTCTCGCCCTGTCACCCAGGCTGGAGTTCAGCGGCGCGATCTTGGCTCACTGCAACCTCCGCCTCCTGGGTTCAAGCGATTCTCCTGCTTCAGCCCCCCAAGTAGCTGGGATTACAGGTTCGTGTCACCAATGCCCGGCTAATTTTTGTATTCTTAGTAGAGGTGAAGTTTCACTATCTTGACCAGTCTGGTCTTGAACTCCTGACCTCAGGTGATCCACCTGCCTCGGCCTCCCAAAATGCTGGGATTACAGGCATGAGCCATCGCGCCTGGCTATATATATTTTAAATGAGTAAACAAAGGGACACAGAGAATATATACCTCTCTCAAGTTTACATAGATATCAAAGAGAAAATGTAGGATTCAAATCAGACAATTCAGCTCCAGAACTCACGCTTTCAAATATGTCACTATAATGCTGGTTACAGTCATTAAAATACTTCCAGTTTCCTTAGTGCTACATGGTGCTGGATGAACTAAATACTTACTTACCAAATAGTACTATAACAATGAATTTAACTGTGACCTGAAGCTTCCTTGTGCCTGAATTTTAAAATTTTCTTCCTGAGGTATGCCAAAAACAGGTTTGCATCTGTGTTTTCTTATTATCAACCTTACTCTTCTGACATCTTCTTGAGCATCTTGCAAGTAACTGACAGTACTCACTCTGCAGTATAATATCCTGTAAGATTAATTTTAATGAGGATTTGATGTCTTCTTATATTTCTTGTGTTTCTCTGAAACAGTTTATTCCATTCTCTAAAAAGTTATGTTAATGCTGTGCCCCTTTCTGTAGTGGACATTTATTGATTTTTGCCTTTGCAGCATTGGTTATCCCTTCTTTATGTAACTGCTCATTATTTTGATTTTTTGCACCTAGGATTCAATAATCCTCACCCCACTTTCTACCTCCTGGATTGGTCTCAACATCCATAGCTGCTAGTGAGATTCCCATATTCCCCTGTCCATAGTGATTGGTTCAGAAGTATACATGTGAACTTAGCTTGATCAGTCCAAGAGAATGGGCCTCAGTCTTGAGGCTTTTTCTTTAATTATTGATAGAAGGCAAACTCTGCTTTAGGTTGCTAGATTTTGAAAGTAAGCCTGGGTCTTTCAATGGCCATTTTGGCACTAGGAAATTTCCCTTCAGAGAATGAAGCCAACATAGATGGCAGCAGGGCCAAGAGATGGAGAGAAAAACATTTTCTGTCAATATTATTTAAGCACTTGATCCAGATATGCTATAACTAAAGTTCAAAATATTTCTGGACATTCATTTTGTGATGCAATAATGTCCACGCCATGCTTTATTTTTTCTTAAGCCATTTTGATTTGGAAGATTACTACTTTCAACAAGCTTCAAATATTTTGCATTCCTAGTTTCATTATTTCTAAAATTGTGTATTTTAATTTTATTCCCAATTTATCTCCCCTTTTACAATGTTACAGTGCTGTGATTTTTTTGATGTCCCAATTTTAAAACATCTCTAAAAATTGTTTCCCTTGAAACAAGAAAAATCTTGTTGTATTTATTTATTTACTAATCAATTATAGTTGGGTTACAACAATGCATTATATTAGATAAATAAATAAAAATATAAGAATAATTATGTGGAATGGTGAACTGATTGAAGAATAGTTCCTGGCTTTGGAATCTAAAAACATCAATCTCATAGAAATAGAGAGTAAAAAGGTGGTAGAATGGTTTACCAGAGGTTGGAGTGGTTAGTGGGGGATAAGGAGTTGGGGAATGTTAGTCAAAGATACATATATATAGTTAGATATGAGGAATAAGTTCAAGGTCTACTGTATAGCATGGTAACCAGTGTTAATGATGATATATTGTATTTTTTAAAATGCTAAGAAAGTGAATGCTAAATGTTCTCACCACAGAACTGATAACTATTTGAGGTAATTAATTTGTTAATTAGATTTCACCATTCCATAATGTATATATACTTCAAAACATCATATTGTACATAATAAATACATATACATTTATACATCAATTTTTTAAAAAAATGATAAATTTCAAAAAAAAAGTCCCTGGTTGAAATATTAATGAATGTGGTGAATTAATATTTAGCTATTGTTTTAAATAACATAGCCCTATCTTATTGTTTAGAAAAAAATATAATAGTTGTATTGGCTGCATACTGTTTTTCATTAACAAACACCCGTGCCAAAATGTCAACGATTTATAGGCTTATATCTCCATTTTGTATATGAGATAAATAGGTCAAGTATTCGAATACCATATAGAATCAAGGTCTTTAGGTTCTTAATTCAACACACCTCTAACTGCAACACAAAGAAAACATTTGTTTGACATTGGTAAATCAAATAGAAATATCCTCACAGAAACACTGAATCTAACCCATTCCATGTCTATCATCTTATCTTCAAGCTATATAGCTGAGGGCAGGGTCAGAAGCTGCCATGCTGTGTTACATGACAGGAATAAATAATGCAGAAAACTTGTTCATTTATTTAACCTTCAACTATTTATAGAAAGCAAATTACAACATGACAGGCACTATTTTGGAATGAAATTTCAGTGCATTGGTAAAGAAGTCTGACTCTGTTTTTAAGATGAGCTTCTTCTTTCATATTTCTCTATTATTACTGTATCAACTGAAAAAGGGTCTATTTTGTTATTCAATTATTCCTGGTATGTGAGCCTAATTCAAAGATTTAGTTAACTAGGAAATCAAAGGGACCATAGAAGGCCTTGAATAATACATGAGTGAGTTTTAGAGTGAAATAAAACTATAAAGGTAGTGTAACATCTTGTCTGAGTTACAGTGATATCAGAGAACACACACAGACACAGACACACACACACAAACATTTTTTGCCTGGGTTTCTTCCCAGGTGAACATACTGTTAAGTCTCTCATATGAAAGACGTAGTTTACCCTAGCTTTTGAAGATTTGAGGCTGCTTTTTGAAGTTGAGGTAGGCACAATCTTTCTGCTTAAAAATTAGAATAGGAGCAAAGTATGGATAAGTATAGCAAGATGTTAAACCAAAATGTCATTTTTCATCTACAAACAGAGAACTTGCTACAACCTTAGCACTCAACCTTCCAAATGATGCCAATTATGTTCACCCACCCTGCTGTGTTCTTAAAAGGAGAAGCACTAGGGGGATCAAAATTAAAACACTTAATTATTTTGTGTTTTAAATGTGAACTCTCTCTAAAAAACAGCAGGTGGATCTTTATCACATCCACTTAAGTCCCTTTGGTCCCTGGACAGTTCCACTAATCATTTGAGTTTAAATACTTTTGAATTGCCTTCATTCACACTACAAATATCTTCACCTTCTCTTGGAAGGGGGCTGCATACTTGGTTACTATTCAACCACTTATCTATTGATGTTACTGCCTGAGAATTAAAGCTCCCTGGAGTTGGCTGATGAGCTTTCACAGAGAGTAAATGTGGCAACAATCCTGCAAATTAGGGCTAAGAGGAAATGGAGGCTAGAATCAGTTTCCAAAGGCATTTCTTAGAATTTGCAGAATTGCCATTATAGGAGGAATTATCTTCAGTAGAGTCAAATTTATACTTAACAACATGAAAAATCTTCTGAAATCTTGATTATCCCAATGTCATTAGCAGAGAATGCCAAGGCATGTAAATAGACTATGATAACTGTAGAGAATCTCCTGACTTAGAAAAACATCCAAATAATTCTGTAGATTTTTAATTTATTTATTTCAATTGTTTTGTATTCTTTTATCTTTTTTTGGTTAAAATCATACAACTTTTTTGTTTTCTGAGCATTTTGACATCTACTTTGTAAGTTCTTTTATACTTATAATAATGCCTTGAGTCAGGAAACAGTAATTATCTCAGTTTTGCAAATAAAGCAAAAGCATAAAAAGTCACCTTGGCCTTCAGATGAGGGCATGCAATTAATTAATGCAGAACTGAAACTAGAACATAGACAACAATTGTTATCCCAGCCCAAGACTTTTCTACTAAAGTGTGTGACTTGTACATTTATTCTATGGTCATCACAAAAATACATATGCAGTGCAAATACATAAAAGTGAATTCTAGTTGCTGAGGTTGGGGGAAGACTCTAATTAGATGATCTGGTAAGAGTTTTATAAGGAAGGAAATTTATTCTGATTAGAAAAAATATAGGTACAAATTGAGACATATTAACCAATTATCATAATTGCCAATAAAATACAGTATGTAGATGAAAGGAATCTAGGTTAGCTGGAAAAATGAGACAAAAGTGGAATGGTGGGGAAGCATGGGAGGCAACGTGCTTCTTCATAACATCAAACTTTCTTTTCCAAATAGTTTCTGACCTTTGTAATTTGTGGTAGTGAAGGGTCAGCAACAAAGCATCAAAGATCACAGCACAAAGGTAAAGTGATTCACCCTGCTTTTTAATCCTTAGCACCGAACTCTAAGATCTTCTAATTAAAGAACCAAGATAGGCATCTACTCGACCCTCACTTTGACATCTTCAAATTTAAAGCAATTCAACTCTCACTCCCACACTCAGGTTAATTTTCACTAGAAGAAATAATGTTGACAGTTTCAGAAAGTCAAGCTAAGCTTATGTAAGGAGAAAAAGAGTAAAATGTTCTTTTTTTACTGATGGATGTGTCCTCCAAGATATGATTTCCCAAGAGTTCTAGGACTTGCTTCCTTGTGCCAGAGCATACTGCACAGTGGGGGTTTCAGGGCACAAGGTTGAAGTCAGAAATGTATACCTAGCCCCCCTCCCAACCCTTATACCACTAATTGGCTCTATGACTTTGGGAAAAGTACTTAAACATCTCTGAGACATGGCTAATTCTTCAATAAAATTGAAATAATAGTAGTACTTAAAATTTAGATTGTTACTGGTAGTGGGCTAAATGATGTCCGTTAAAGAGAATACTCTTGTTTTAATCCCTAGAACCTGTGAATGATATCTTATTTAGGAAAAAGGGGTATTTGCATGTGAAGTTAATTTAAGGATTTTAAGATAAGAAAATTATCCTGGATTAACTGGGTGGGCCTTAAATCTAATATGAGTATCCCTACAAGAGACACACAGAAGAGAGTCATGCAGAAGAGGAGCAAATAATGTGACCATGGAGGCAGAGATTGACGTGATGTGGCCACAAGGGAGGCAACACCTGGAGCCACCATAACATAAAAGAGGTCAGGAATGGATTCTCTCTTCAAGCCTTCAGAGGGAGTATGGCCCTACTGACACCTTGGTATTGGACTCCTGGCTTCCAGAATTATGAAACAATAACTTCGTGTTTTAAGCCAAGTTTGTGGTAACTTAATATAGCAACCAGAGGAAAGTAATACATCATTCAATGAGATAATTGTGAAGAATATACTTAATACATGGTCTAGAACATAGATGTTATTGATAAATAGAATTTATTATTTATACAAAACCTGAGCAGTGTGAGACCTAGAACCAGTGCTAAAGGATATTTGTACTCAGAGAATGGGTTTCCATTTATCGATTAGTTTCTATGAGCCAATTATTCTACTGGGTGTTATGCATGCATTATATAGTTTCTCCTTCTAGTTATAACAAAAGTAAACACTGATTTCTCTTAACAGACATGGAGACTGCAACTCAAAATATAAAATCACTTACTCAAGACCTTATAATTAGTAAGATAATCAAGATTCAAACTCAGATCTGTCTGTAGGAAATGTATTTACTTTCTTTTTTTCATGCTGCCTCTACAAGGTACGGTGTACAGAAGTGGTCAGTGGGTTATAGGGGAAGGCTAAGCCGCAGCCAGCAGTTCTGTGTAATAGTTTATCAATTTTAAGGGTCTTGGCACAGTGAAAAAATCAAGAAATGAAGCAATGGAATAGATAAAAGTAAGAGAATTAGAATGATGTAATAAAAGAAAATTGGAAACATTTTCTAAACAAATGACAATATTGGTAATTGGAGGAATAATCAGTTATTAAAATAGCTTGGACACCACGGCAGGCAGAATTGTAAAGTGAGCCTCAAGATTCAGCTTCTTGTGGCATATGCCCATGCCCCGTATAATGACACTCTGGAGTATGGTGAAAACTGTGAATATGATACGATGTTACTCCTGTGATATATAGGGCAAAGATAAATAGATTTTGCAGATGAAATTCAGGTTGATTTTTAGTTCAATGAGATCAGCTGATTTTTGATTAAGCAAAAGAAAGATCATTCTTGGTGGGCCTAATTATTCAAATTAATGCCCTTAAATGAGCAACTGCGCCCTTCTTGAGATTGGAGTGATTCTCCTCCTGGTCTTGAAAGGGCCACATGGCACAGAATTGCAGGTGACTTCTGTGAGCTAAGAGTCACCCCAGCCAAAATCCAGCTAGAAAACAGCCACCTGAATCTTACAATGCTAAGGAAATACATTTTATCAACAACCTGAATAAACGTGGAAGCAAATTCTTCCCTAATGAAGCTTATTGATGTCAAAGCAGCCTGGTAGAGATCCTGAATGCAGCCTTGTGAAACCCTGAGCAGAGAACCCAGCTAAGCTGTGCCTGGACTCCTGAGGCACAGAAACAGTTATATAATAAGTGTGTGCTGTTTTAAGACACCAAATGTGGTAATTTGTAACACAGCAATAGAAAACAAATACAGACAAAACAAATACTCTCAAAATCAATTTTTTATTTAAATCTATAATTTCTATGAGAGAAATCAGCACTGTGCTACAAACTAGTCTACATCTTGCAGGGTTTACCAGTAGTTATGGACACTTACGTTTTTCTACTCTCTGCTTTATTCTCAGAAATATTCATACCCTGACTTCATACAGTCACCATACTTCCTTTCACCCACTGTATATGTCTTTAGCACCTTCGCCTACAAGCTGAGAAATCTGGAAGCCACCTTTACACATAGTTGCATGAGCACACACATATGTGTGTGCAGATAAACACATATGGGCACATGCATGTACACACACACAGAATTTAGCAATGCACACTACATAAACACAAACTATCATTCCTGTCTGATAGCACATAATATGCCTCTTTTTTTTAACCTTTATAAAAGCTATCTTATTCCTTATCTAATTCCTTTTTCTCTTTAGTACTTAAAATACACTTATGGCCCAATATACCTCTGTAGTTACATAGTAATGTACTTTTAACAATTTTATCACATCATAAACTAGCATAGTGACAGTACTTTAATGTTCAACTGCTGCATTATTAATAGAAGAGGTTTTGCCTTTCCAGAAACATCCTGAATTTGTTGTGTTCCATAGTCATTATAGCCCAATAAATATGATGTGGGTCAGATTGGAAATGCAAAGAATTTGGTGAACTCTGAATGTATTAGGTGCACTTTGAACCATTTACTGCCACAAACACAATGATGCTATTTCAAAAGAAGCATATTAGAGATTGAAAGCAACTCTTCTTAGTACTATAAATGGTTACCCTGTATTGCAGTAAAAATAACAGATTTATTGGCAAAACTTCTACCTTGTTAATTTTATATTTCAATTTTCCAAGCTCCGGTAGCTGAATATAGATTGATATAGCTTAAGCTTAGACTAATGATTAAAAGTTCAGCATGTAAATGCAATCCAGATAGTTTATTTATGACTCAGACATATTAATTTGTCAAGTTGGGTTCAAAATGCTTCTCTATCTGGATCAACTTAATATTTCCATATATCTTTATATAATAGGCTTAAATATTGCTGAATAAAGATGACAGCTTAATTTTGATTTGCAAAAATATTTTACACAAGTAATTTACAAAGTATGAAACAAAAATACATAAATAATATGAATAAAATAATGCAAATAAACTAATAGTACAAAAATCCTCTAATTAATACATAAAGGAGTATTTAGTCATCCTATCAACAAATATAAAATTCAAGTGAGAATATGTAAGCCATCATTTATTTACTATCAAGTTAGCACATATTTTAAGAATTATAATAATCAGTTTTAATATAGAAATGATGAAATAGGCAACCTGTCTAGCAAGTATGTATCAAAATATTTCAAGATCCTGGAAAATATGTAAACTTTTGACCCAGGTATTTCAATTTTTAACTGTAATAATAATTTCCAGAAGATGTTGCAGCAAAGTTATAAAATGATATAGACAAAGAATATATGGGCAAGGCAAATCTATGCCCAGTTTAGAAAAATAATCTCTTTGATTAAATAGGGCATAATTCAATATATACTACGTTATTCTTAACAAAGACAATCAGTGGACATATATAGCTATGTATATATTCAAATATGAACATGAGAATATTTTGCTTTATGATTTTATGGTTATTTCAATTCCACATTGTTATTTTTATTAACATTTGTCTTTATTTTGTGTAAGTAGAAATATAATGTATGTTAGCTGTAAAAAATATTGAAAATACAGCATCAGAGAGAAAATGTACCAAAGAAAAGATAAAACCTTCTGTTTTAATTTTAAGTTAACTTTGCACTATGAAATATATATATGTACATACATATATATACATGTATATATGTACGTACATGTATATACATATATATGCACATGAAAATGTATATAAATACATACATATATCTACATGTAATTGTATTTAATTTTAAGTTAACTTCGCACTATGAAATATATATGTATGTACATATATACATGTATATATGTACATACATATATAAATATAAGGATAATGTATTATATATAATATAAAATTATGTACATATATGTATATACATATATATGCACATGAAAATGTATATATGTACATACATATATGTACATGTAATTATATTTAATTTTAAGTTAACTTCACACTGAAATATATATGTATACACATATATACATGTATATGTGTATACATATATAAATATAAATATTATATATATAATATAAAATTATGTACATAATACATATACATGTATATATATATTTCATAGCGCAGTTAACTTAAAATTAAATATAATTATATATAATTGTATATACTTTTATATATAATTTTATATAAATATATAAATTATATATAAATTTTATATAAATATATTCTATATATTATATATTATATTATATATAATATTTATATATGTATATACATATATACATGTATGTATGTACATACATATATATTTCATAGTGTGAAGTTAACCTAAAATTAAATATAATTATACATAATTTTTTATTATATAATATTTATATTTATATATTATATATAATATATATTTATATGTTTATATATAATAATATATATTTATATGTTTATATATAATAATATATATTTATATATTATTTATAATATATTATATACAATTATATATATAATTTTAACAGTTTTATATAAATAATATAATATATAGAATTAAATATATATAATTTTTATGTAAAAAATTATATATATAATTTATATATTTTTTATATATAAAAATTATATATATATAATTTCCTACCCATTTGGAAATATTTTATTTGGAATTCTGACATTGGATTTGTTACATGAAAATGACTTTTGGATTTTTCTAAGTGGTATCTTATACAGTCTGTTTAGATAGATAACATTTTGAAATTTTCCTACATCTTGGTCTGCTTAGGTAGACATTTGACTGATACATGAATATAGACATTTTTATCTATGATTTTGTTACTGAGCTTTCTTCAAACTGTTTAAATAGTTTGGTGGTAGATTGAAAGTAGAATGAGACCTCATGTGCATGTTTGTCTCCAGAACCCTCGCCAGAGCATATTTAGGGGAAATAATATTTTTTAGGAATTTTAGCTTCTTCTATTGTTTATTCTATCTGTAAATTTGACTTATCTGAAAATAAATTGAGAATTTAATCCAAAACAGACTTTAATGGAGGTTTTCAGTGTGAGATTTGTCTTCCTCACTCCTTTTCTTCTTTTTCCTTCATTATCCCTGTTTCTCCTCTCTGCATTTCTCTCCCTCCCTCTTCCTTTTGCATGCATTCAACTACTTATAGTAAACATACACCACGCACCAAGTATTGTGATAGGAACAAGGGGTATAAATATGAGCAAGGCAGTTTTGATCTGTCCTGCCAAAGCTTAGAATGTTTGATTTTAAAACAAGCATTTACATTAAAGTGTGGTAAGTGATACAATAAAGAAAGAACAGAATGTTGAGGAAATACCTAGTAGTGTCTCTTAATACAGTTGAAAGTAAGGAATATTACTCAAGGAACAATGTCTACAAAAAGTGATATTACGGCTAAAAGTTAAAGAATCATTACAAGTTAGGCAGACAGTATTACTACTCTACAGGAATGGAGTCAGTTGCTTATCTAGGTTTTTACCCCATTATATTGTTGGCTCCTTTTTGCATGCTCAGTACCTACCAAAGTATCTGGCACACAGATGTTGTTGAATAAATGTTTGATTAATTAATGCAGAAATATAAAAATGAATACTATCTTGATAAAGCACTATTTGATATATTTGTTTGTAAGTGACACAATGAAGAAAACAACATGGATTTCCAGAAAAATTAATACATCATCTAAATTCCAACTGCTAATCTTAGGTTCTCCATTTTCTACTGTTTTGTTGTTTCTTCTCTTTTTTTAATTTTTAATATTTTATCCCTATTATTGGACCCAAATCAGCATACATTTGATTTTAAACTTGACTTAACATAATTTATTAAAACTTCAATACTTCTTCAAATTTGAATGACTTATTTTATGTATAATTATGTAAAACTACAAACTTGTAAAATCTTCTGAGTTAACACTGGCCATTTACTTTTGCCTATAGAGAAATTAGTCCAGTAAAAGTCAACAGCAGCATATAAAGAAATTGCCAAAATGCTTGAGTATTAAATAACTACCTTGGGTATTGCTTAAGAAAAACCTGCATTCTCAATTCAGCATGCATATGGAATATATGCAAATTTATCTTGTTTTCTGTAGAGACCATTTAACTAAAGAAGAATGAAAATAATTTAAAAACTTACTCAAAATTCATCTGGTAATATGAGCATATAATACATATGAAGTCATTAGACTAATAAATTCATAAGTAAAAAATAATAAGTAAGCTAGAAAACAACAATGCTAATTGATATAAAACACCAAGGCAACAGAGTATTTAAAATGTCATTCAAAGTTGTTGGAATGTGGTTAAGAAAATGAGCTTCAAGATCTAATTAAGAACTAAGCCCAACATGATCCCATAAGTATTTTTATGCTTGAGATGAATATTGGAAATTTGTTTATATTAGTTCAAATTGGTCTAGTATCTCATTTCCTTGTTATTGCATATTCTCAATTATCTGAGAGCTTAAATGTAGGAAAAGGAACGGTGAAACCCCGTCTCTAATGAAAATACAAAAAATTAGCCGGGCGTGGTGGGGGGCACCTGTAGTCCCAGCTACTTGGGAGGCTGAGGCAGGAGAATGGCATGAACCCGGGAGGCGGAGGTTGCAGTGAGCCGAGATCGCCCCACTGCACTCCAGCCTGGGCGACAGAGAGAGACTCTGTCTCAAAAAAAACAAAAAACAAAAAACAAAAAACAAAGGTGGAAAAAGGACATAATTTAATCAATACTTTCAAACATATCTTCCAAACCAAGTTAATTATGGAAAACTTCAGAGGCAAATATCTATGCTTTCTATCAAACTTTGAAAAGAAGGAATCTAGTTTGCTTCAAAAAACAGAACTGTATTTTGCTGAATAAACCAAGTTATTTTCAGGAAACAGAATATGTAACACTCACAAACACTGAAACACACACAAGAAGTGGCACGTCATATTTTAGAAAATTAAAATATGTACAAAATTAGTCTTTTGTAAAAATTAGCTCCTTGATAAAACTTGGAATTTTCAGGAAGGGTTTTTAGAATTTCAATATTTACTTGCTTTAATTCTTGTGCTCTTGTCATTTAAATAGGATAGTGAACTATAAAAGTTCAACTTAAGAACACAAATTAATACCTTACCAAAAAATAGTATATTAACTATTATCCTCATATAAATTAGATATCCTCGTTTAAATCAACTATCTTCACATTCTCATCTAATTTGTATTATTTGATAAAATTTATAGAACATGATAACCTAAATAAAAATGCAAAGGGGAAAAAGATACATAGAGGTATATTATAATTTATGAAAAAGTCGATAACACTTTTTTAACCTAAAATATACTCAAGTTGAATTATCCTTGCCACTCTGTGGCAGAATATATAGTGTAGAAGAAACAGTGCAGAAAAAGGAGATCATGAAAACAGATGTTGGAAGGGTAAATTGGAATAATCTTCCAGATCATTCACTATCAAATATATTTTCAGAGCTTCTCTCTAAAGGAAATAGACATGGGATCATATTCTCCAAGTACATGAATGTATCCATTATAGGAACACGGACTCCTAGCACAGCCACCCTAGAATGGAGAGTCAAGTAGTCCCGTGGTTTAGAATTTGTGCACTGATGGGAGAAGACAGGGACAGGAAGAAGAAAGAGCAGCCTTTCTAACTGATCTGGCTGCTATGTGGTCCAACCGTGTTTAAACAGAAAGTGCAAGGTAAACAAGATTTTTGTGGTTTCACTTTGATGGAGGAGTACCTCTCTTCTATTTCTGCTAAAATTCTCAATCTCTGTCGAGTAGAAAATCACCGGTTTCTGTGGAAGTAGTTAAAAATGCACGAAGGTGCTGAACACACAAACAAGCAAAAATAACAGAATATCACAATACTCTTAAATACAAAATAACTGTATTTCTACACACTATCAATAGAAGTTGAAATGTTAAAAATACCATTTAAAGTAACATGAAAATTATGAAATATGTAAAATACATATTTTTAAAGATGTAAGATGACTACATGTTGAAAACCATCAAAAATAGCTGAGAAAAAATGTTAAAGACCTGCATAAATGGAGAAGTACATTATGTTCACAGGTTGAAGATTCAGTATTGTTAAGCTATCAGTTGCTCTCAAATAGAACCATAGATTCAATACACAATCCCAAGTGAAAAAAGCAGCAGTTTTCTAGTATAAATTTATAAGATTGTCCTAAAATTTATACAAAAATTCAAAGAACCTACAATTACCAAAAGAGAGTTTGAAAAAGAGGAGTTAAATTGGAAGATGAACACTGACTGATTTTAGGAATTATTATAAAAGTACAATAAACAAGACAGTTTGGCATTGAGATAATGAATAAAAACTTGACTATTGGAACAAAATACAAAATCCAGAAAAAGAACCAAGAAATTGACAACTTCTTTTCAACAAAATTACAAAGACAATTTAGTGAAAAAAAGATAGTCTTTCAGTAAATGTTACTGAAACCATTGGAAATCCTTAAGTTAAAATAACCTGACTTAAATCCATAACTCATACCATATACAAACATTAACTCAAAGTGTGTTATAAACTTGAAGATAAAACTTACAATTGTAAGACTTCTAGAAGAAAACATAGGACATTTTTAGGACCCAGGGATAGGCAAATATTTCTTAGATATGATGCCAAAAGCATTATCTACAAAATAAAATATTGATAAATGTAGTTTCTTTAAAATTAAAAAACGTTCCTTTACTAACACCATTAAGAGAATGTATTAATAAAGGCAGGATGTGAAGGCGATCTGGCTGTGACATCTGTCACCCCATTGATCATCAGGGTTGATTTGGCTGACGTAGCTGGCTAGGTGTGTGTCCCCTTCCTCCCTCACTGCTCCATGTGCGTTCTTCCTGAAGCTGCATGCTTGGCAGAAGAGGACAACCATCCTTGATAGAGGAAGATGCGTCTTCTGTCAAGGGTATACGAGTAGCTGTGCTCCCCTGCTAGAATCTCCAAACAAGCTCTCAAGGTCTATTTGTAGGAGGACGTGGGTAATAAGGCTTCCAAGACTCCAGACACATCCCAATGAGGCACTGGATGAGGCAGCAGTCTACCTTTGTGTGTGTGTATACACACACACACACACACACACACACACACACACACACACACGAAAGGCATTGAGAAAAATACTTTTAATAATATATATGAAAAGGATGAAAAGGGATTTATATCCAGAATAAAGAGCTTTCAAAACTGAATAATATTACACAACTAAGTGAGCAAAATATTTTAATAGATTTTGCATCAAAGAAGATATGTGGATGGAAAATAAGCACAAGAATAAATGTTGAATATCATTGGTTACACAAATTAAAACAACAGTGATGTATAACTGTGCACCTGTAAGAATTGCTAAATTTAGAAAGAAGAGACATGATGAGTGTTGACAGTGATGCAGAGGATCTAGAACTTTTACATACCACTGGTGCAATGTAAAGTACTACCTAACTTTGGAAAGAATTTGGCACTTCCTTAAAAAGTTAAACATAAACCTTATATAGGATCCAGCCATTATGCTCTTTAGTATTTACCCAAGGGAATGACAGCACATGTCCCAAACTGCTATGAACATACATGAATGTTCATAGCAGAATGTTCATACATGTAATAGCCTTAAATTAGAAACAATTTTAATAGTCATGAACAAGATACACTTTCATAGAAAAAATTAATAATTACCACTTTTAAAATGGGCTATATCTTTTGCATGTTTCACCACTTAAAACAATAAATCCCTTGGGTTTAATGTATGGATGCCACTTCAAATCTGTAATTCCAAGTATATTGGTCTTTCCATTTGATCATGACGCTACCTCAGTACAATAAACTTGAAGTTAAGAAATTAGTGATATTAGTTATTCCAGAGAATTAAGAAAAAAATATATATCTGAAGCCTAAAAATAGGTAAATGCAAATTCTTTTTGTCAAATACAACAAAGAGAAATACTGAAGCTTGAGCTTGAACTAATTTCCTGATCAATATCAGTAAATCTCAAATCATCAGGAAAAAGTTTAAGTTTTTGAAGAAGTCTCCATTTAATTAATCACTCATTAATTTATTCAACATATATTTATTGAGGCTCTATATGTGTCAAATACTAAGTAAGTACTGAGGACACAGCAGTGAATCAAACTGATAAATATACCTCCTCTGTGATGCCACCTGGTCAGGGAAAGTGATGGTAAATAGACAAGGAGGGTATGGAGTATATAAGATGGTGCAGTGGAGAAATATAAAGCAGGGAAAGGTAAAAAGGAATGTTGTGTAGCCAGAGGAGTCTTCACCTGTGCAGAGAAGCTATGAGTAAAAATATAAAGCCCAACTTCAGAAGCAGGTGGAGCCAATGTGCAGAGGGAGACAGACAAGAGGAGACCCACCTCCCAAACAACACAGAGTAACAAATTGCTCACTTTCTAGGACATGGAAGGTCAGGTTTTATTTCCTCAGTTGAATTTACTGAAATATCTCAGGGTCC